>NC_000023.11:113068760-113674979 GCF_000001405.40 Homo sapiens | reverse complement strand
AAGCATTTAACATGTTTGGTAACTTTTTCCTATTTACAGGAAAAACGTTCTTTTTCTATAACGTCCCAGATATACTCTACAAGTTTTTTTTTGTTTTTTGTTGTTGTTTGTTTTTGTTTTTTTTGGGGTTTTTTTCCCCCCCACTAGCTGCTACTTCACAGTTCCCTTTGCTCAACCCTCTTCTTGAATTCTCACATTGGAATACTGCAGAGCTCAGTTGTTTGCCACCTTATCTTCTCTGTCTATATTCAAGTCTCTCAGTCATCTCACTTTAAATGTCATCTGTTCAGTACATCTCCAGCTCAGATCACTAACGCAACTTTAGGTTCTTTCATTCAATTATATTCTGGACATCTGCCTTTTGGTATTAAGCAGAAGAAGTGAACACCCACCCAATCTACCCCTCAAAAGGAGCACCTTCTGTAGTGTTCCACATCTAGGCAAATGCTATCCCCATGATTCCAGTTAGTCAGATCTATATCCTGGTGTGATTCTTTATTTTTCTTTCTTTTACACCCCACACATTGTCCTTCAGCACATTCTGTTGACTCTGTTCGCCAAATATATCAAAACTATCGTTGTTTGTAGATATTTTGCCCTTAGTCAAATTGTTTTCTAGTTTATGAAATGTATTCTGTATATGTGCTGATTTTTGAGGTGTCCTACAAATAGTATTAAAACTACACTGTTTGCATTATCAAAACTTCAAACTGGTCTATTTTGGAAAATGGTGCCTATTAGAATATATATCCGAAAGAAAAGCATATTATAATTTCAAAGCTACAAATATCACTCACATTCCTGGAAGGAGCCTGTAATTTAAACGCTACTTTGTTACTTTGGAAGTAGAATTATTATACTCTTAAGGATCTAACTTTCTCATAAGTAGAATAACAAAGAGCCTGCTAACAATGGTTACTGGTGAGCTGGGAGAGGAAGTTGAGCAGGATCCTTTCTCTTTCCTCTACATATAGCTTTGTAATGTTTAGATTGCTCATCACGTGCATGTGTTAACTACAAGAAATGAGTAAAAGTATCCAAGTGATCTTTGTAAAAGTGCTATTGAGAAGGAGACTTGTCCTAAAAGACATAAATAATTTTTACAAAGCCAATATAATTAAATAATGTTGTTTTGGTAGAATAATTATGAAATACAAATGTGAGAAGAAGACATAGTAGCTAAAATAATTCAGATTATGACAAATGAATAGTATGCTAATCAATAACACAGATTTTAGAGCCGGAATACTGGGTCCAAGTTCTGGATATACTTTTTATTAACTAACTATGTGAATTATTTATGTCTCAGTTAAGAAACAATGATGCTCACTATTGACACTTATATTCAACATTGCACTAGTTGTGTTTGGCAATGCAAATAGGTAATATGAATCACTTTAAGGCAGAGGAATTCATAGGGAGAAACCAAAACTATTTCTATTTGCAGACGATATGATAGTATACGAAAAAGAAAATCAATGATGAAAGTAACTCAAACCACGAACAATGCGCTATTAACAGGATATAAAATTAGCATACAGAAATCAATATACTTCACATAGGTAAACAATAATCAGTTATAGGAATGATGATAGGAAAGTATTCAGTTAAGACAGCAACAAAGCAGACTAAAACTTCGGAATAAACAATAAGAAACAAATATATGTAAAGGAAATTTTAAACATTTATCAAAGATAGAAAAGTAGAGTAGAATAAATGACAAAACTTTTTTATTCTTGGATAGGGAACAAGCTGTTTTATGGAGTTATTCAACCTCAATAAAATTCATACACAAAAGCAAACATGCAAAATAGGTAGGAAATCATTGAAGAAAATTAAGTGGTGAAGCTAGCCTTAACAGACATTAAAACTTATGAAATTTTTATAACTAAAACAGTGTGGCATATTAATAGACAAATAGACCAATGAGAGAGAATACAATGTCCAGAAGTAGATCAAACTACATACAGAAATGTATTTGATAAAAGTAGCATCTCACATCAATTGGAAAATATAGACTTTAATAAATTGCTCTAGAACATATTAGTAACAATTTGCAATAAGGTAGAATTAGAGGCCAGGCATGGTGGTTCACGCCTGTAATCCCAACATATAGGGAGGTTGAGGTGGGCTGATCACTTGAGGTCAGGAGTTTGAGACCAGCCTGGGCAACATGGTGAAACCCTGTCTCTACTAAAAATACAAAAGTTATCTGAGTGTGATAGTGCAGGCCTGTAATCCCAGCTACTCGGGAGGGTGAGGCACAAGAATCGGTTGAGCCTCGGAGGTGGAGGTTGCAGTGAGCTGAGATCATGTTATTGAACTCCATCCTGGGTGACAAATGGGACTCTGTCTAAAAAATAAATAAAAAGAAGAAGATAGAATTAGATTCATACTTCTCACCATATCAATAAATTTTAAATCGATCAGAGGTCTAAATATAGAAAATGAGACCCTACAAATACTAAAAAAGTCAATAAATTCTTCTTTAACCTTGGCACAGGGAAAGTTATTGCAAGTATGTCTTAAAATTCAGGGGAAGTGAATGAAGGGATTGATAAATTTGACTACATAACATTGAAAAAAAGCCAAGCAAAAATCGTCATAAATTATGAAGTTGTCACGTTGAGAAAGAATATCAACTGACAATTTACCAAAAATATATAAAACTTGCTCTAAAATGTATAAAAAGATATTCAAACTCACTAAGGAAATGCAAAATAAAACAGCACTAAGATATTATTTTTCACCTAAAAGATTAGTAAAAATTAAACAGCATGACACCGCAGTCTATTGGTGAGCCTGTGAGAAACAGCCAATCTCAATGTATTAATAATAGGGATGCAAATTGGCACAACCCTTCTGGAGGTCAATTTAGCAACATTAATAAGACTACATATACATTTACCTTTGACTCAGTAATTACAATTCTAGATTTTACCCTGAAGATGCACTTCTGACAATATGAAAATACATATGTACAAATTATACATTGCAGCATTGCTTGCAGTTGCAAAATATTAGAAACTAAATGTCCATATATAGGAGAGTGGTTGAATAAGCCATGGTATATGCACAAACTGAAATATTATGCAGGTTTAAGAAATGATGAGGAAAAATAGAAAGAATGAATATGACCTACTATTTGATAGCACCACAGGGTAACTATAGTCAATAATAATTTAATTGTACATTTAAAAATAACTAAAAGAATATAATTGGATTGCTTGTAACATAAAAGACAAATGCTTGAGGGGATGGATACCCCATTTTCCATGATGTGATTATTACACATTGCATGCCTCTATCAAAGCATCTCAGATACCTCATAAATATGTACATTTACTCTGTACCCAGAAAATTTACAAATTTAAAAATTTAAAAATTCAGTGATGAGAAAGATCTGTAAACTGGTATGGAGTGATTTCTAGTCTATATTAAATGAAAAAAAGCAAAGGTGAAAGAGTATATATCTATAGTGCACTACCTTTCATGTTAAAAGGAAGGGACTATAAGATGTACAAGTTTTTTTTTTTTTTTTTTTTTTTTGCAAAAACAAAAACAAGAAGAAAGAACAAGAAACTAATGAGATTAGTTATGTATAGGAGATGGGGGAAAATGGGATGGGAAAAGCAAAGTAATGCGAATAAAAGTGATGAAACAATAAAAGTGATGAAGCTTCTATGAGTATTTTTAAAAATAGTTTTGACCTTTAGAACCATGGTAAAATTTTATGCAACCAATAAATAAATAGGTAGGTAGATACATAGATAGACAGACTAAATGAGAATGCAGAGGAGGGGGGAAATAGAATACAAACAGAAATAAGTGAGCCTAACATCATTTCAAATTAATAACATAGTGACATTGACAGGGTCAAGGAAGAAAATAAGGAAAATGGTTTTTTGATATTACATATTAAGGCTGGGAGAAAAAAGAACTGTAAATGAATATTATATGCTGGCTTATAAATTTGTTTTTCATGAAGGTATGAGTTAGCAATTCTGGAACTTGCATATAATAGGATTGAGCAAATAAGTAAATATATTTTCAATAATGAGAGCCAGGTATCAATAATATCCTGGTATTATTAATTATACTAGTTATATGAGATTTTAATATTTGAGAGAGGTAGGGAATGGGTTTACAGGAACTCTGTGTTGCCATATGAAAAACATGAAATCAAAATGGATTAAAGATTTAAATGTAAGACCTGAAACTATAAAACTACTACAAGAAAACATTAAGGAAAATCTTCAGGACATTGATCTGGACAAAAATTTCTTGAGCAATACCCCACAAGCACAGGCAACAAAGCAAAATGGACAAATGAGATCACATTAAGTTAAAAAGCTTCTGCACAGCAAAGAAAACTATCAACAAAGTGAAGAGACAAAATGGGAGAAAATATGTGTACGGTTTTGCAAGTGATTTTGTAAATATAAAATTATTTCAAAATGAAACATTAAAATGATAAATCAATGGCAAAGAACGATATAACACATAATAAAATGTGTTAACTATGAGTAAAAAAACGATTGCTCATTACAAAATAAAACGTATTCCAGGTGAACATAAGAGGTTTTATGTATAACTTTTAAAACATTGGAAAAGCCTATATGATAATACCTATGTTACTTCCAGATTGAGAAATGCTTTATGTGCATACAACCAATATAAGACATCAAAAAGAAAGTAGATATTAATCATACAAAGTAAATATTTTATAAAGATATCATAATACTAATTAAAAGGCAATGTAAAAGTTGGGGTTAAAAACCTACTAAATGTTAGAAAAAGAATTAATATTTAGGTAGCATATAATGATCTCCTATAAAAAAAATAAAGGAGTATCTATCACCCCCATAAGAAACTTGGTGTAGCTAAAAAATGTCTGATGAAGTAGGCTTTAAGATAAAAATCATTACTAGAAGTAAATAGGTGATTTTATAATAATAAATGCTTCAATTCACTGGAAAGATATAATACGGTTACATTTGTATATTGCAAGTAGTAAAACTTCAAAACATATAAAGCAAAAATTGACAAAATCCAGGGAGAAATAGAATACTCCACAACCATAGCAAGAATCCTCCACAACCATAACAGGAAAATTCATCATGTCTAAGTAATTAATAAAACAAGTAACCAAAAATTTGATAGAAACTTGAAAATTTGAAAGAAATGAATAATTGACTTAACGAATGCCTACAGAGTATTTAGTACAACTGTGGAATGCATATTTTTTCAAATAAGTTCATAACATTTATGAAAATTGGACATATACAGCTTTAGAGAGCAAATCCTACCAAAGTTCAAAGAACCAAAATAATAGAGCATATTCTAAAATAAAAATATTAAGCTCCAAATCAATAATAACTGAAAAACATTTGCGAATTAAGAAGTACACTTCTGTATTAGTCTGCTCTCATGCTGCTATGAAGAACTGCCCAAGATTGGGTAATTTATAAAGGAAAGAGGTTTGACTCACAATTCCTCAGGGCTGGGGAGGCCTCAGGAAACTTACAATCATGGTGGAAGGGGAAGCAAACACGTCTTTCTTCACGTGGTGGCAGGAGAGGGAAGTGTCGAGCAAAAGAGGGAAAAGCCCCTTACAAAACCATCAGATCTTGTGAGAACTCACTATCACAAGTACAACATGGAGGTAACTGCCCCCGTGATTCATCACTTCCCACTGGGTCCCTCCCACGACGTGTGGGGATTATGGGAACTACAATTCAAGATAAGATTTTGGTGGGGACACAACCAAACCACATCAGCTTCTAAATAATTAGTTGGATCAGGTTGAAATAATGATGAAAGTCAAAATATTTTAGATTGTCCACAGAAAATGCTAAATATCAAAACTTGGGATATGCAGCTTCAGCAATATATAGAGATGGATATATAAATATAAAAGAGAGGTTAAAATTATCTAAGTATATAATTTAAGAAGTTAGAAAAAGAGCAATGTAATAGATTCAAATAAAACAAAAGTAGTTAAATAACAAAGGTAAAATCAGGAATTAATCATATAAAAATTTAATAAAGATAATCAACAAGGCCAAATTTTTGAACATACTAACAATATTAAGAAACCTCAGGCACATTGATGGAGGAAAAAAGAAAATACATGCACGCATGCACACATACACACAAACACATAACTTAGTAATTATATACAGGACCAAAGTATAAGTATAAAATTCACAAATAATTACCAGTAGGTTACATACTTAAATCCAATGTCAAAAATTTTAAAAATAGAGGAAGTTATATAAAATGTTAATATTATGAGCTTGGGGTAGAAAAATATTTCTTACAGAAGCCACAAACAATGAAAACTAAAATGAAAGAGATTATAAAATTTAACTACATTAAAATTAAGAGCTACTATTTATTAAAAATAGCATAAATGGCAAAAAAATCTATGAAATAGGAGAAAATAGTGCAGTACATGTAACTGGAAAGCACATTATCAATTATATATAAATACTTTCTACAAATTGATTTTTAAAAACCTAATAGAAAAGGACAAAAGATATAATTAGCTATTTCACAGAATGAGGAAAAAGTAATAGCCAATAAAAAATCTATGGCTAGAAGCATACCCTTGTTAAATAACATGGAAAATATATATTAAAATCATTTCATCTCACACCCACTAGATAGGCAAATATTATAAATTGGACATTGCCGATTTGTGAGAATGTAAGACTTCTAGAACTCCCATGTACTCCTGGTAGGAGTATAAATTATCACAATCATTTTGGAAAAAAATATTTGGTATTATCTAGTAAAGTTGATGATACACATATCATTTGATGCAGCAATTTCATCTATAGATATAGATGTTAGAGAAACTCACATAAGTAGGCAACATGACATGTAGAAGAATGCAGATAGCAGTGATGTTGGAAAACAAAACACTGGAAACCAAATTTACATGAGGAACAAAACTCATAAATCATTTTGTATTCATACAATGGAAAACCATACAATAATGAAATTGAAAGAGCTATAGCTATCTCAATATGGATGAATCTCACCAAGTTGAATGAACAAAACGATTGCAAAATAATAGTCTGATGCTATTTATATAATTTGCATACGTCCAAAATTAAAGAGTATAATATTTTGGGGCACATACCCAAGTGGTAATATTTAGCAAAAAGCAAAGGAATAATGAACAAAATTTAAGACAGTGGTTACCCCTGGCAGGGAGGGAAGAAGATGAATAAGATCAAGGAGGGGTACACAGAAGACATCAAAGGTATTCAGAATATGATATTTTGTGTGCTGTGTGTTAGGTACACTGTGCTCTTTTTAGAAATTTTTTTCACAAATTGTAAGTAATGTTTCAGTTATTTCATACCAAAATAAAAATAAAGCATAAACTGTAATATCAGGATTTTCCATAGTTCACTTCAAATTTCTTAATGTTTGGTAGGTGCTGTTTCCTAGCAAATACATGTTAAATGGATGCTGGAAAATTAAGAGATTATTGTATGAGCTGATTCTAAAGTGACCACCCTCCTTTTGCTAATAATGTGTTCATCTGTTAGTCCTGTTCAGTAAGATATGTCTGCAATTACCATGCATGAACTGTTGCTTCCAAGCTGAAAAGGAAGATGACACTTAGCACACTGTGTTCCACACAAGCAGCTACCTACATGTTTTTTCCTTTTCATTCTGACCCAAAATGGAAACTTTGTTTGAAATTAATTTCCTTTTTGATTAAGGGTAAGACAATATTTTCACAGTCACTGAACCAAAAAGCTGGTAAAAACCTTGCCACAGAGATGCTAAATAGTGTATTTATTTAATTTTCTCATGTTTCTTCATGTATGTCAAGGCATATCCAAATAACTGAATTAATAATTACCACTCCTTACTAAGAGCTACTTCATCTGTTCTTCCAGTGAGCGGAAATCAGGTTTGAAAGAGATATTATGCAAGCCAGCAATTCCCTACCAACTGGTCCTGAAAAGTTAGCTTTGGTGATTCAAAGGTCCTTTGGAATACTAAGTTGCAACAATATCCCCAAAGGCATGTCTCTAAATTGTCCCACTAATATACCTGAGAGTAAATCAAATGAATCATGCTTTCTCTGATATTTATATTAGTTTTCTAAAGTTAATCCTAAGGAGAAAATAAGTAGTTATTATTGTTGCTATTATTTCTAGGAAATTATCATTTTCAAAACTTGAAGATGGGTCTTGTCATTTACAAAATCCTATCTGATTTAATCAAATGGTATTTCTAATGCTTGTACTTCTGTTGATTTCCTCACAGAGCAAAATCAAGTGCCTTTCTTTTGGAAAACTCAAAACATCAAATTAAACAGCACAGCATCCAATCTGAGTCATACATTTGAAATCAATTTACCAGGAAACAAAGAGTCAAAGATTGCAGAACTCAGAGGGAGAGAAAAGAGGTTGCTCATAGAAGCAAATTAGAGAAAGAAGGTGTTCAAATTCTTCAAGGCTCCTACCATCTGCTTGTCAGGCTGCTGCTGAATTTCAGATACCTCTTTCGCAGTGCTTTCTCCTTAATGTCCAAAATTTTACCTCCCACCCAATCTGCACATTATCATTTTGTTCAGCTGTGTAAAAACATGAACACAATGTATATCGTGAAGGTTGTCAGCGTACCATGTTGACATTCGAATTCAATCTTTGGTGATAGACATTGGAATAACATGTCCCTGTAGGGTGGTGGAGGGTGGCGGGGTGAGGTGATTGACTGGATATAGTTGTGAGGGAAATTTCTGGGGGTAATGGGAATGTTATTTATTTTGAGCTGGGTGATAGGTAGATATACAGCGGTCCCCCTTTATCTATAGTTTTGCTTTCCTTGGTTTCAATTACCAGAGATCAACCTCAGTCTTGAAAATACTAAATAGAAAATCCCAGAAATAAACAATTCGTAAGTTTTAAATTGTCCTCCCTTCTGTGTAGTGTGATGAAATCTCATGCCATCCTGGGATGTGAATCATCCCTTTATCCAGTATATGCACGCTGTATACACTACCTGTCTAGTAGTCAGTAGCTATCTCAGTTATCAGATTGAGAAAACATAGTATGTACTATATAGCAGTGGTCCCCAAACTTTTCGCCTTTTTGGCACCAGGGATGGGTTTCATGGAAGACAGTTTTTCCATGGGGGTGGCGGGCAGGGATGGTTTTGACATGAATCTGTTTCACCTCAAATAATCAGGCATTAGCTAGATTCTCATAAGGAGCACCCAACCTAGATCCTTCCCATGCACAGTTCACAATAGGGTTCGCACGCCTATGAAAATTGAATGCCACAGCTGACCGGACAGGGAGTGGAGCTCAGGAGGTAAAGCTTGCTGGATGCTCACTTCTTGCTCTGCGGCCTCCCTCCTACCAGGCCACAGACCTGTACTGATTGGCAGCCCAGGGATTGAGGGCCCCTGCAGAGTTCGGTACTATTCAAGGTTTCAGGCATCCACTAGGGATCTTGGAACGTATCCGCAAGAATAAGGGGGGACTACTTTAGTTGTAAAAATTCACTGAGCTATACACTTAAGCTTTATGCATTTTACTCTAGGTAATTTTTCAGTAAAGTATTATTTGCAAAAAAAAAAAAAAGAATGTTAATTAGAGAGTGTCATTATTTATGGCTTGCCACTATATTTACAATAAAATCCAAGTGCCTTACCACCGCTTGTGAAACTACATAATCTAGTTCCCATATATCTGTCTTCCTTTTCTAATATTCTTTCCTTTGCTTGATTTGTTTTTCTTGGGGTCTTTGCATTTCCTAGTTCACTCTTCCTGAAACACTCTTTCCAGATATTTGCATGATTGACTCCTTCATTTAATTGAGGTTTCTCATCGAATGCCACTTTCTCATAGAGGTCTTTCCTAGCCACCCTCCCCTTGGTCTGCTTTATTTTTTTGAAGCGCATGTTGACATTCTACATTATATATTTCCTTTTTGTTGTTTATTGTCTCTCTCCCCATGGTAGTTAAGAGTAGGCTAACTGATAAAAATAGACCCAAACTTGGGATAGCTCAATAGATGGAATTTTATTTATTGTTCACCTAACAGTTCCAGGTGGCTGTTTAGATTTCACTGTTGGCTCATCTCTATTCAATAGCACCTTCCATCTTATGGATTTGTACTCCCGTAGAGCCTCATTGTCTTCTGCATCAAGCTAGCAAGAGGAGAAAGAGCATGAGGCAAAAACACATATGAACGGTGTTATGAACCAGACCTGAAATTATCACACTTTACTTTTATTTATACTTCCTTTGCTAGAACTCAGTCACATGTTCCTATAAATTCAAGAGAGACTGGAAAATGCAGTCTAGCTATATTACAGAAAGAAGAAAAGATAGATATGGTAATCAATTAGCAGTTTTAGTACACTGCCTCAGCTGAAATACATGTTTCATGATGGCAGGAACCTTCCTTGTCTGTTTGCTCATGGCATATGCTGAACTTCTAAAACAGTGCTGGTACATAGTATGCATTTAATAAATATTTTGGAGTGAATAAATACATTTCAGTGAAACATACTATACTGAGCTTAGCTGGTTGAAGGAACACGGCTCCAAATTTACTCAGCTCTTCTAATTTTGGTCATAGACATTCTTAAGGGGATGCCACACTCACCAATGAAAATCAGTGTGAGCTCTATGCTGCTACTCTCCCTCTGTAAACATATCCCTCCAAATACTGGGAAAGAATACACATTTCTTAAGCCACAGAGCTAAGGTATGCAAAAATGGATTTAATTTGTGGCTCACAGTGATCTATATTCTGAGTTTTCATTCTGTTGAGAATATAAAATATAATCTCAGTCAATTCTAGCTAAACCGATTAATTTATTGCTTAACATCAGTTAATTCAGAACTTTTTCCGCCTCTTCCTAGTAACACCTACGTTCCAGGAAGCTTATGTAACATCATGAAGTCTGGTTCCAAGATGGCATCTTTTCACACTGCATCCTCAGATCATCCAGTCTCTAGTTCTTGGCTGTCATTATTGTTCCACATTGACATGTGTCAAGATGTCCTCATTCCCATATGCTCCACACAACTTTCCTCTGTAGCATTCCCTAATTACAACTGCATGACCCCATCAGGTCTGTCAACTTACTCTTTCTTTCTTTCAGCTATCTTCAAGCATGGTAAAAGCTGGCTTCTTTATCTTTCCAATTTGGATCTGAAGAAAACTCAGTGGAGCTATCCCCAGGTACTGTCTTATCATGCAGCTATTTCTTATCTGCTGTTCTCGTGCTGCTTCTCAGGGTTCCAATAGGGAGAACACAGAAATCGTCTACTCATGGATTCTTGGATCCAGATATTACACAAACTTGTAAGTCTGTAGCTTGCCTTTCAACATTCTATTTTTCCACTCTTTCCTTTTGCAACTCTCCTCCTACCTTCATTTCTTGTTTTTGTGGAATCTTCATTAAGTCTAAGGGAGTATAGTATTTTTTATGCATTGTTTGAAAATTTTTTTATTTGTGGTATAAATGTTATTTCCAAACTCTCATAGGTTAGAGAGTCGAACTGCAAAAATTCTAGTAATTAAAACTTGAAAAAAATTTTTTTTATAAACTAACATACCTTTCAAGAACATTTTTGTTGTAGCTTCATTTTCCTGGGGCAATGAAGGTGGAGTGCTTTAGTTTCCTTGGCTAGAAAATACTGTATTAAAATCATGTTTTGGGGCAATAGCATTATATATTGTTTAATACTTCAAAATATTATATAGCCATAGAAAGAAAGATAGATACATACACACATATAAAATTAGCATAACAGAAATGGTAATGCCTTTCTTGAAGTAGAAAATAAGTCATAAAAATAGAAGAGAGCAATCTATGTGGGCTTCATGTTAGGTGTGGTGGTCGTCATGTTGGAATGCTTATGTGCCAAATATGTTTGCACATGTGGATAAAAGCATGTGAATAAATATAGATTTTTTTAAACTTTTGAGTTCAGAGGTACGTGGCAAAATGTGTAGGTTTGTTACATAAGTAAAGTGTGTCATGAGAGTTTGTTGTACAGATTATTACATTCCCCAGGTATTATTCCTGGAATCTATTAGTTATTTTTCCTGATCCTCTCCCTCCTCCCACCTTCCATCCTCCAAAAAGCCCTAGTGTGTGTTGTTCCCCTCTGTGTCCATGTGTTTTCATCATTTAGCTCCCACTTATAAGTTAGAACACGTGGTATTTTGTTTTCTGTTCCTGTGTTAGTTTGCAAAGGATAATGGCCTCCAGCTCTATCCATGTCCCTGCAAAAGATATGATCTCATTCTTTTTTATGGCTACATAATATTCTGTGGTGTATATGTACCACATTTTCATTATCTGGTCTATCACTGATGGACATGCAGGTTGATTCCATATCTTTGCTATTGTGAATAGTGCTGCAATGAACATACACGTGCATATGTCTTTAAAACAGAATAATTTATACTCCTTTGGGTACATACCCAGTAATGGGATTGCTGGGTCAAATGGTATTTCTGACTCTAGGTCGTTGAGGAATTGCCACACTGTCTTCCACAATGGTGGAACTAATTTACATTCCCACCAACAGTGTAAAAGTGTTCCTTTTTCTCCACAGCCTCACCAGCATCTGATATTTTTTGAGTTTTTAGTAATAGCCATTCTGACTTGTGTGATATGATATCTCATTGTGGTTTTGATTTGCATTTCCTTAATAATCAGTGATGTTAAGCTTTTTTTTGTATGTTTGTTGGCCGAATAAACGTCTTCTTTTGAGAAGTGTCTGTTCATATCCTTTGCACTATTTTTGATGGGGTTTTTTTTTATTGTAAATTTAAGTTCCTTGAAGACTCTGGATATTAGACTTTTGTCAGATGGATAGGTTGCAAAATTTTTCTCCCATTCTGTAGGTTGTCTGTTCACTCTGGTGGTAGTTTCTTTTGCTGTGCAGAAGCTGTTTAGTTTAATTAGGTCCCATTTGTCAATTTTTGCTTTGGTTGTGATTGATTTTGGTGTCTGTCATTATATTTTTGTTTGTGCCTATGTCCTGGATGGTATTACCTAGATTATCTTTTAGGGTTTTTATAGTTTCAAGTTTTACATTTAAGTCTTTAATCCATCTTGAGTTAATTTTTGTATAAGGTGTAAGGAAGGGGACCAGTTTCAATTTTCTGCATATGGCTACCCAGTTTTCTCAGTACTATTTATTCAATAGGGAATCCTTTCCCCATTACTTGGTTTTATCAGGTTTGTCAAAGATCAGTTGGTTGTAGATGTGCGGTCTTATTTCTGAGATCTCTATTCTGTTCCATTGGTCTATGTATCTGTTTTTGTACTAGTACCATGTTGTTTTGGTTACCATTAACCTTGTAGTATAGTTTGAAGTTGGGTAGTGTGATGCCTCCAGCTTTGTTTTTTTGTTTTGTTTTGTTTTTTGCTTAGGATTGTCTTGGCTATACAGGCTCTTTTTTGGTTCCATATCAATTTTAAAGTAGTTTTTTCTGATTCTGTGAAAAATGTCAATGGTAGTTTAATGGCAATAGCATTGAATCCATAAATTACCTTGAGCAGTATGACCATTTTCACAACAGTGATTCTTCCTATTCATGAGCATGGACTGTTTTTCTATTTGTTTGTGTCCTCTCTGTTTTCCTCGAGCAGTAGTTTGCAGTTCTCCTTGAAGAAGTCCTTCACATCCCTTTTTAGCTGTATTCTTAGGTATTTTATTCTCTTTGTAGCCATTGTTAATGGGAGTTGTCATTTTGGCTCTCTGCTTGTCTATTGTTGATGTATAGGAATGCTTGTTATTTTTGCACATTGATTTTGTGTCCTGAGACTTTGATGAAGTTGCTCATCAGCTTAAGGAGCTTTTGGGCTGAGACACTGTGGTTTTCTAGATATAGGATCATGTCGTCTGCAAATAGTGACAGTTTGCCTTCCTCTCTTCCTATTTGAATTTGCTTCCTTTCTTTCTCTTGCCTGATTGCCCTGGCCAGAACTTCCAATACTAAGTTGAATAGGAGTGGTGAGAGGGCATTTGTCTTGTGCCATTTTTCAAGGAGAGTGTTTCCAGTTTTTGCCCATTCAGTATGCTATTAGCTGTGGGTTTGTCATAAATGTCTCTTATTATTTTGAGATTTGTTCCATCCATACCTAATTTATTGAGAGTTTTTAACATAAAGAGATGTTGAATTTTATTGAAGGCTTTTTCTGCATCTATTGAGATAATCATGTGGTATTTGCCTTTAGTTCTGTTTATGTGATGAATTATGTTCATTGATTTGCATATGTTAAACCAGCCTTGCATACCAGGGATGAAGCCGACTTGACCCTGGTGGATAAGCTTTTTGATGTGTTGCTGGATTTGGTTTGCCCGTATTTTATTGAGGATTTTTGCATCAATGTTCACCAAAGATATTAGTCTGAAGTTTTCTTTTTTTTGTTGTATCTCTGCCAGGTTTTGGTATCAGGATGATGCTGGCCTCATAAAATGAGTTAGGGAGAAGTCCCTTCTTTTCAACTGTTTGAAACAATTTCAGAAGGAATGGTGCCAGCTCTTCTTTGTACCTCTGTTAGAATTTAGCTGTAAATCCGTCTAAACCTGGGCTTTTTTTGTTGTTGTTGGTAGGCTATTTATTACTGCCTCAATTTCAGGACTTGTTATTGGTCTATTCAGGATTCGACTTCTTCCTGGTTTAGTCTTGGGAGGGTGTATGTGTCCAAGAATTTATCCATTTCTTCTAGATTTTCTAGTTTATTTGTGTATAATTGTTTATCGTATTCTCTGATGATTTTTTGTATTTCTGTGGGGTCATTGCTGATAGCCCCTTTACTATTTTTTATTGTGTCTTCTCTTCTTTATTAGTCTAGCCAGTTGGTCTATTTTATTAATTTCTTAAAAAAAAAACCCGCTCCTGGATTCATTGATTTTTTGAAGGGGTTTTCGTGTTTTATCTCCTTCAGTTCTACTCTGATCTTAGTTATTTCGTGTCTTCTGCTAGCTTTTGAATTTGTTTGGTTTCTCTAATTCATTTAGTTGTGATGTTGGGTGTTGATTTGAGAACTTTCTAGATTTTATTTTTTACACTTTTTGTAACACTTAGTAGTGTTTTTCAAGGTCTAGGTACATAGATGGTACTTTAAAAAATGCTTACTGAAGTATAATTTGTGCATAATAAAATTCAAAAATTTTAGTGTACAGCTTCATGAGTTTTGACAAATGCATACTATTGTGTAGTTGCCATGAAGATTAAGATACAGAATATTTTCTATCAGTTCAAAAATTTCTCTCATGATCTTTGTAGTTAAACCCTTCTTCCATACCCAGTATCAAGCAACAACAAATGCCAAGCCCAGTGCAACTCTTGAGAAGATTGACTAGATGCTACACAATACAAGCCTAATAGAAATAGAGGAAAATTCATTTAAAATATATACTCTACCATCTGTATTGTACACACGATATTAAATAATCAATTAAAAATGATGACACCAGAAAAAACTAACATTTTCTAAAAACAATCAACAAAACCAGCTTCAGAGATGAGCTACATATTGGTAATATAAAATAGAGATTTAAAATTAACTATTGTTAAATATATTAAAGGCTCAAGTGGAAAAGGAGGGCAACATAAATGAATAGAGGTAGAATTTCAACAAAAAGATTGAAACTATATAAAACAATCAAATTGAAATACTAGACCTAAAAAAAACATGGTAATAGAGATGATGTATGCCTTAAACAGTTTTTTAGGTAGACTTCATCTAGCTGAGGAATGAATGAATGAATTAGAAGGTGTCAACAAAAATTACCCAAATTATTATTCAAAGAGAAAAAAAGAATAAAATAATAAAATATCCTATAATTGTGGAACAGTATCAAATGGTCTAACATCTGAGTAGTGATATCACAGAATAAGAGAGAAAGAAATGGGCAGAATAAATATTTAAGTGGTGTCATAGAGGTTTCTGAAAATCAAGTCATAATACCCTAAAAGTCCTAGAGAACCCAAAACAAAATAAAGAATAACAGACTTAGAAACATCCTAGTTAAAAGGCTTAAACCCATGATTAAGAGAAAATCTTGAAGGCAGCCAGAGTTGAAAAAACACATTATATACAAGAAGAAAGAAAATAATTAGATTCACTATGTCATCAGCTGCTGTGCAACTAAGAAAACAATGCAATGACGTCTCTAAAGTAATCAAAGAAAATCACCATCAACTCAAATTCTATATCAAGTGAAAATATTTTTCAAAATAAAGGGAAAACATGCTTTTGCAAACCAGAAAAAAAAGGCTGAGAGAATTTATTATAGACCAAAAGAGTGGTTAAAGGATCAATTCATTACAACAAAAAAAGAGGTTAAAGCAGGTTCTCCAGGCATAAGAATATGATACCAGACAATAACTTGGATATACATACATAGACAAAACAATGAAAAACTGCATATAGTTTAAATGAAGGTAACTATAATGTATTTTTTTACTTTAGTAACTCCAAAGTGTAATTTACTGTATACAAGAAAAATAGTAACAATACATTGTATGTTTATAATATATGTAGAAGTAAACTATGTAACAATAGCACAAAAGAGGAGAGAGAAAAATTTAAGTATACATTTTTATGGCTCTTATAGTAAATATGGAGCTCTGATATAGTTTGGATGTTTGTCCTTTTCAAATCCCATGTTGCAATGTAACCCCCAATGTCGGAGGTAGAGCCTGGTAGGAGGTGTTTGGGTCATAGGAGCAGATCCCTCATGAATGTCTTGGTCCCCTCCCCATGGTAATGAATGAGTTCTCACTCTATTAGTTCACATGAGAGCTGGTTGTCTTAAAGAGCTTGGCATCTCTCTCGCTCCCCCTCTCGACATGCCACTGCCCTTCCCCTTGCCTTTTGCTATGAGTAAAAGCTTCCTAAAGTCCTAACCAGAAGCAGATGCTGGTGCCATGCTTCTTGTGCAGGCTGTAGAATGATTAGCCAAATCAACCTTTTTTCTTTATAAATTCCCCAGCCTCAGGTATTCCTTTACAGCGATGCAAAATGGACTAATTCAGTCTCTAAATATTATTTGGGTAGGCTGTGATAAATTAAAAATGCATAACGTAAAGCTGGGAGAAACATTCCATTTTTCTTAAAGAATTTAAATAATAAGCCAATAGTGGAAGCAAATGAAATAAATAATTCAATAGCAGGCAGAAAGAAAAGAAACTATAACAGAGAACAATAAAAAACAACTCTCAATGTGATAGATTTTAATCCAGCCGTATCAATAATTAAATTAAGTGTCTAACGACACCAATAAAAAGGTAGACATTGGCAAACTGGGCATATGTGAAAACCACCTTCTAGCTATGTATATTTCAATCTAGATTCCCCACTACCCTTATGTTTCTGGCTGTTCACTGCAGCACACATTCATAACATAACATGACCTTACACTTTCCTGTCATAATGCAAGGTAAGTTAGCACAGTGAGCTGTAGGAGTATACTTGGAAGCCATTCTTATGCCAGTAATCCTAGCTATAATTATAGATGACAATAAGTGAGAACCAAAATTTCACACATTACTCCACAGCCAAACTAAATGTATTTCTAACACAACCTCTTTTCACCATGATCCCCAAAGTGCCTGTGCCCTCTCCAAAACTACATGAGAGAAAAAATGATGGAGAGAGATTTGAAGTATAAAGAACAGTTATTTAACCAATTGTGTTTAAAATGTCTCAGTTTTAAAAACATTACAAGAATATGAGACCATGTAAGCATATTGATTTTAGGGCCTTGGAAAGTGTGTTTGTTCAGGTGAGGGGCCGTGAAGTTTAAATCTGGCACAGATACATATATA
The DNA here is from genome assembly GCF_000001405.40 of Homo sapiens. Taxonomy (NCBI): domain Eukaryota; kingdom Metazoa; phylum Chordata; class Mammalia; order Primates; family Hominidae; genus Homo; species Homo sapiens. The sequence continues at coordinate 113,657,132 of NC_000023.11, read as the reverse complement.
TGTCTCAGGTCACATTTTTAAAATAAACTTAAAAAAATTTATTTTAGAACAGCTTTAGATTTATAGAGCTATTACAAAGATAGTTCAGCGAGTTCTTGTACACCTTCACACAGTTTTTCCTATTATTAGCATCTTATTATAGTACATTTGCCACAATTAATAAATCAATATTGATATATTAATGTTACTAAAGTACATTATTAAGATTTTTCCAAATTTTCCAAAGGTTATTTTTCTGTTACAGAATCCTATCCAGCAGATCCTATTGCATTTAGTTGTCATGTTTCCTTAGACTTCTACTGACTCTGACATCTCAGACTTTCCATGTTTTTGAAGCCCTTGAGAATTCAAGTAGTACTGGCCAGGTACTTTGTAGAATGTCCCTCAGCTGGGATGTATCTGGCATTTTTCTCATTATTAGATTAAAGTTTTGGGGAAAGAAGACCACAGCAATAAAGTACAACTCCCATCACATCATTTTAAGGGTATACACTATCACTATCATTTGTTAACATATGTGTGCATGTGTCTTTATAGTAGTACTGGACTTGAAGATTCTACGGATTTTCAAAGATGTTTAACGTGCTATTGGTCACTATAGTATCATAAAGAACAGTTTCACTCCTTAAAAAAAAGCCCTGTGATTTAATCCCCCACCTCCCTGTCTGCACAGGGAATCACTGAAATGGCAGGGAATCACTGAAATGTTTACCATCTCAATGGGTTTACCTTTTCCAGAATGTCACATAATTGGAATAATACAATATGTAACTTTTATAGACTAGCTTCTGTTACTTGAAATATAAATTTAGGTTTAATCCCTGACTTTTTATACTTTGATAGCTCATTTATTTTTTATCACTGAATGTTAATCCATTGTCTATCCATTCACCCATTGAAAGATATTATGGTTGCTTCTAGGTTTTGTTGACTTTGGTGAGTATGATAATATAATGACTATAAACAAAACTTCTGTAAATATCCACATGAAGGTTTTTTTTGCAGACATAAATTATCAGATCAGTTGGGTAGATACTTAGACACATGATTGCTAAATTGTATGGTAAGATGACATCTAATTCTGTAAGATAATGGGTTGTTCTATAAAAGTCAATTAGATCCAATTCATTGATAGTGTTGTTCAAGTCAAATATATCCTTATTCACTTTCTGCCAGTATAATCTATCAATTACTGATGGAGATGTTTGTAAGTATGCTGATGAAATCCCTAACTTTAATAAAAGATTTGTTTATTTTTCCTTCAATTCTATCAGTTTTTGCCTCAGGCATTTTGATGCTCTGTTATTAGGTGCATACATGTTTAGGATAGTTATATCTTTTTAGAAAATTGATCCCTTCATCATTATGTACTATCCTTTTTATCACTGATTACTTGTTTTTGCTCTGAATTTTGTTTTTGTGAAATTCATGTAGGTACTTCAAGTTTATTTTGCTTAGTGTTAGCATGATATATCTTTCTTCATCCCACTACTTTTAACACATAGGGCTCACTCTAATTAAGCAGATTTGTTATTGAATTATATCTTACGGTCTTGTCTTTTAACCTACTCTGGTAATCTCTGTATTTTAATTGGTGCACTTGAACCACTAATATTTAAAATGATTATTGATATATTTGAAATAATATTGTGGATTCACATCAAATGCATTTGTAATTGCTTTTATTCGTGACAGAGGCTTCTTTTTCTGCTTTATCTGGCTTTAATTGAACATTTTATATGATTATGTATAATCTCTCTTGGTGTAACAATCATTGTTATTAAAAATAGAAGTTTTCCTAAAGTTTATAATATATATATTTACATATCTAAGTCAACCTTCAAATAATACCATTCTATATTACATGTACTGCCAATACATACTAACAGAGTATCCACAATTTCCCCCACCTTTTCCTTATGATGTTGCTGTCATTTATTTCACTTATTTACATGCTAAAATTATTCAATGCATTGTTCTCTTATTACAATAAAGACTTATATTTTAAATTATTTAAGAATAAGAATAAGAAAAGATTTTATTTCACCTTCATTTATTCTTTTTCCAACACTCTTTCTCTTTGTGTTGATCCAAGTTCCTGAACTATATCACTTTCCTTCTGCCTGAAGAATATCTTTTAACTTTTTTGCAGGGCAAGTCTGCTAGTATACTGGTGATGAATTCCTTCAGTTTTTGTTTGTCTGAGAAAGTCTTTTATTTCTTAGCTTTTGAAGAATTATATTACTGTATATTGAATTCTGGGTTAGTAGTTTCTTTCTTTGAACACCAAATATCCTACTCCACTCTTTTCTGACTTGCATGTTTTTTTTATGAGAAGTCTGCTATAATTTTTATTCTTTTTTCTACATAAGTAATGTGTTTCATGCTCCCACCTTCTTTCAAGTTGTTCTCTTTATATTTGGTTTTCTGCGATTTGAGTATGATACTTCAGTGCCTAGTATGTCTGATGTTTATTCTGCTTTGTGTTCTCTGAGCTTTCTTGATCTTTGCTTTGGTGTCTGTCCTATTTGGATAGTTCTCGTATATAATTATGTTATATTACTTCTGCTCAATTCTTTCTAATTACCCATGCATCATACCTTTGTAATTGTTGCACATGTCTTGGATGTTCTATTATTTATTCTTTTTTTCTTTGCATTACCATTTGAGAAGTTTCTATTGACTTATGTTCAAGCTCACTGATTCTTTCCTCACTTCGTCCAATTCACTAATGAGCCCATCAAATACATGCTTTATTTCTTTTACAGTGTTTTTGATGTCTAACAATTCTGATTTTCTCTTAGAGTTTTCATCTCTCTGCTTACATTATCCATCTGTTCTTGCATGCTATCTATTCTATTAGAGCCCTTAACATACTAATCATAGCTATCTTAATTCTCTGTATGATAAGCTCAACATTTCTGTCATATCTGAACCCCATTCTAATGCTTCACCTCTTCAGACTGTTTTCACTTGCCTTTTGGTGTACCTTGTGTTTTGTTGTTGTTGAGTTTTGTTGTTGTTGAGGACTGAGCATGATGTTTTAAGTAATAGGAACTGAAGTAAATCTGTCTCTAATGTGAAGATTGATGGTAATGTAGCTAAAAATTGGGCTGTATTTAATAGTCATTATATCTATAAGTGAAAAGACTTCAAATTCTTGTAGTGCCCTTATTTTCACATCCAGTCTTGCCTTGGCCTTTTCTAAGTATTCTTCCTTATAGAGATTCTGTATATTACAACTCTTTCAACTGTAGTCATTATTATTATACTGGATTTCTGTTGTAATGGTGGTAAGGTATGGAGAAGTGGAAGAATTCTATAATCTTCCAATTAAATCTCAGTTTTTAGTGGGCCTATGTCTTTGGCCTATGACCTTCACAAGTGGTTTTTTATTGTTTTTTTTTTAAATGTTTATCCCATCTCCAAATTTAAGTGAAACAGGAAGGCCAGAGAATGACTCTACCCCCATGGCTCTGGGAAAATGTTCTGGTAAAGTCTTTACCTCTGGAGAGTAGGACTTTGTTATGGAGAATGCTCTGTAGTATCTTATGAGGATTATTCTTTTGTTCCCTTTGCTTGACCCTTGAGGAGATCTTCCTTAAATCTATACTGTGAGAATCTTGTGGGGTTGCTAGACATAAAGCCCACAAAAGTGTAGGTGTCTCTCTTAAGACTGCTGCCGCCAGGAGTTTTTCATTTTTACACTATACCACATTCAGTCTCTAGCAATTCATCAAAATCACCATTTAAGTGTTTCTATGAGTTTATGGCTTACAGCAGCTTTTACTCCAGGTAAGCAAATCTCAGCTATAACTCTCTGGGTTCAACTGTCACTCCAAGTTTTGGGCTAGTGTTTGCCCTGTAAATTCATCTCTCTAATAAGTCCTTTTCAGTTTTTTCAGCTTTTTCTTATTATAAGAAATGTAGTGATGACTTCTAAGCTCTTTACACATTAGAGCTGAAACCACAAGCCTTCCTCCAGACAATTTTAACACCAACTGACATGAACTAATATTATAATCTATTAATGGCTACCTTTATGTTTCACTGGCTCACATCTATCTACTGCAGATGGTAAAGATTAGAATGATGGCCCCAATTCAACTTTTATTTCTTCCTCATTTCCTCCTTTCTGGTATATATATTGAGGACTTCACCTAGTTTGCAGTTTTAATGTCTGTTACACTGAGCCATATATTCCAACTTATATTAAGCAAAAAATGTAAGCACCAATGATTTACTCAATTATATAAATTTTATTAAATGTTATTGTTTCATTATGAACTGTATCCATTAAAGCACAACATCTAAATTTAGCCTAGAAGGAAACTTGTAAATTTGTAAATAGCACAAATTGACTCTGTTATTTAGTAACTTTCAAGCACTGCAACAAACATAGAGCTGATGTTTCCTGCCCATTTTTCTAGTTTGAATTTTTGTAGATTAGATTATGTTTACTACGTTATTTTTGGTTTTTATATTTAGTCTTGCAATTTAAAATATTAATCATGTTGTAATTTGTCCAATTTAAATGAAATAATATCTTTTGAAGAAAAATACTATTTTTTAATACCCATGGCATAAAATCAATGATAGTATCTCACCTGAAATAAGGAGAGAATATAACAGATGTAATTATATCCCATTGGTTTTCTCAGGCCTTGTGCCAAGTGTTTGCATATAGATATGGATAGAGAGTAGAAGTTTTTTCATTTTAGTGATGGCAAAAAGTCAAAACCAATTATAATATATTTAGTCCCTAAGATGTGTAATTGATAGTACTAAAGGAATGCAGACTATGTCACCCCAAAATATACCTCTTTGGCATAAAAATATTTTTGAGGTAAAGGCAATTAAGAAGCAGCAACCAGAGGAAAAACTCTCCCTATCCTAAAGACAGGATGTAAATTCTCTTTTATTGGGAACAATTCTTATCGGCCCAGAAATGACACCCGGGGAATCTGTAAATGAACTTTATTCCATTAGTTTCTTCCCATGTACTGCATTTACCTTCCCACAGTTTCCTGTCTTTGGAAGCATAAAGCTGTTTTCTTTTATCCTGTATTTTCTCTACAAATTTATTGTTCCTTATTGGAGATGCTATAGAAGCCAGAGTTCTAAGCCACTGCCTTGAGTTACCTTTTATTGAGGTTCCTCCCTTGTGATGTACACTGCATGCATTAATAAACTTGCTTGTTTTTCTCTTGTTAATTTGTCTTTAATTACAGGGGTTTTTCCACACTACTAAATTATGAGGGTTGAGGGAAAATTATATCTCCTCCTCAGTAGCATAAAAGTTCCAGGAGTAAAACATACATAAGAATAAAAAAACATAAGAATAGCAGTAGCTGCTTCAAATATGAAATTGAAGGGGTATTTCCAAAAAGTTCCCCAAATATCTCTATTTCTTCCTTACAAATTTGCTACCAAGAGTTTTATCTTGGATAATCTCTGTTTGTGAAATATATGCCATTAGGCTATGAAATGAATATCCCTGAGCCGCTCCCTTCTTGACTCCCCAGGGTAAGGTTATACTATTTGTTACAATACTGAAATACTACCCATGGTTTAGCAAATAACTGTTTAAGTCCCTTGGGTGTTATATTCCACCACAAATTTACCCTGCCTGCTTGGCCCCTCCCATTGGACTTCCAGACCTCCTCATGATCCAACAACTGAAATGCTAATGTGTAATCTAACAAAGAGGCTTCCACAAGTCGGCTTTTGCAGGCACCTCAAAGTTACCTTTTATTCTCTGCATCTACTATTATGTCTCCTAATTCTTACCCAAATCTACTTTCAGGAAAAACTATGATGTCAATTTTTGACCCTTCAGGCTGAATGTTTTTATCTGTTTTTCTCATTCAAAAGTAAAATCAGGTGAAGAGATATGTTCGGAGCTAGTCATATGCCCAAACAAGGCCAGCTCTAAGACTACCTCAAAATAGTGAATCTCAACAATCAATGTACATATTGAATTACCTGTGGATCTTGGTAAAATACAGATTCTGAATTACAAGGCCTGGGACAGGGCTGAGATTCTGCACTTCTAACAAGCTTCCAAGTTCTATTGCTGGTCTACAGACAGCATTTTGAATAACAATATTTGAAACCATTGTCAAATTAAGATATATTAGATGACCAGAGATAATCTAATGAAGCACCCCCTACCCCGCCTTCCCCAGGGAAGTAAAGACAGATGTATGTACATGTTCAGAAGGTGGTGGAGAAGATGAGGTGAATTTAGAATATTGGACAACAATGTTCTCCTTTTGTCAATTGTGTATCTCCATATTCAACTTTCTACATTAAGACAGGCTCATTTTCAAATGTCTATAGAACGCTTACTACCCAAATGTCTCCCAAACAGCTCAAATTTAGTATGTCCACGGTTAAAAATATTCTTCATGTGTTTCTGAATAGAGGTTGAGACTTCACCAAAAATATAGTAAAAAAAAAAATTTACCTTAGATGACAGCCCCCTTTATATCTAATCAGTCACTCCTGTAATGTCTCTCAGATTCACCACTTCTTTTTCATTTCCATTGGCAACACCATAGTTCAGACTCGTAGGGTTTCACAACAGGAATAGTGTAAAAACCTTTTATCTGCTTGTACTCTCTCTCTTCTATAATTAATAGCCAATACCTCAGCTCAAATTATTCTAAAGCTACCAGTGTTTTACCCTGGGAAGAAGAAAACTGAACCCCAGAAAAAAAAAATGAGTTGAATGTAAGAAGCACTGGTGAATAAAGAAATTAGTAAATGTGTATGTTAACTTTGCACTGACTGTGAAAACCACTCTTAATAATAATTACTTTGGTGGCTGTCTAACCAGGAGGGACTAAAATACTAGAAAAAAATAAGCTGGAAAGAGTATGATCTGGGATAAAATATCCTGTTTTTTCTGTAATGTATAAGGTGCCTAGATACATATGAAGGTGTGAGACAGACAGAACAAGATTTGCAAAATGTGGACAACTATTTAAGCATGGAGATAATTACATGACAGCTTATTAGACCTATCTGATTTTTGCAAGCTTGAATGTTTTCATAATAAAATTTAAATACAAAAATAAAAAAGTATAGAATAAGAAAAAATACACTAGATAGATGCAATCCAAAAAAAAAATCGGCCCAGCAAAAATATCAAAATAGACTTTTAGATTAAAGGCATTTTAAAAGATAAAGATCATCTTTACTTAAAAATCATAAGGAACATTTCACTAGGAAGTTGTAAAACTCTGGGCCTGTTCTCCTTAAACAGTATAGCCTCAAAGTGTATAAGGAAAAATTATTATACATATATGCAGATGTTGTTAAGTCCACAGTCATACTGGAAAAAATTTTAACGTCTTTCTCAGACATTGAATGATTAAGTACACCAATAATTTATAATAGCCTAAAATATTTGAATAATTCAATTAAACAGTTTAGTCTAGTGTGCATATATATATATATATATAAAACTGTGCCCCCAATAATTTACAAATATTCATTATTTTCAAGCACACATAGCCTATTCCTAAGACAGTTTTTAATAAATACCAAACATAAATACTATGCTGACCACATTCTATGACCACAGTGTATTAAAATTTAGAATCAGTAATGGAAAGATGGCTAAAATCTCGTTTGTTTGGAAGTTTTTTAAAAGGCACTTCTCAAATAATTAATGGACCACAGACAATCAGAAAGAAAGTGGGCACATAATTGGGAGTAGATGATAATGAAAACACTACACCTAGCTTGTAGAATACAGTTAAAGCACTACTTAGGTGATGAACTTTATCATTTCTACATTGGTCCTACTGCTATTGCATGAAGTAGATTTCCACTCTAACTTTCTGTAAATATTCACTTTACTGGTTCCATCATTCCTGTATGATCTGACCTCATTTTCCTCTATTTTCTACATATTTTTCATTTACGTGACTTTTAAGAAGATTCACAGGCCCAGATAAACATTAATTTTGTAAATTATAGTTTACTATGTCATCAGCCATGTTATGGGCTGAATTATATTTACATAAAATTCATATGTTGCAGCTCTAACACTCAGTATCTAAGAATGTAACTGTATTTGAAGGTAAGGCCTTTAAAAATGGGATTAAGTCAAAATGAGGCCGTTAGGGTAAGGCCCTAATCCAATATGACCGGGGTCCTTATAAGAAGAGGAAGGGACTCCAGGGGTGTGTGTCCACAGAGGAACAACCTTGTGAAGAGACAGCAAGATGGCAGCCATCTGCAAGCCAAAGAGAGAGACCTCTGAGGAAATCAACCTTGCCAATGCCTTGATCTTGGACTTTCAGCCTCCAGAACTGTAAGAAAAGAAATTTGTGTTGTTTAAGTCACACATTCTGTAGTATTTTGTTATGGCAGCCCTACCAAACTAATACAATTTATTTGGACCCACTTTTTCTTCATTAAATAGTGAGAAATAGTTGTATTTACAATGAAGAAAAATTTTCCCAAATTAGAAAGTTAGTGATTTATTGAATTACTTACGGGCTATTCCATAATTCTTGGTAATAATTTTTATTACTCGCCAAACGAAAGTTACCTTCGATGTCATAACTGGCTTAAGCATCCTTCTGAGACAAGTACAATTTTAGGTAGTTTTGGTTATTTATCTTTTGTTAAGCAAAAAATGAAACTTTGTGTATAATTAATCCACTTTAATCCTTTAGTAATTGTGGGCCTAGGGAATCAAAATTCATTAAACTCCCTAGCCACCCACATAAAAGTATTTATTCTTAGAGATTTTTGATATTTAACTTAAAGAGTAATTCTGGGGTTTTAAGGACATATTTAAATAATTTGCTTATCTGTTTCAAGGGATAAATTTAGTTAAATAATACCTTAAAATCAGTCAACTTTATTAGTAAAGACTTTTAGGAACAGGGAGTATTGGAAAAGGGCTTCAGAGCAAGAATACATAAACTTGAGTGGCCTTTTCTCATATATGAGTAAGTCCCTCTGTTAGTGCCCATTCATCAAATAAAGTATTCATAACTATGTGTATTTCATACACATGAAATGGATTTATAAAAAGAGAGCCTCTACTGCAAATTGTATTAATTAGAGGCTTACTTGTAATTATGTTATATTATTTAAAAAGAACAGTTTATTATCTTAGATAGGGCCCTGAGCCTTCTTGAGATCTGTCAGTCAAGTAAGAAAATTGAGTAAGTTTGGGTCCTTGAAAGAAAATGTCAGTAAAGGGCAATTCACACACACTTGGAAAAATTCAGGCTTTCAGGTCCATTAATTCTTCCTCCATGGACTATTGACTGTAATAAACTAGAGATGAATCCATTTAAACAAAATGGAACTTTTGTTGATAATAGGAGTGAAAACACAATGCTTGATAATGAGCATATGACTATTTTCCCCATTTGATGTTACTAGGGCTTGCTATTGGAAATCTAACATACAGAATCATACATTTAGAAAGAATACGAGAAACCAGTTACTTCATTTGTTCCTAATAATATAATTATCTGCATCAGGATTCCTGAGGCATTTTAAAAAACACAGACTTGCTGGTTGTACTCCATACCCACTGAATCAGACTTCTGAGTGTGGGGCCCTCAAATCTGAGTTTTAAGCCAGCATCGCAAATGATTTTGATGGGAACCTAGGTTAGGAGCAACTGAACTAGTCTAACTTCCAAAACAATATAAAAATGTCATATAATAGAAGTTGGAAGACTTGTTCTGTAAAGGACAAGATAGTAAATATTTTAGACTTTGAGGGCATACAGTCTGTCATGACTCTTCAGTTCTCCCATTGTAATGCGAAATAATACACAAAATGAATGAACACTACCGTGCCCTTGAAAAAAAGTACATCTTGAGACCACCAAATTACTAAAGCAAAGGGAATCCAAGCTGGGAACGACATCAGGCAAACCTGCCTTCCATTTTATTCCTAAATAAGATAGCTACAAAGGTGAAAAAGCTACCTACTTCCCACACAATTTGCCCACAAAGAAATTCCTTGTGGACAGGCCGGGCGCGGTAGCTCATGCCTGTAATCCCAGCACTTTGGGAGGCCAAGGGGGGCGGATCACGAGGTCAGGAGATCGAGACCATCCTGGCTAACACGGTGAAACCCCGTTTCTACTAAAAATACAAAAAATTAGCCTGGCGTGGTGGCGGGCGCCTGTGGTTCCAGCTACTCGGGAGGCTGACGCAGGAGAATGGCGTGAACCCGGGAGGTGGAGCTTGCAGTGAGCCGAGATCGTACCACTCCAGCCTGGGCGACAGAGCAAGACTCTGTCTCAAAAAAAAAAAAAAAAAAAAAAATTCCTTGTGGACAAAGGATGGATAAAACAGTCATCCTTCTGCTCATGTGAGACAAATGCGTATTTGCGTATTTGATCACTTCCTCTGCCCTATTGTTTCCCTAAGCCAGACTAAGGCATAAGTGACTATGTCTTTACCCTCCTCTCACATGCAAATTGTGTATTCAGTAGCAGGCTAATCAGAGACTTAAAAAAAAATGCAACCGTTTGTCTTTATCTCCCTATGACCTGGAAGCCGCCTCCTCTGCATCGAGTTGTTCCACCTTTCTGGACAGAACCAATGTACATCTTACACATATTGATTCATGTCTCATGTATCCCTAAAATCTATAAAATCAAGCTGTGCCCCAACCACATTTGGGCACATGTCATCAGGCTGTGTCATGCGCATGTCCTTCACCTTCGCAAAATAAACTTTCTAAATTGAGATCTGTCTCAGATACTTTTGAGTTCACGGTCCCAATAAAATATTATTTATAAAAACAGAGGGAGGTCAGTAAAAATGATGGAGTTAGAATCTCTGAAAATTTTCTCCTCCATAAAATCAATGAGAAAACAGAGACAGCAGAATCAACGTTCTCAGAACAATGGAGATTCACCGAAAGCTTGCAGCAATCTGAAGAATGGTTTTATTTGAGAGAAAAAAAGCTGAGTCTTAGTAAGAACAGTAAGTTTGTGCCATTTTAACTCACCCTATTCCTATCTTTCCCTCCTCCACCTCCACAGTAGGCTTGAAAATCTAAGGTCCTCAATCTTGTTGGAAACAGACAGCCTCACAGCCAGGAGGCAGAATGGATCTGAAGCCTCTTCAAAGTTCTATCCCACTGTCATTATTTGATCTTTCTGGTAACTGGAAGACTCTACTTGCAAAGCCTTCTTTATTTGACTAGACATGGAGCTTGCACAGTTTGAAAAGCCTTTTTCTTAGGGACATTTGTTCCGAAAAATAAAAATGAGAGGAAATTGATTAACTTCATGGCTGCCTGAGGTAAACTATCCAAAAACCTTAAAATCTAGGAATTAAGATGACCAAAGAGGCTTTGAAAGCTCAGATGTGTTCCCGAGAATGTAGAAGGCCACATGCCTTTGTAAAGCTGTTTGCATGTCCAAGAAAGATATGACAAGGTCTTAAGCTCTCACTTCTGGCTAAACTTAAGACATTACACAAGCAGGCAGTGAGGGATAAAATGGAGTTTTCAATTGCCTGGCTGAGTGTTGAATTTGGGCCCAAACATGCACAAAAGCCCTTTGGCAAGGACTAGGAAAATTATTGGTGCCATATGACCACTATACTTAGCAAAAATTTCAGTCGTGACACAGAATAAACAATATAGGCTTAAGGAATTAGTGTAGAAAAGTAACTGAAGAAACAAATAACAACTAACAGCAACAGCAAGAGACCCTGGGAAATGGAGAAAATCTGATTACCAAAGTTGCTACATTAGATTATTTGAAAAGTCCTGTTTTCAACAAAAACTTATGAGATGAGCAAATATACAGGAAAATATGGCTCATACACAAAGGAAAAAAGCAATTAATATAATGTCTCCCTGAGGATGCTCAGACATTGTATGTGCTAGACAAAGACTTCAATTGTTTTAAGTATATCTAAATAACTTTTAATAAAACATGTTTATAGACCTAATAGAAAATACAAGAATGATGTCCCATCAAATTGAGAATATCAATAAAAAGAAGTTCTGAAAAATCAGTAGAAATTCTTCAGTTGAAAAATATGATAACTGAAATGAAAAATTAACTAAAGGAATTTTACCCCAGATTTAAGCAGGCAGAGAAAAGAATAAGATAGTGGGAAGAAAGGTCAGTTGAGTGCATTCAGTGTAAGGAACAGAATGAAAAAAGAATGGAGAAAAGTGAATAGAGACTTACAGAGCTGTGGCACAACATTAAGGACAACATTTATGTAATGAAAAACCATAGAGGAGAAAAAGAAACTGGGCAGAAAAAAAATGTGAATAAATAATAGTCAAACTCTTTTTAAGTTGGATAGAAAACATTAATAAATTTATCCAAGAAGCTCCACAAATCTCAAGTAAGATGAAAAAAAAAAAGAAATCTACAAAGAGACACATCCTAGTCAAATGGTCGAATGCCAAAGGCATGGAGAATCTTGAAAACACCAAGAGAGAAGTGACTCATGTTTAAGGGATCCTCAATAAAATTAACAGCTGCTTTCTCATCGGAAATGATGTGGCCAGAGGCAATGGGATGACATACTTAAGGTACTGAGAAAAAAAGACTTTCAACCAAAGATTCTATAGCTAGCAAAACCATACTTCAAAAAATAAGTGAAAACTTAAGACGTTCCTAAGGAAAATAATTCATTGCTAGTAGACCTGCTGTACAAGAAATACCAGAGGTAGTTTTTCAGGTTGAGAGAAAGTGACACCAGACAGTAATTTCAGGATCAGATGAAAGGACCCTAGACAATAACTTGAATCTGCATGAAATCATGAGTAGTATTGCTAAAGGTAGCTATAGGTAAACATAAGAGACAAAACGTATTCTTGCTTGTTATATTTTTCTTCTTTTATCTCATATAAAAGACAACCACATAAACCAATAATTATAAATCCATGTTGATGGATACAGAATTATAAAAATTAATTTCTGTGTAATAGCACAATGAAAGGCAGTGGGAATAGAGAGGTATAGGATAAAAGTTCTGATATATTATTAAAATTGGTATTAATTTGACTAGACTGTTATGGGTTAAGATGTTCATTGCAATCCCCAGGGCAATTAGTAAAATAACTTTTAAAAACATATTAAAACAAATGACAAGGGAATTAAAATGATGCAATAAAAAATATCTATTTAACAGGAGACAGCAATGGAAGAATAGAGGGACGAAAAAAGACATAAGACATGAAAATATATCAAAATGGAAGATGTAAATTCTATCAGTAATTATACTAAATTTAAATGAATTCAACACTTCAATCAAAAGCCAGAGGTTGAAAGAGTTAATTTAGAAACATGATATGCTTTCCATAAGAGACATAATTTAGACTCAAGGTACAAATAAGTTGAATGTAAAAGGAAGAAAAATTATACGCCAAGAAGATAGTAGTCAAAAGAGAGCTGGAATGGCAATACTGGTATCAAACAAAACAGACTTTAAGACAAAAATTGTTACTAAGACAATAAGGAACATTTTATAATGATAAAAAGTTTAGCCCACAAAGAAGTTGTAATAATTATAAACATGTAGTAAGTTTTTACATGAAGTAAAAACTTCATTCTTTGAAGGGGGAAATAGACAATTTAATATAATAGTTGGAGGCTTCAATATCTCACTTATAATGATGGATAGAACAATTAGACAGAATAGCAATAAAGAAAAACATATTTAAACAAGACAACAAAGCAACTAGGCCTAATAGAAACCTGTGGAACACTCTAAAAACAGCAAAACGGACATCCTTCTCTAGTGCACATGGAACATTCTTAAGAATAGACCATAAAACAATAGTCAATAAATTTAAAATAATTGAAGTCAGACAAAGCATATTCTCTGACCAAAATGAAATAAAAATAAGGAAATTTGATAAATTCACAAATATGCAGAAATTTAATGATGCACTCTCATATAACCAATGGGTCAAATTAAAATTACAATAGAAATTAGGAAATATTTTGAGATAAATAAAAACTAAAACTATAGCAGGGTTTTATAACAGTGCTTAGAGGGAAATTTATAGCTGAAAACAATATTTAAAAAGAAGAACAATCTCTAATCAATAACCTCACTTCCCATCTTACAACACTAGAAAACAAAGAGCTAATTAAACACAAAAGAAGCAGAATGAAGGTAATAATAAATGTTAGAGAGAAGATAAATGTGATACAGAAGAAAAAAACCAATAGAGAAAAGAAATGACTCAAAACATGTTTTTTTAAACAGATCAACAAATTTGACAAAGCTATAGCTAAGAGTGACCAAGAAAAGAGAGAGAGAAGACTCACATTATTAGAATAAGGAATGAAAGCAGAGATGTTACTTGCAACCTTACAAAAATAGAAAGGATTATAAGAAAATACTATGAACAATTTTATATCTACAAATTGTACAACTTAGATAAAATGAAAAAATTCCTAGAAATGCAAAACTACTGAAACTGAATCAAGAAGAACCTAAATAGAACTATATCAAGCAAAGAGATTAAATTAGAAATGTAAAAACTTCCTACTAAAGAAAAGCCCAGAACCAGATGGCTTTCCATGGTTAATTCTACCAAACATTTAAAGAAGTTAATAAAAATAAGCAATGGGGAAAGTACTCCCTATTTAATGAATAGTGCTAGAATAGCTGACTAGCCATATGCAAAAGAATGAAACTGCACCCCTACCTTTCACTATTTCCAAAAATTAACTCAAGATGGATTAAAGATTTAAATGTAAGACCTGAAACTATAAGAATTCTAGAAGAAAACTGAAGAAACACCATTCTGGACATTGTTCTTGGGAAAGAATTGATGACTAAATCCTCAAAAGCAATTGCAACAAACATGAAAATTGACCAATGGAACCTAATTAAGCTAAAGAGCTTCTGCACAGCAAAATAAAGTATAAACTGAGTAAATAAACAACCTATAGAATGGGAGAAAATATTCACAAACTATGCAGCCAACAAAAGTCTAATATCCAGAATTTTTAACAAACAATTGAACAAGCAAAAAACAACCCCATTAAAAATGGGCAAAATACATGAACAAACACTTCTCAAAAGAAGACACGCAAGTGGCCAACAAACATATGCAAAGGGCCTCAACATCGCTAATCGTTAGAGAAATGCAAATCCAAACCACAATGAGATACCATCTCACACCAGTCAGAATGGCTATTATTAAAGTCAAAAAATAACAGATGCCGGTGAGGCTGCAGAGAAAAGGGAACACTTACACACAGTTGGTGGGAATGTAAATTAGTTCAGCCACTGTGAAAAGCAGTTTGGACATTTCTCAAAGAACTAACAACAGAACTATTAATCGATCCAGCAATCCTATTACTGGATATTTATCCAAAAGAAAATAAATTATTCTACCAAAAAGACACCTTCACTTGTATGTTCATCACACCTACATTCACAATAGCAAAGACATGGAATCAAACTAGGCACAGACCAAAAGTGGATTGGATAAAGAAAATGTGGTACATGTACACCGTGGGATACTATGCAGTCATAAAAATGAATGAAATCTTGTTTTTTTCAGCAACATGGATGCAGCTGGAGGCAATTATCCTAAGCAAATTAACACATGAACAGAAAATCAAATAATATTGTCATTTATAAGTGGGAGCTGAACAGTGGGTACTCATGGACATAAAGATGGAAACAATAGACACTCAGGGGTACCATATGGGGGAGAGGCAGGCAAGTTTTGAAAAACTAACTACTGGGTGCGATGCTCGCTACCTGGGTGACAGCATCATTCATATCCCAAACCTCAGCATCATGCAATACATCCATTTCACAAACTTGCACATGTACCCCCAGAGTCTAAAATAAAAGTTGTAATTATTTTTAAAAAATCTATTTCTATTGCAGATGACATAATCTTGTATATAGAAAATCCTAAGGAATCTATAAAACAAAGGATTAGAGCTCATAAATGACTTCTGCAAGATTTAAGGATACAAAATCAATATACCTGTCAGTTGAATTTCTGTACACTAGCAACGAAATATCAGAAAATTAAGTCATTTACAACAGTATGAAAGAGTCAAATGTTAAGAATCACTCTAACTAAAAGAAATGCAAGACTTGTACAATGAAAACTAAAAGACATCATTGAAAGAAATTAAAGAGAAACTAAATAGATGGTAAACATCTTGTGTTTATGAATAAGAAGGCTTAATATTACTAAGATACCAATAACCCTCAAAGTGATCTGTAGATTGAATGCAATTCTTATCGAAATTACAGCTGGCTTTTTGCAGAAGTTGACAAGCTGATTCTAAAAGTCAAAAAATTCAAGTGATCCAGAATACCAAAGACAACCTTGAAAAGACATAACAAAATTGAAAAACTCACACTTCCTGATTTCAAAACTTACTACAAAGTCACAGTAATCAACACTGTGCTACTGGCATAAAGATAGACCCATAGACCAATGGAATAGAGTCTAGAAATGGACATTTATGTTTTTCTACCAGGGTATCAAGAAAATACAATGAATAAAGAATAGTCTTTTTAAAGAACGGAGCTGGGAAACGATCTCCACATACAAACAAAGGAAGTTGGATACCTCCACCTACCATATCCAAAAATTAACTCAAACTAGATTGAAGACTTAAATGTAAAAGCTAAATTTATAAGCTTCTTAGAAGAAAATATAGGTGTAAATGTTTGTGACCTTAGATTAGGCAATGATTTCTTACATATGACACCTAAAAACATACAATCAAAAAATAATAAATTGGACGGTAGTAAAATTAAAAGTGTTTGTGCATCAAAGGACATTCTCAAAGAAGTGAAAAGACAAACTACTGAATTATAGAAAACATTTGCAAATTATATGTTTAATAAGGGTCAAATATTCAGAATCTATAAAGAATTCTTACAAATCAATAAAAGCAAATAACCAACTCAAAATAATAATATATTTGAATAAACATTTATACAAATAAAATGGTCCATATGTACATGAAAAGATGCTCGACATAATTATAAATTAGGGTAGTGCAAACTAAAATCACAATGAGATATCACTTCACATCCACTAGGACAGCTATAAGCAAAACGATAGACAATAACAAATGTTAGATCTGTAGGCATTGGACCCCTAACATATTGCCCAGAGTTATACAAAATAGTGCAGTAGTTTTGGAAAACAGTGCGGCAGTTCCTCATTTGTTAAACTGCCAGTATCACACATAAGGGTTACCTTATGATCCAACAATTCCACTCCTAGACTATACCCAAGAGAATTGAAAACACAGGTTCAAGCACGATTTTGTACATGAATGTTCATAGCTTTAATTTTCATAACACCAAAAATATAAGCAACCCAAATGTCCATTAACTGATAAATGGATAAACAAAATGTATATACAAGCAATGGAATATTATGCAGCCATATAAAAGAATACAATACTGATGCTACAACATGGATGAACATTAAAAACATTATGCCAAGTGAAAAAAGCCAGTCACAAAAAGTCATTTATTGTGTGCTTTCATTTTTTTTTTTTTTTTGAGATGGCGTTTTGCTCTTGTTGCCTACGTTGGAGGGCAATGGTGTGATCTTGGCTGACCGCAACCTCCACCTCCCAGGTTCAAGCGATTCTCCTGCCTCAGCCTCCTGGGTAGCTGGGATTACAGGCACATGCCACCACGCCCAGCTAATTTTGTATTTTTAGTAGAGATGGGGTTTCTCCATGTTGGTCAGGCTGGTCTCGAACTCTCGACCTCAGGTGATCCGCCTGCCTTGGCCTCCCAAAGGGCTGAGATTACAGGTGTGAGCCACCACACCCGGCACTTATAATAATTTTTTATATATTCAAAAAGACAGGTGTTAAGTAGAGTCATGGAAGATATTAGAATACCCAAATAAAACTTTTAAAGAAGAAAACTACAATATTTAAGACAAAAAATACACTGGGTAGGATTCACGGCAGACTCAAAGCCAGAAAAGAAAATATTAGTGAACTTAAAGACATAGCATATGTCATTTTTATGACATTTTCAGAATAGGCAAAAAGACAGAAAGTGGATTAATTGTTGCTAGGAGGTAAGGCAAGAGGATAGTGAAGAGTGAGTACTAGTGAATATAGCGTTTCGTTTTGGATGTCATGAAAAGATTCGGGAACTATATAGTGGTGATATTTGCACAACCTTGTGAATATACTAAAAACCACTAAATATAACATCATTTTAAAAGGCTACATTTTATGGCATGTTAATTACATCACAATTAAAAAACAACAACAAAAACTGGCGGGACCTGATTTCATAGCTGGCCTTAGTTTGCTGATGCCTGCTCTATAATTTCTTTGACTGATAGCTCCTCAATAGCTGCCCAGATACTTCCAGGAATTGGAGGCAATTCGTTGGCATGGCAGTTATATTTACGAAAATCTCTATTTAGCACTGTAGTATACTGATTAATAACTTTTGCTCTCAAAATGGAATATATACATTAGAATCCACTACTTATCTATATAAGGCATTAGGGAAACTGTTGAAACTAAGCTTTGGTTTCCTCATCTTAAAAATGAGGGCAATAATAGTACCTAACATTAGAGCTATTTTGTGAGTATTAGTTTAGATAATATATAAAATGGTTTAGAACAATGCTTGGTTTGTAGCAAGAACTCAATTACATTGTTAGATGATTGTATTAACAAACCTACTGTGCTTCCAGTCATATAAAAGTATAGCACATACAATTACGTATAGCACATAATACTTGATGAGGAAAATAAATGATTATACTACTGGTTTAGGTATTTACTATGCTGTACTTCTTATCATTTTAGAGTGTACTCTTTCTACTTATTAAAAAAATTAACTGTAAAACAGCCTCAGGTACAGACTTTCAGGAGTTATTCCAGAAAAAGTCATTGTTACAGGACCTGACAGCTCCGTGTGTGTTATTGCCCCTGAAGACCTTCCAGTGTGACAAGATGTGGAGGTGGAAGAGAGTGACATTGATTATCCTGATCCCATATAGGCCTAGGCTAATGTGTGTGTGTGTCTTAGTTTTTAGCAAAATGTTTAAAAAGTTTTAAAAAATTAAAAATTGTGTAGAATAAGGATATAAAAAAAATATTTTTGTACAGCTGTAAAATATGATTGTGTTTTAAGGTAAGAGTTTTTACAAGACAGTCAAAAAGTAAAAAAAAAAATTAAAAGTTTATCAAGTATAAAAGTTACAGTAGGCTAAGGGCAATTTAGTATTGAAGAAAGAAAAGTTTTGTTATTAATTTAGTGTAACCTAAGTGTCTAGTGTTGATAAATTCTACAGTAGAGTACAGTAATGTCCAAGGCCTTCACATTCACTCACCACTCACTCACTGACTCACCCAGAACAACTTCCAATCCTGATAGCACCATTCACAGTAAGTGCCTTATACAAGTGTACCATTTTTTATCTTTCATAACATATTTTTAATGTACCTTCTCTATGTTTAGTTATGTTTAGATGCACAAATACCATTGTGTTACAATGGCCTGCAATATTCAGTACAGTAACATACTGTACATGTTTGTAGTCTAGAAGCGACAGGCTATACTATCTAAGATTGTGTTGAGTGCACTCTGTGATGTTCCCACAATGATGATATCTCCTAACAATGCTCCATTATTAAGCAATGCATCCTGTATATAGAGAAGACATATGCCTCTCTGTAGCCTCTGTCCACTTCTGTTCTCAACTCCTATCCTGATTCAGTCTAATCCTTTTTTTAAATTTAAAGGCAAGTGATATTTTTAAGAATTTTTTGAATCAACTTTACTCAGGTATAATTTGCATACAATAAAATTAAACCAGATAAAATGTACTCAATGAATACATAAAAGCATACACCCTCAACTACCACTGCAGTAAACATGTAGAACATTTTTATCACTACTAAAACTTTCCTAATGGCACCTTTCGGTCAATCTTTTCTCTACCCTCAGTCTCCACTGAATTTTTTGCATTGTAGTGAAACATACATAACATTTACCATTTTAAACATTGATAAGTATATAGTTCAGTGGCAATAACTACATTCACATTGCTGTGCAACCACCACCATCATCTGTATCCAGAAAAGTTTCATCTTTCCAAATTTTTGAAACTCTTCCCATTGCCATCTCCCCCTAATCCCTAGCAATCACCATTCTACTTTCTGCCTGTATAAATTTGACTGCTGTGAATAGCTCATGTACGTGGAATCACATAATATTTGCCCTTTTGCGTCTGGCTTATTTCACTAAACATAATGTCTTCAAGGTTCACCCAGGTTTTTGCATGTGCTGGAATTTCATTCCTTTTTAAGGCTGAATAATATTCTTTTGTACATATGTACTGCATTTTGCTTATTCAGTCATCTGTCAATCAACATGTGTGTTCTTTCCACTTTTTGGCTATTGTGTATGATGATGCTATGAACATTGGTGTACAAATATCTCTTCAAATCCTTTCTTTCAATTCTTTTGGGTATATACACAAAAATAGAATTGCCAGATCATATGGTAATTCTATGGTTAATATTTTGAGGAACTGCCACACTCCTGACCACAGGTGATCCACCCGCCTCGGCCTCCCAAAGTGCTGGGATTACAGGCATAGGCCACTGCACCTGGCCACTCATTGTGTTTTTTATTTGCCTTTCCCTAATGATAAATGATACCCACTATCTTTTAATGTGTTTACTGGCCATTGTATATCTTCTTTGGGGGAATATCTATTTGAGTTCTTGGTCTATTTTTTAAATTGCATTGATTGTTTTTTTGTGTTGAGTTGTAGGAGTTCTTGGTATACTCTGGATATTTATCTCTTGTTAGAGACCTGATTTGAAAATATGTTCTCCTATTCTGTGAGTTGCCTTTTCACTCTGTTAATAGTTTCCTTTGATGACAAAAGTTTTAAATTTGATGAAATCCAATTTATCTATTTTCCTTTTGTTGCCTGTGCTTTTGGGGGCTATAACTAAGAAATTGTTGCTGTATTCGATGTCATGGAGCTTTTTGCATATGTTTTCTTCTAAGGCTTTTACATTTTCAGCTCATACATTGAGGTCTTTATTTGAATTAATTTTGTATATGATATAAAGTAAAAGTCCAAATTCATCTTCATGCATGTGGATATGGTTTTCCCAGCATCATTTGTTGAAAAGATCCTCCTTTCCCCATTCTTAAAGGTGAAAAACACTTTTCCCAAAGGTGCAAAACACCTTTTTTGCAAGGTGTTGCAAGGTGCAAAAAAGATGTTTTGCACCTTGAAGAAAATCTTTTGACCATATATGCAGGGTTTATTTATGAAATATCTACCTTATTCCATTAGCCTATGTGTCCGTCTTGATGCCAGTATCACACTTTTGATTACTATGTGGCTTTGTATTAAGTTTTGAAATCAGAAAATCTGACACCTTCAACTTTGTTCTCCTTTTTCAAGATTGTCTTGAATACTCAGCATCCCTTGAGAGTCCATATGAATTTTAGCATGGATTTTTCTATTTCTGCAAAAAATGTCATCAGAAATTTGAATTTGATAGGAATTGTACTGAAGCTGTTGATCACTTTGGGTAGTATTGACATCATAACAATAGAAATTGTATTCTAATCCATAAACATGAGAGATCTCTCTATTTATTTTTCTTTTTCCTTCAGCAGAATTTTATAGTTTTCAGTGTACAAGTCTTACCTCTTAGGTTGTTTACTCCAAAGCATTTTATGTTTTTGATGCTCTTATAACTGGGATTGTTTGCTTGATTTCCTTTGTAGAATGTCAATTATCGATGTACAGAAAGAGATCTGATTTTTGCGCATTGATTTTGTGTCCTGCAATCAGTCTTTCAGGCCACCCCCAGACAAGTTAGAACAATGAAAAAATGTCTGCTCTGCTCCCTCTATTTTGAGGGAAGGAATTGGGAACTGGGTTGTTGCTTTTTCACTGCTGCATTATGCCACGTTGGGAAATGGGTGAGGCAAAAGTGAGTAAAAACATCACATTTCCTAATGTTTTGAATGTGGCTTTTTCTTGATTAGGCATTCATTTGACCACTATAGACCTTTGACTATTTTCGGAGCTCCGAAAAAAATTATTTTAGCCAATATTTGTCTATCTATGTATCTGTCTATGTATCTGTCTGTCTATCTATCTGTCTGTCTGTCTGTCTGTCTATCTGCCTATCTGCCTGTCTGTCTATCTATCTGTCTGTCTGTCTGTCTATCTATCTATATCTATCTATCATCTATCTGCCTATCTGTCTGTCTGTCCGTCTATCTGTCTGTCTGTCTATCTATCTACCTACATACCTTCCTGTGGGGGAACAAGTGCATGGAGTTTCCTTTTATGCCATGTTTCTGACGTCACTCCAAATTCCAAGGCAGTGATTTTGAAAACTATTTTGTCACCTTCTATTTCCTAGGTTAGATATCACCACCTTCTTCAATTATTCTCTAAAATTTGGCAACATCCATATAGTTCCCTATGATTCCTCATACATGAATAGTAAAGTTTGGTGATTCCATTGACAGATTTCTTCAGGGCAGGTCAATCCTCTTTGCCACCTTATACACCCATGTTTTTTTTTCAGTTATTTTAAATAATATTTTTAATGCTCTGCAATTATGACATATGTTGAAAAAACGCAACTTAAGAATGAGATTTTCTGCTTTTTCTTGTCACTTATGAAAATTCTACCATCTCTTTAAGAGTTTAATTCACTTTGACCATTACCCGCCTACACATTCTTCTCATACTTACCTTGGACACAATCATAAAACTTTATAATTCTAGGTTCAACAAAAAGCTTAATTTTCAGTTTCACTGGTTGCTTTGGGTACTTTCCTCTTTTTCTTCTCTACATTATTCATATTATCATCGACATAATTCTATTTGTGAGAACATTCAACACTCTTTAATCATTATCTTGTATTCTAGAATCTCGTATAATGGGATCAAGCATACCTTTCTGCTTAACCCGTTGATCTCTCTCTTTCTGAAGTTCAGAGAAATATAGCAATATCCAAATAGTTCAATTGCGGGTGGAACTACAAATATGTCAAAATGAAGTTTACTTTTTTTTTTTTTTTTTTTTTTTCTTTTTTTTTTTTTTTTGAGACGGAGTCTCGCTCTGTCGCCCAGGCTGGAGTGCAGTGGCGGGATCTCGGCTCACTGCAAGCTCCGCCTCCCGGGTTCACGCCATTCTCCTGCCTCAGCCTCCCAAGTAGCTGGGACTACAGGCGCCCGCCACTACGCCCGGCTAATTTTTTGTATTTTTAGTAGAGACGGGGTTTCACCGTTTTAGCCGGGATGGTCTCGATCTCCTGACCTCGTGATCCGCCCGCCTCGGCCTCCCAAAGTGCTGGGATTACAGGCGTGAGCCACCGCGCCCGGCCTGAAGTTTACTTTTAAAAACAAGTGAGTCAGAAAAATTTAAGGAGCAGCCGTCTCCTGGCAGCTAATTAAAAAATAGCAACCATTCTTCCATCTGAACGAGTCTGTGTCTTAGAAGCATGGAGTTACTGACTTGTATTACATGCCTGCATGTTTTTCATTCTCTTGAAAAAAGTATTGTTTACATTCTGTATTAGTTTGCTAGGGCTGCTGTAACAAAGTGCCACAAACTGAGTGACTAGAAACAACAGAAATCTATCTTGTCACTGTTCTGGAGGCTGAAAGTCTGAAATCAAGGTGTCAACAGGGCCATACTCCCCCTGAGATTCTGGGCAGAAAATGCTTCCTTGCCTCTTTCTGATTTCTGGTAGTGGCTGGCAATCCTTAGTATTCCTTGGCTTTCAGCTGCAGGCATTTCAATTTCTGCTTCTGTCATCACATAATGGCCTCATGGTGTGTCTCTGTCGGTGTCTCTTCTCTTCTTATAAATACATCAGTCATACTGGATGAAGGCCCCCTGTAATGACCTCTATCTGCAAAGACTATTTCCAAATAAGTTAACATTTACAGGTACCAGGGGCGAGAACTTTAACATATCTTTTTGTGGGACACAATTCAATTCGTAACACACTACAAACTTGAGATGATTTTTGCACTTTTTTAGTGATTAATTCTGAAACACCCCCACCCTCCTTTTTCAATTACTTTGATAAGCATCACTGCAGACACTCTCTCTTAAGTGCATCTTCCAGTGGTACATAGAATTGCTGTTGATGATGAGACATTTTAGGAGAACTAAATTCTAATTAACTTTGTCACTGATTAACTTTGCCTGTGTTTTTTAGGGAACAGGGAAAGGATCTAAAGATTAATGCAGATCGTCACAGGTGGCAGCAGACTAGGACCCAGATGTTCACAAATCTTTTCACCTCTCAGTGAAATATACTTAGTTTAAAGAAAAAATCGAAGGAAAAATTTAGGAAGGCATTCAATACAATTGACTTCTTACAACTTTTCTCTGCGTTGTTAGCCATCTACTTGTAGAAATAATAAGAAATAGGAATATGGACAAAATCAAGGAATTGAAAGTTCAAAAGAAAATCCTACCTGATTAATCAGTTCCTGAACAAACTAAGATTTGTCTGTCATATGAGACTTAACATTTCCACTCAGTATAACAATAAGTAACTATTTTAGAAATAAAAAACATTGTCATGTACACTGTAACGTAGGAAAATCTTGTCTTGTCAATTTTATACATTAACATTAAAGCAATTCCTTTAAATTTTGAGAGAGTCTTTCCCCCTAGGAATTGCTTAGAAATGAAAATCTATAATGCAAATCTCGACTTCTTTGTGACTCAGAATCCCAGACTTAATAAAAAGTGTGTCTCTGTATACTCAGGCTATTTTCTTGCTAATAGTAAATGATACATTTTATTTAACAATTTGTCCCTGGCCAGTGGGAAAGATGGAATTGTTAGACAATCAAGGGAGGGACTTTATGCAAACCATTACTATTTGTCAGTGCATTGAGAATAATCTTGAGAATAATCATGAACACACAGTAGGTATTCAGCTAATGTCTTCCTAATCCCTGCACACATTACAGGATCCTGGAGATAATGAGTGTTAGTTCCACATTAAGATCCATGCAGCCTGTTACAAACTAAAATTTTTACAATTATTTTTATTGTAATTAAAATTGAATAATAAATGTGAAAGAATTTTAAAGTACCTTACAAATGCAAGCTATTAATATAATTAATGAGTTGACAAATGACATTTTTAAGAAATGTGAGCTTTTCTCGGTCATGTATTTCTTCCCTTCTAAGGGCAGTACAGTGTTTCACATTTTTTCATTAAATTCACTTATTCCTCTGGTTCATATTATCAAATAACTTTGAAATGTCTTTCATGTGAAATATATGTGTGGCTGAGAGAGAACAAAACTCTAATTGTGCTCATACTGCAGAACTTAAAATAGATTAATAAAATTAAGCCTCATCATAGTTTGAAAATATTTATGAGGCATCCATTTTGTACAACACTTTATAAAATCTGTACTGTTGAAATGTGAGTTAACATATTTAAAGTCATGATCAATTTAAAATTTGGTGAAATTTAAATAAGAAACTTTCAGTGAAATCTAGGAAATTTGAAAAGAAATGGTGTCCTGATAGGAATGAATTTGAGAGAACAATAGAGAAATATGGTTGCCAGTTAAATACTGTTTTTGTTGGAAAGAGGGTAGCCTCAAATTCTGGTTATGTATGGAAAAAGAAAAAGAACTATGGGTAGAAGTGGAGGTTATATAGAACAAAGATAGCAGTGATCTCATCATCTCCCCTCTCCATTCCTTATTCCATGCTCAAAACCTGTGTCAGCTAGATCATTGCAACAGTCTCCTCTCTGGCTTCCCTGCCTCCAGTCTTCCATCTATCCAAACCATTCTCTGTGATGCAACCAGAATTATACTCCTCTGTTGAAAATCTTTTAATGACAATCCATTTCTTTCAAAATGAATGCCAAGCTTGTTACAATGCCCTTTAAGTTTCATCACACTTATGTTTTTCTCTCTAGCCTCATTTCTCCTCCTCTTTTTGCTCACTGCTGTCACTGTCTTATCCTCAAGAGCCAGTAATGCTGAAATAATCAGAATTCCTCAGTGTCATTGTATTTTCTCATTAGCTTTGGGCTCTTTTCACATGCTAAGTCTCTAATAATCTTTATTTTTTAGAACAGTTTTAGGGTCACAGAAAAATAGAGCAGAAAATATGGAAAGTTCTCATTTTCCCATATACCCCCATTTTCCTCACATGTACAGACTCCCCCATTATCAACATGCCCCACCAGAGGGACACATTTGTTACAATTGATGGATGTATTTTGACACACATTATTTTCAAAGACCATAGTTTATTTTAGGGTTATTTCTTGGTGTTGTACCTTCTATGGATTTGGACATACTCTTACCAGATGATACAGCAGTGACGCTCCTAAATATCTACCCAAAGCAGTTGTGGACACATTCTCAACTTCTTTAGGTAGATATTTAAGAGCGTCACTGCTGTATCATCTGGTAAGAGTATGATTAGTTTTGTAAGAAACTCCCAACTATCTTCCAAAGTGGCTATATTATTTTGCATTCCCACCAGAAATGTATGAAAGGTCCTGTTTTTCCACATGTTCACCAGTAGTCAGTGTTGTCAGTGTTACGGATTTTGGCCATTTTAATAGGTATGTCAGGTATCTCATTATTGTTTCAATTTGCATTTCACTTATGACATATGATGTGGACCACGGCTTCATATACTTTTTTGTCATGTGTGCATCTACTTTATCTACTTTGGTGAGATGTCTGTTAAGGCCTTTGGCTCATTGCTTAATTGAGCTGTTTGTTTTATCATTGTTTTAAGAGTATTTTGTATATTTTGGATAACAACACTTTGTCAGATATCTCTTTTGCAAATATTTTCTCTCAGTCTGCATTTTGTCCCTTGACAGGGTCATTTGCAGAAAAGAATTTTTGAAAATTGAATAAAATCCAGCTGTCAGTTCTTTTTTTATTGATTGTAATGGGTGCCATATCTAAAATGTCATCTCAAAACCCAAGATCATGTAGATTTTCTCCTATGTTATTTTCTAGGAGTTTTGTACTTTGTGATTTACATTTAGGTCTGTGATCCATTTTGAGTTCATTTGTTTTTAAGTTTTAATTTTTATGGGTACACAGTAGGTGTAAATATTTATGGGGTACATGAGATATTTTGATACAGGCATACAATGCATAATAATCCCATCAGGGTAAATGGGGTATTCATCACTTCAGTAATTTATCCTTTGTGTTGCAAACAACTGAATTATACTTTTTTAGTTATTGTAAAATGTACAATAAAATTATTATTGGCTATAGTCGCCCTGTTGTGCTATCAAATACTAGATATTATTTATTCTATTTTTTTGTACCCATTAACCATCCTCACTCTTCTCCACCCCACCGCCTCCCGGCAACTACCCTTCCCAGCCTCTGGTAACTATCATTCTACTCTCTATCTCCATGAGGATTTTGAGTTAAATTTTTGCGAAGTATTTTGTAATTTTTGTGAAGGGTGTAAGCTCTTTGTCTTGATTCATTTTCTTTTATGTGCATGACCAGTTATTCTGGCACCATTTGCTGAAAACTAATAATCTTTTCAAGACTTCTCAAGGCCGGATTTGGTAACCACTTTATATGATCCCATAGGACTTATCAGACTTGAAAACTGCTAAAAATATTTCACGGATCAGTTAAAAGGTTAACTACTCTGTGACTCCTTCCTTGACTTCTCCAGGCAGAATTATGCTCCTTTTGTGCTATGTACATTTCTCAATTGTGGCTATTACATTATTGCATTTTAGTCCTTTGTCTGCCCATCTCACTCTTTTCTGTACACACATTATCTCAGAAATGTGACTAATACAAAGTGGATGCTCAAAAAATATTTGTTGAATGGCTAAATCTATCAATAAATCAACCAGTCAGTCCATAACAGTAGGTATTTAAATAATGATAGCCAAGCAAGAGATCTTAATTTAAGGAAGCATACACTACTAAAGCAATTTCAATTGATTCTCAGAATAGCAGAAGAAATCAAAGGAAAAAGTATTGCTTTCAGTGGCCATAATTTATAAACAAGAACTGTTATTTATAGTATCATAGCTAAAAATAAATTAATGTTTGTGTCGACAGCACAGATTTCTGAGGATATCTAGGTTGAACTAATCTACAATAGATAATTATGGGAATTAATTTTGAAAGGAATTTCATACGCCAAAGTGATTGTGCACCTATAAATATTTAAATAGATTGTTTTTAAAATGTGTTATGCAGATATTTATAATTCGTGCCAAGACAAATTTTAATTATAAAATCAACTGGAATATTAGAGGTAAAAGATTTATAGCACTCTACCACTTCCAGCAGTCGTGGAGTAGTTTGTTTGGACCAATTATACTTCTGAGAAACCTAGAAAATCTGGATAACATATAAAATAACATCTATTTGAGCGCAAAGCAACCTACCAAGACAGTTCGCATTTGTAGAGACATGATATCTCAGAGAAGGGAAACCTAGAAGGTGAGACCAATTTGGCACCTCTAAGTCCCTTAAAGGATTTATGCAGACATAGCCAAATGCAGTGACTGAAGACCGAAAACATAAGAGAGCTGTTTTCAGGATCTCAGATCTACAGGAGAAAAATTGGAGTTTAAAACTTGACAAGAAGGAGAAGACTTGGTAAACACTTGAGGCTTTAAGTTAGGACCTGGAAGGGTTATATTCTAAGGGTAAGGGTGAATGAGAAATAGAATAGCCCTCACCAAAACTAAAGGCCAACTTTAAATCAGTTAAATCCTTGATTGGAATAATACAATCTGTCCTTAGCCTAACTGCTTGCCAGAAGCAAAATTAAATTATCCCAGAAGTATTACAATATCCAGAGCTTCAAATAATCTCAACTATTTTTCATATACAATAATCGGCAGCAAATAAAAAAACCATCAGGCATGGAAAAAGTCAAAAATTAACTGAAAACCAAGAAAAATAAGCAGACGATATAAACAAACTCATGTAGAATCTAGCTATTTAGTTTTTAGACATGAACCTTTAAAAATGATTAACAAGTTTAAGAAATTCAGTGATAAGGTGAAGTATTCAGCAGAGGGCTGGTAACTAAAACAACCAAATAGGAAGTCTAGAATCAGAAAATATAATTATTGAAACTAAGAATAGATGGATGAGTTTAATAGCATATTAGAGATGAAGGAAAAAAAAAGAAAACAGACCGAAGTATGGGTGAGGACTGAGGAGAAACTGTCTAGACTGACGCACTGAGACAAAAAGGTTCAAGAAACATATGGGACGTGGGAAAAATTCTGATATATGTGTAGTTGGCATCATGGAAGGGGAGAGAAATCAGAAAATCGGGCAGATACAATAATTACAGAGAAATGGCTGAGAATTTTTCAAAACTGATAGGTAATATCAAGCTACAGATTCAAGATGTACTACACACCCCAAGTAGGATAAATGCAAAGAAAAATGCAGGTAGGCTCCTCATAATAAAACTCATTAAATTGAATTTTTTATTTTAAAAGCAGTCAGAGGGAGGAAAAATACATATCACTGTTAAATTTGTGGTTACTTTGCTTCTACAGGCATTTCCCTGAAGACAACACAAATTGAACTTTTTTTTATATGGGATTCACATCCAGTCCATGGAAAACATTGGAAGCATACACCTATATACATAAGCCAATCTCTGAAGGTGAAGACTATTTCCAAATAGCAGTGTCTTTCTGTTCTACTACTTAAATGCGTGATCCAGTCTTTCACCTTTAGATTTCGCAGACATGAATCAGTTACCAGCACCTTTGTCCTCAAGATATCCCCCCAAAGCAACACATATTAATCTCCTCTGAAACCCCATTATTTGGTTTAGTGAAGTAAGTATACCCCATTGGCATGGAGTTGGAGAGTCAGATAAAGACAAAATTACTTATTTCCCTGTAGGTTATGGTAAAAATATGTGTGTGAGTGCATACATTTTCATATATACATGTTTGGGTCTTTTCTAAGTGCCATTGGAAGCCTTGACGTGTGTTAAGGACTGATAAAATGAGGTTTGCATTTTTTAAAATACCAGTATGTTTGCAGTTTGGTAATAAGAGTAGTTGGGGTAGTAAAAGAGAAACCAGGAAGACCAATTAAGAGACTACTGAAGTACTTCAAACTAGAGATTACTGTGGCTTGGACTTGAAAGGTAACAATAAATATAAAAATAAGTACATAGATTATAAAAATACTTTGATAGTTTCCATTGAGGTGGCCCGGGTTATATTTTTTTCTGCTACTCTGACATTATCTGTTGTGTTTTATGTCACTATAGAGGGGAGTTGGGTGGGGAGTGGTTAATGTATTTTTCCTCTTTTTCGATACTTAAAAGAGGCAATATTTGGGAGCTGGAGCAAGACGACTGAATATAGCCCTTCAGTGATCATTTCCCCTCAGGATGACCAAATTGAGCAACTATTCATGCAAGAAAGCACCTTCATAGAAACCAAAATAGGTGACAACCACAGTACTTGGTTTGACTATATTATCAAGGAAAGAGTCATTGAAGAGGGTAGAAAAGACAGTCTTGCATTGCCTACAGCACCCCTCCCTGAACCCCATGTAGTATAGCATGAAGACAGAATCTGTGTACTTAGGCAAGAAAGACCAAAGTGAGAGTGGACCTTTGGAACTCAGTGCTGTCCTGTCACAGTGTAACACAATACAGAGAAGAATTCTGCTCGCACCCATGAAGGGAGCATTTAGACCAGCCCTGGGCTAGAAATTCCCAGCCCCAGCAGGAGGAAACAGTTCTGGCTGGCTTCACCACCAGCTGACTAAAGTGACCTGGGGCTTGGAATAAATTTGAGTGGCAGTCAGGTTAGAAGGACTGCAGTCCTAGGGCAAGCCCTGATGCTACAACAGTCTTGGAGGCAGTGGACTTGGTGCATGACCCAGAGTGACACCAGCTGTGTCAGGCAAAGGAGTGCCTGCATCGCCCCTCCACCAACTCCAGGCAGTACAGCTCTGAGAGAGACTCCTTCCACTTGGGGAAAGGAGAAGGAAGAATACAGATAACTTTGTCTTGCAACCTGGGTACCATAGTAATAGTAATAAAAAGCAGCAGGCATATTCCTGAAGCTCCAGAGTCCAGATCTTTGCTCCTGGACAGCATTTTCAGACCCACTGTGGCCAGAAAGGAATCCATTGCCTTGATGAGATGCACCCAGTTTCAGAAGAATTTACCATCCACTGACTAAAGTGGTCTTGGACTTTGAATAAACAGCAGCAGCAGCCAGGCAGCAGTGGCCACAGGCCAGTATTGTGCTGGTCTGCAAAGCTTCAGGTGCAGCAATGTGGAGTGCCAGCTGTGTTGGCCACAGGAGTGTCCATACCAGCGTTTCACCAACTCCACTGCTGAATTATACCAAACATTTAAAGATGAACTAATACCAATCCAGTTTAAACTATTCCAAAAAATTGAGGCAAAGGAAATGCTTCCAATCTTATTCTACAAGACAGATGTAATACCCAGATAACAAAACCAGATGAAGACACAACAACAACAAAACTACAGGCCAACATCTCTGATGAACATAGATGTAAAAATCCTCAACAACATACTAGTAAATAGAACTCAACAACACATTTAAAAGATCATTCATCTTGATCAAGTGAGATTCACCCCAGAGGTGCAAGCATGGTTTAAAATACATAAATTAATAAATGTGATTCATCATATCAACAGAATGAAGGACAAACCTATATGATCATTTCATTAGATGTAGAAAAAGTATTCAATAAAACTTAACATCCCTTCATGATAAAAACTCTCAAAAAACTGGGTATAGAAGGAACATACCTGAACATCATAAAAACCATATAAGAAAAATCCACAGAAAGTATCACACTGCATAGGAAAAAAAAACTGAAAGCATTTTCTCTAAGATCTGGAACAAGACCAGGATGCCCACTTTCATCACTTTTATTCAACATAGTACTAGAAGTCCTAGCTAGAGAAATTAGAAAAGAGAAAGAAATAAAGGACGTCCAAATTAGAAATGAAGTCAAATTAGCCTTGTTGGCAGATGATCTGATTTCATATTTAGAAAAACCTAAAGATTCCACCACACAACTGTTAGAACTGATAAACAAATTCAGTAGAGTTTCAGGATAAAAAATCCACACAAAAAAAACAGTAGCATTTCTGTATGCCATAAACAAACCATCTGAAAAAGAAACCAAGAAAGTAATCCCATTCACAATAGCTGCAAATGAAATTAAATACTTAGGAATTAACCGAAGAAGTGAAATATCTCTACAATGAAAACTATAAAATGTTGATGAAAGAAATTAAAGACATAACAACAAAATGGAAAGATATTCCATGTTCATGGGTTAGAAGAATCAATGTTGTTAAAATGTTTATACAGCCCAAAAGAATCTACAGATCCAATGCAATCTCTATCAAAATAATGTTCTTCACAAAAATAGAAAAAGCAATCCTATAATTTATGTGGAGCCACAAAAGACCCAAAATAGCCAAAGCTATCCTAAGCAAGAAGAACTAAACTGGAGGAATCACATTACCTGGCTTCAAATTATATTATAAAGCTACAGTAACCGAAACAACATGGTACTGGCATAAAAACAGACACAGGGACCAAGGAAATAGAACAGAGAACTCCAAAATAGATTCATGCATTTATAGTCAGCTCATTTTTCACAAAAGCGCCAAAAACATACACTGAGGAAAGAACAGCATCTTCAATAAATTGTGTAGAAAAAACTGGATATCCACATGCAGAAGGATGAAGCTGAATCCCATCTCTCATCATATACAAAAATCAAATAAAAAATAAAGACTGAAATGTAAGACCCCAAATTATAAAACTATTAGAAGAAAACATTGAACAAACACTCCTGCACATTGGCCTGGGCAAAGATTTCTTGAGTAAGACATTAAAAGCACAGGCAATCAAAGCACAAATGGATAAATGATATCACACCAAGATAAAAAGCTACTTCACAGCAAAGGAAACAATTAACAAAGTGAAAAGAGAATCTACAGAATGGGAGAAAACATTTGCTAACTACTAATCTGAGACGGGATTAATAACTAGAATATATAAGGAGCTCAAACAACACAATAAGAATAAAACCAAATAATCCAACTTAAAAATTTGCAAAAAATATGAATAAACATTTCTCAAAAGGAGACATGCAAATGCCCAACAGGTATATAAAAAACCTCAACATCACTAATCCCCAGAGAAATGCAAATCAAAACTACAATGAGCTATAATCTCATTCCAGTTAAATAGCTTTTTAGGCGAGGCACTGTCCTAGCTACTCTGGAGGTGAAGGTGAGAGGATCACTTGAATCCACGAGTTTGAATTCAGTCGAGGCAACACAGGAAGACCCTGTCTCTAAAGAAATAAAAGGCTTTTATCCAAAAAACAGGCAACAACAAATGCTGTGGGGAATGTGGAGAAAGGGGAACCCCTTACATACTGTTGGTGGGAATGTAAATTAGTACAGCCACTATGGAAAACAGTATGGAGATTCCTCAAAATTTTTTTAAAAAGTAAAAATAGAGCTACTATATGATCCAGCAATCCCACTGAGAAAGGAAATTAGTATATCAAAGTAATATCTGCATTTCCATGTTTATTGCAGCACTATTCACAATAGCCGAGATATGGAATCAAACATCAACGGATGAATGGTTAAAGTAAATGTGGTACAAATACACAATGGAGTACTATTCAGCCATAAAAAAGAATGAAATCCTGTCATTTTTAATAACATGGATGGAACTGGAGGTCATTACGTTAAGTGAAATAAGCCAGGCACAGAAAGAGAAACTTTGCACTTTCTCCATAATATGTGGGAGTTAAAAAAAAAAAATGAACTTATGGACTTATGCTGTAGAATGTTGGTTACCAGAAGCTGGGAAGGGTAGTGGGGAGAGGGAGATAAAGAGGAGATGGTTAATGGACACAAAAATACAGATAGAAGAAATAAGATCCAGTGTTCAGTAGCATAATAGGGCAAGTACAGTTAACAATAATTTACTGTAATTTTCAAAATAACTAAAAGAATGGAATTGGAATGTTCCTAATACAAAGAAATGATAAATGCTTGAGGTAGTAGATACTTCAATTATTCTGATTTGATCATTATACATTGTATGCTTGTATTGAAATATCTAGTACCTCATAAATATGTACAGCTACTATGTATCCATAACAATTTTAAATAAAAAATTTAAAAGGCAATATTCATGCAGATATGATATATGGCAATAAACCACAGTCATTCAATTTTTGTTTGTACTTACTGTTTGCTTTTATGAAACCCTTTCAAAGGCACAGAGAATGCAGAAAAGTTGAGTCTGCTGTATTAAAGGAGGATCTATTTCCATATCCTATAATTGGCTTTCTGCTATTTGGACTCAAAGTCATTTCACAAATGAATGACAATTGGAGACTCTGGTTGCTTGTAGAGCTGTTCACAAATCTGGTTTCCGTATGGGAATGTGGTAGGATGGCACTCGCAGCTGTTGAAGTTAAGCGATGTGTTTTTATTTGTTTGTCTTTTTTAAAATAAATTTTACTGTGCATATTTAAGGTATACAATATGATGTTATGAAACATATGTGTACAGTAAAATGGTTACTGTAGTGGAACTAATTAACATATCCATCATCTCCCATAGTTACCCATCCACCCCCATGGCATGAGCAGCTATAATCTATTCATTTAGAAAAAAATCTTGAATATAATACACTACTATTAGATATAGTTAGTACATTAGATCTTTCAACTTGTTTCCCCTACATATTTGCCAGTTTGTATCCTTTGATCTACATCTCCCCATTCTCATCCTTCCACCCCCTCCCTGACCCTACTAACCACTATTTTATTTTCTATCTATATATTTGACCTTTTTTGAGATCATGCCATCTTTTTCTTTCTGGCTTATTTCACTTAACATAATGTTCTCCAGGTCCATCCATGTTGTGGCAAATGAAAGGATCTCCTCCTTTTTCAAGGCTGAATAATATTTGGCCAAAAAAATAGAGTGTCATTTACGGGAGAAACCTTTAAGAGCCATTATTTTGTTCACCACCTTTCTTTTTCTATACACTAGTAAGAACAGAAGCTCATTTCAAGATGAAGCCTCTGTCAAACTGAGTCCTGAAGCAAGGGGAATGAGCAGAGCCAGCTGTGCTCCACCTCTCAACTTCTTTGGATTTTAGCATATGAGAAAATGTGGTTGTTCTAAACCTCCTTTAGGGTTATTTGTTAATGTGGCTGAACCTAGACCATCCTTATACAGACACCAGTGAGTCAGTCAATCCTCACTCCTAGCAGGGTCTCCCTCTAAAACAATTGAGTCTCTGGACATTTAACACTGATAATGACTAAGAACTCACTATCTTGAAATAATGTTCTCCAATTTTAAGCAGTAAAAATTATTAAATATTCTTTGTTTTGAACCAAAACTTGCCTTTCTGTAACCTCCACTCAAAAGCTAATTTACATAATGAGCTTAGTTAATGAACAGGCACTTGTATAAATTTCTTCAGTGACATTCTGCAACTTAGAATTTATTACCTGCCTCAGGAAGTGTTCTGCTAAAACTATTTTCTGAAAAAGCCTAAATCTCAAACAACAGAACACACTGAATGTAAATTAAACAGCGCTCTTGAGTAGAAAATTAAATTGGTTCCATGACATGAGTTTTAAAGAAGCCAACATAATATAAACAGTGCTGCAGGTGACTGATAAACCTGCAAACTCAATTGATACCCTACCTTGGTAATAACCAATTGGGAAAATTAGAGTAATGGGCATGAGCATATCTCATTCACACACTATTATCTAAACAGAGCTAGAAAATATGTTCAAATAATTAATGACACCTGAATCCAGAAATATCAATATAGCATACACTTTAAAAGTACCCTTCTTTTAATTTTTGTAGGCAGAATGACCTACTCACCATAATCCCAGGTTAAAGCTCAAGTTTAGTGATTCAAACTGGTTCATTATATCAGTCTATTTTACAATTAGTGCAGAGGAATAAGTAACAACCTATTCAGTACAATTTAAAAGCCAATATGAAACTGCCATTGCCCCACATCTGTTTCCCAAGAGTGATTCACATTTTCCAGACTTACAGTATAACTTAGTACCTGAGCTTTTAAAAATCAACACAATTTACAGAAAGGTTCAACAGAAAAATAAGAAAAAAAAGAATATATTCCTCAAAAATGAAGAAATGTAAAAGGACACTGTAAAATATGCTTAAATTCAATGTAAATCAAGCAACAAAATTAAAGGAACAAGATTCAATTTTTCATCTGATATTGTAACTTTTGTTTTTACTAGCAATATCTATTATTGGTAAGAGTTTGGAAAATGCACCCTCTTATTTACTGTTAATCACCATGTAAAGTGACATGCTGAAGGATGGGGATGAATATCAATTATGCCTCCAAATCAGTAATAGCAAGCAGATACTAACCTTCTTCCACTAACCTTTCTGTATTAAGACTATCATAAAGATTGTGACTGGCCATCAACTTCAAGATTTATTCCACTTAATGGAGGGCATGGTAGTGTCAGTCATCTCTTTTGTGTCACCTCACATAATCTCAACTTGAACTCTGATTCCAGCCATGGCTATAGTGAACAGTATTGTGCAGGTTTCATTCTACCTTATACCAACTGCCCATATCAGCCTCTGATATGAGCTCTTCTACAATGTGCTACTCATTTTATAACCTTTTCTGAAGAATTAGGTAGGACAGTGTAGGTTTACACATTATTAGTTGAACTAAAAAATAAGAGATAAACATTCAGCTTCAGGAATAGGGAGCCCTTAGAGTTAATTAAGTTCCTATACTGACCAATTTCTGAAACTCTGGAGGACACTCAGCTAGAATGTCTATTGTACTGGTCCAAGAAGGATCAACAGGAACTGTGGAAAATGAGACGAACCTATCAGATACAGTAGGATTTCTATATTTTATCCATTTTCTCCAGGGAAGAACAATCATCTCACAGGGCTTTCCTGTTAATCTTGATGGCTTAAACAAAAAAGTGGGAGAACCAGGGAAGAGGAAAGCTTTATTTCTCACAGTTCTGGAGGCTGGGAACTCCATGATAAAGGTATCAGCTTATTTGGCTCCTAGTGAGAGTCCTCTTCCTGGTTTGCAGATGGCCATCATCTTGCCATGTCCTCACATGGCAAAAAGAGAGGGAGAGGTTTGGAGAGAGAAGGAGAGAGGGAAAGAGTGCTGTCTTGTCTCTTCTTATAAGGGCACTAATCCCATTATGAGGACCCCATCCTAGTGATTTCCTTTTGACCTAATTACTTCTCAAAAACCCCATCTCCAAATACCATCACAT
Source organism: Homo sapiens (assembly GCF_000001405.40). NCBI lineage: Eukaryota > Metazoa > Chordata > Mammalia > Primates > Hominidae > Homo > Homo sapiens. The sequence continues at coordinate 113,619,728 of NC_000023.11, read as the reverse complement.
TGTAGGTTAGGACTTCAACATATAAATTTTCGGGGAGCAAAATTCAGTCCATAGCCAGAAAAGTAAGAGATCTCATAGTACTTGAATTGATTCTGGAATAACATATTTATTTTTAAAAAGTACTATGGGCCAGGTGCGGTGGCTCATGCCTGTAATCCCAGGAGGCTGAGGCAGGTGGATCACCTGAGGTCAGGAGTTCGAGACCAGCCTGGCCAACATGGTGAAACCCTGTCTCTACTAAAAATACAAAAATTAGCCAGGCGTGGTCACAGGTGCCTGTAATCCCAGCTACTCAAGAGGCTGAGGCAGGAGAATCACTTGAACCCAGGAGGTGGAGGTTGCAGTGAGCCGAGATCACACTACTGCACTCCAGCCTGGGGGGCAAGAGCGAGACTTCATCTCAAACAAAAAAAAAAAAAAAAAAAAAAAAAGCACTGTGAGTCTGAGGGATGACAAGTTTTTGATTTGTACAAAGACTGGTAAAATTATTTTATATAACTCAATCATGAAAGTAATCACTCTTTGTCAACCTATAAATTCTGAGGAAGATGAAAGAAGATAATTCCCTAAACTGCATTGTTTTGTCAATTTGTTAAAAATTATTTTCCATTTGCAATCAATCATTCATGCTATGTTTATTTGCTTTTAGTTTGTTTATTTATTTAGAGTTTGAGACATTACCATAACAGTCAGTTGGCTGTAAAGAGATTATCATAACAGTTGGCTATAAAGGGATATTATTTGATTTTACATTTAGTCCTACATACATTTTAAAATACTACACCATTTTCCCTGCTTTACACAGGCTGACAGATGCTTAAAAAAACAGGATAATATAATGAAGGAAATGAAAATCTTAACTCCGTTTTTAAAAACCTTGCTTTAACATAGATGATAATACATATTCTGTAAATTCAGGAGAAATTACTTCTTAGAGATTTTAGTCATATGAGTCAAGCAATAGAGAAATAGGACCTTGCTGAGATAGCTTGGGTATCAGCCCAGGCGGGCACCTCTAAAAGTATTAAATGTTCGTTTACACCACAGTAAGCAAACTCCCTTTAAGTGATTCCTCAAACTGAGCTGAGTACCTTTATTTGACCCAAATAAATCTTCATTTGTCCGGGTGGTTAATTGGATGATTCAGTTCATTTGTTCTTCTATTTCACTGACAATTAACATATATACTTTATATGAATTACCCCTTTTCAACAAAATGACATTTCACTGTAGGCAACACTGAACACAATTTATATTCTTTAATTACTGAGAAGGCACCTTGTGATCTAGTTACAGGACCTCAGGGATATCATAGTAAATCTCGAACATCACAGTGATGTATAAGTGATGTGTAAGAAACTGATTGAACCTAAGTTCTTTCGATTTCAGAAAAAATCATCAATTTGTTTATATTTTATTAGGTCATAATTTTCACAATATAGTATGTAAAATTATTTATAAACACTTTAAATATGGCAATGTCAGTAGCTCATCCATTTCAATCATTAGCGTTTTTTTAACTGTAGAAATTGACATTATTTAAATCCTTACTGTTTTCTCTCCTTTCTTTCTCAGTGTCAAAGCACTTCAATTAAAACACAGAAACTATAGAAAATCATCTGGTAAACATGCTGATGATGTCCTAAACCTGATCACTTGTCTCAAAATTTAGTACGTGTAAGTTTAAACCCATAATTACAGTTTTATTTAAAGTAGCATCACATAGAAAATTAGAAAAACATTCAGGTATTGAACCTATCAAGTGAGTTCTTATTTTAGGAATTTGCTATATAGTTACTTTTCAAAAATTTGTGGAGGAATTGACCAATTTTAGACTAATGTTTCTACTATTGGAAACAGAACTGTGATGCCTTCACCTCTTTAGCTGAATTTAACAATTAGATAACGGCCTAGTGGTGATGTCTCACCCCACTTTGTTGATAAAAAAGAAATGTTATCTTTGTAACTTCTGTAGTTGAATCAAACATAAAAAGCACAATGCTCAGGCTGAAATAGCTGTTTCTTATTTCTTTGATTCCCCCAACCCAACTTTCCCTCTCAGTAAACTGGCGGTCCCACATGGCACTTCTTCTCTTCTTCCAAAAATCCAACAATTGTGTTCATCAGTTGTTGCCTAATAATCAAGCCAGTATGTGAAAGTGAACCATCATAGGAATATATTTATTCCATCTCCAGAAACACAAAGCAAGATCTGATTAGAAATTTGTTTTAAACAGTGATTTGTTTTACTCATTGAAGTCCCCCTCCCTCTGTCTCTTAATGGGGGAGCTTTTTCCTTCTTTCTTGCCTATTAAACTCTCCGCTTGTTAAAACCACTCCACGTGTGTCTGTGTCGTTTTATCTTTTTTGTTTGTTCGTTTGTTTGAGGCAGAGTCTCGCTCTGTCACCCAGGCTGGAGTGCGGTAGCACAATCTCCGCTCACTGCAAGCTCCGCCTCCCAGGTTCACGCCATTCTCCTGCCTCAGCCTCCCGAGTAGCTGGGACTACAGACACCCGCCACCACGCCCGGCTAATTTTTTGTATTTTTAGTAGAGACGGGGTTTCATCGTGTTAGCCAGGATGGTCTCGTTTTATCTTAGTCGGTGCAAAACCAAGGACCCTGGCGTTCCGCCAGTCATCAAAGCCGTATCATCGTGAATTTTTACTCCATCAGCCAATGAAAACAAGGTCAAATGTAGTTGTTGTGTGTGTGTGTGTTCACTTTAATTTTGGTTTTAGAAAGATAACTTGGAGTCAAATTGCTATTAGCTTTCAATTTCTATTGATTTTGAATCTTGTTGACAGGGTCTATTATTTGTCAACTCAATATGCATTATTACTCTTTGCTTAGTGTCTTAACTATTGTTTTAATTGGGATTCCAATGCACTCAGCAAAAAAGATTTCATTTCCCAGGTTCTCTTACAGTTAGGTGTGGTATTAAGACTAAGATGTATGTAGAAGTTATAGGATGAAAGTATTTTGAAAGTTTCTAAAAGATGGGCAGATGCATGCCCTTGTTTTCCCTTAACCTCCTGTCTTCTTTCTCCTGACAGGAAAGTTAATGGCTGAAGATTCAGCAGCCATTCTGAACTGGAAATTACATGTTAAGGCTGTTATAGAAGAAATAAAGAAATTAAATCTCTATGTCCCCAAGGTATCTCTATACCGGCCTGGAATGCCTATCTCCAAACCTCCTTTACATGAGACAGAAACAGCTTCTATCACCTTAAAATCTGTTACTTTAGGTTTTTTTCATTATGAGCAGCTAAAATGAATCTTACTTGATACAGTGTGAGTGTTCATGGATTAGGGCATTGTTTGATAAGAGGAGTAAGAAAAGAATATAAATTGTATTGGCCCTGATATGCCACAAACAATGAGGGCTGAAGCCAAATTAATCAAAGAATAAACTCAAATACAAAGAACAACGTCTTTTTGTTGGTTTCAGCTCTAACAAGTAAATAATCTAGAAGTAATCAGTACTCTTCTTACAATAAGAAAAAAGTTGAACAAACTGAAAATGAATGACTTTTCTTCAACCCAGAAGAGAAGTAAAATCACAGAGCAAACTGCCCTTTTGAAATCTGGAAAGACTAGCAAATTCATTGAGTCCCAGCTGTAATTTCCTTGAATGGAGCATAAATCTCTAGAGCCATACATAAATTGATAGGGACACCTAAATGGTAATTTTAACTAATTGCTGAAGACTGAGTGTAGGCTAACATGAAAATGAGAGACTCCTGGGGGCCACAGTCTTAGGGATGCCCCCACACTTTCATGGACTTTACCTCCAGGAAGTTTTCTATGTTCTCACTGCCAAGAACCAAGACAGATGGCAGGGCTCTGGTAGGAGGAGAGGAAAGGTAACATTATGAAACATTTCTAGGGCATTCTCCATAACAAAGACCTATTCTCCAGGGGAAAATAATTAACGGAGCTTTGCCCCAGAGCCCTGAGAAGATGGCATTCTTTTCAATTTAGCCTCCTCTAGTATTTAGGTGAGAGAGGCGTCTCATCTAAAGTGGAAGATAGAAGAAAAACTAAGCTATACAAGAAAAAATATTTATAAAGGTTACAGGCCAAAATGTATAGCCACTAAAAGACTGAGAATTAAGTGGAAGATTATATAGGACTAGTTTTCCACACTTTGACATGATTACCAGTATAATAACAATATATTACAGCTGAAAGAACCGCAAGACTCAAGCTTCATTTTAGGAATACTTAGGGAATACCATAGTCAAGAGCAGTGACAAAAATAAGACACTGGAAGAATCTGAAGCATCTGGTAACTACAGCTACAGCTAATATTAAACAAAAACTGACTCCTAGGTAAATTAACATAAATTCTCACACTAGTAGCCTACTTACCACAGCTCTTATTACCTAATGCAACACATCTAGCCTTTAAAAAATATTGCATAGTATGCCAAGTGGCAGGAAAAAAGCAATCTGAAAAGAAAAGCAAGCATCAGAACCAGACTTAAATATGGCAGAGACGTTGGAAAATAACCATGATTAAAATGTTAAGGGATGTAATGAAAAAAAAAATCTACAACATGCAAGAACAGATGTTAATGTAAGCAGAGACATGGAAAATCTAAAGTAAATGCTAGAAGCATTAAAACAGAGATGAAGAATGCCCCTGATGGTCTCATCAATAGACTGAATAGGGCAGGGAAAGAATCAGTGAGCTTGAAGATAAGTCAGTGGAAACTTCCTGTACTGAAATGAAAAAGAAAAAATATTAATAAAAAAGAATATGTAAGAACTGTAGAATAATATCAACATATGTGCTTATTCAGAATAAAGGAGAATGGCTTAGAACTTTTCAAAATTAATGACACACAAAACAAACCACAGATACAGAAAGTACAGAGAACACCATTCAGAATATATACGAAAAGGACTACAGATAGGCATATCATATTCAAACAGCAAAAATACAAAGATTAAAAAAAACTTGAATAAAGCCTGGGGAGTGGGGATGAAGGAAGCCATCTTACTTATACAGAAAAAAATGATAAGAATTACAGCAGACTTCTGATCCAAGACCATGAAAGCAGAAGGGAGTGAAGTGAAATATTTAAAGTGTTGAAAGAAAAAAAGAAAACCCAACATACTAGAATTCTTTTTTTTCTTCTTTTTTCTTTTTTCTTTTCCTTTTTTTCTGGTGAGATGAAGTATCTCTTTGTTGCCCAGGCTGGAGTGCAGTGGCACAATCTTGTCTCACTGCAACCTCCACCTCCTGGGTTCAGGTGATTCTCCTGCCTCAGCCTCCTGAATAGCTGGGATTACAGGCGCCTACCACCATATCCAGCTAATTTTTGTATTTTTAGTAGAGAAGCGGTTTTGCCATTTTGGCCAGGCTGGTCTCAAACTCCTGACCTCAGGTGATCTGCCTGCCTCGGCCTCCCAAAGTGCTGGGATTACAGGTGTGAGTCACCGGGCCCAGCCCCCACAAACTAGAATTCTATATCCAGTGAAATTATACTTCAAAAGTGGAGGCATACCACTAAACATCTACTAGGCTGACAAAAATCTGAAACACTGGCAACACCAAATGCTGATGAGGAGATGGTGCAACAGAAATTCTCATATATTGCTGGTGGGAATGCAAAATGATATAGCCACTTTCAAAGACAGTTTGGCAGTTTGTTATAAAACTAAACATATTTATACTATATGATCCAGCAATCACACTCCTTGGTATTTACCCAAATGAGTTGAAAACTACATCCACACAAAAACCTGTAGAGATGTTTATAGCAGGCTTATCCATAATTGCCAAAACTTGGAAGCAATGAAGATGTCCTTCAGTAGGTGAATTGATAAACTGGTACATCCAGACAATAGAATAGCATTCAGCCCTACATATATATATATACGGAATTTATCACTAGCAGACTTTTCCTACAAAAAAATTAACACATTTTTCTATAGGCAGAAAGAAAATGACATAGGTTAAAAATATATATATAGTCGTGAAATGATATAGAGAACCTTAAATGCATACTATCAAGTGAAAGCAGCCAGCCAAACTGAAAAGGCTACGTATGGTATGATTCTAATCATGTAACATCCTGGAACAAGGGAAACTATGGCAAAAGTAAAAAGATCGGTGGTTGCCAGGGGTTACGGGGAAGAAGGAATTAATAGGCAGAGTACAGAGAATTTTTAGCGTGGTGAAACTATTCAACATGATACCATAATAGTGGATATATGCCATTATAGATTTGTTAAAGCCCATAGAATGTACAACACCAAGAGTGATCCCTAATGTAAACTATAGACTTTGGGCAATAATGGTGTGTCAAAATAGGTTCATTAATTGTAACAATTGTACCACTCTGGTGCAGAATTTTTTTTTTTTTTTTTTTTTTTTTTTTTTTTTTGAGATGGAGTCTCCCTCTGTCACCCAGGCTGGAGTGCAGTGGCACGATCTCGGCTCACTGCAACCTCCGCCTCCTGGGTTCAAGCGATTCTTCTGCCTCAGCCTCCTGAGTAGCTGAGATTACAGGCACATGCCACCATGCCCATCTAATTTTTATATTTTTAGTAGAGACGGGGTTTCACCATGCTGGCCAGGCTGGTTGCAAGCTCCTGACCTCGTGATCTGCCCACCTTGGCCTCCCAAAGTGCTGTGATTACAGGCATGAGCCACTGTGTCCGGCCTGGTGCAGAATGTTAATAGTGGGAGAGGCTGTGTACCTGTGGGGATAGGAGTGTATAGGAACTACCTATATTTTTCTCTTAATTTTGCTGTGGAACTAAAACTGTTCTAAAAAATGAAATCTATTATTTTGAAAAGGGAATTTATCACTAGCAGAGTTTTCCTGCAAAAAAATTAACACATTTTCTATAAGCAGAAGGAAAATGACAGAGGTCACAAATATGGAACTACATAAACAACGGAAAAGCCTTAGAGAAGTAAGAAATGAAGGTAAAATAAAATCTTTTGTTTTTCTTAGTCTTAATTGATCAAAAACATAACTTTGTTTAAAAGACTGAAAGTAGCAGTATATTGAATGATAATAGCATATAAATAAATGAAAGGAATGATAGCAATAAAATATGGAATAGGAGGGAAAAAATTCCTAATACCCTTTTATAAAGTAGCTGCACCACATGTAAAGTGGAATAGTGTTATTAAAAGTGGGCTTAATTAGTTGTGAATATGTATTGTAAACATCAATTACCAAAATTTTAAAAGTAAAACTAATAATAAAATGGAGTCATAAAAATATTCAAAACCAGAGAACATTGAAAAAGAGTGGCAAAAAAGAAACAAGGTACAAGTGTAACAAATAGAAAATAACAAACATGGTATATGTTAATCCAGCTATATCAATATAGCATGATAACACTAAGGAAAAGAAGATAAAGTTCCTATGTGAATTTCAGACAAAACAGACTTCAGAACAAGGAAAGTTATCAAGGATAAAGAGGGAAATTGTATAGTTATAAAGAGGTCAATTCTCTAGCAAGACATAACAATATTTAATGTGTATGCACCTAATAACAGAGCATTACAATACACGAAGAAAAAGCTGACAGAACTTCAAGAAGATATAGATGAATTCACTATTATAGTTGGAAACTTCAGTACCCCTCTCTCAATATTAATAGATTAAGCATGTGGAATATCAGCAAGCATATAGTTGACGTAACAGGACTGTCAATAAAAGAGGGCTAATTGATATTTATAGATTTCTCCATCCAATACCAACAGAATATATGTTCTTCTTAAGCTTCCTGGAACATTCACCATCATTGATCATTTTCTGGGCCATAAAACACACCTCAACAAATTAAAAGAAATAGATACAATACAAACTATGTTCTTATATTATAAGGGAACTAAACTAGAAATGAATATCAGAAAGACCTGAATAATCTGCAAATATCTGTAGATTGAACAACACGCTTATAAATAACACATAAGCCACATAAAAGTATCAAGAGGAAATTCATAATATTTTGAAGTAAATGAAATGAAGATACAACTTATCAAAATTTGTGGAATGCAGCAAAAGTGTGAGTTAGAGGGAAATTTATAGCACTAAATGTATATATTTAAAATAAAGAAATTTCTAAAATCAATAATCTGAGCTACTTTAGGGAACCAAAAAAAAAAAAAAACAAGAACAATTTGAGTGTAAAGCAAGCAGAAAAAATAAATAATTGCAGCACTACTCACAATAGCAAAGACTTGGAACCAACCCAAATGTCCAACAATGATAGACTGGATTAAGAAAATGTGGCACATATACACCATGGAATACCATGCAGCCATAAAAAAGGATGAGTTCATGTCCTTTGTAGGGACATGGATGAAACTGGAAACCATCATTCTGAGCAAACTATCGCAAGGACAAAAAACCAAACACCGCATGTTCTCACTCATAGGTGGGAATTGAACAATGAGAACACTTGGACACAGGAAGGGGAACATCACACACCGGGGCCTGTTGTGGGGTGGCGGGAGGGGGTAGGGATAGCATTAGGAGATATACCTAATGTAAATGACGAGTTAATGGGTGCAGCACACCAACATGTCACAAGTATATATATGTAACAAACTTGCACATTGTGCACATGTACCTTAGAACTTAAAGTATAATAAATATATATATAAATAAAAAATAAATAAAAACTAGAATAGGAATCAATGAAAGTGAAAACAGGAAATTAACAGAGAAAATCAACAAAACCAAAAGTTGGTTCTTCAAAAAGTTTCATAAAATTGAAAAAAACAAACAAACAAAAATCTCTATCCAGGCTTCTCAAGAAGAAAACAAAATTCACATATTTCCATATTGGAACTGAAAGAGGACTTATCCCTACTGATCCTGAAGACATTAAAATGCTAATAAAGGGACAGTACAAACCATTCTGTCCATACGTTTGATAACTTAGATAAAATGGATCAATTCCCTAAGAAACAGAAACTATCAAAACTCACACAAACAGAAACCTGTGTGAATCTGAATAGACCCATATATATTAGTGAAATTGAAGCAATAATTTATAACTTTCCAAAAAAGAAAGCACCATCCCCAGATGGTTTCACTGATGAATTCTACCAAACATTTAAGGTAGAAATGATGCCCATTCTCCACAATGTTTTCCAGAAAACAGAGGCAGAGAAAACCTTTTCTATTTAATTCTATAAGGCCAGATTTACCCTAATACCAAAACCAGATAAGAACATTGCAAGAAAGGAAAACTACTCCCCAATATATCTCATACACATGCATACAAAAATACTTGACCAAAAAACTAACAAATCAAATCCAACAATGTATAAAAAGAATTATCTACCATGACCAAGTGAGATTTATTGTGGATATGCAAGACTAGTTCAACATTTGAAAATCAGTCAATATAATCCAAAACATGAACAAGTTGAAGAAGAAAAATCATTGTGATAAAAATACAAAGGCTATAGAATAGGCTCAGTGCAATAACAAGCGTTGATTATAAATATAATTTCAAGCCTTATGGGATGTGAGAGTTCTGTTCCGTCAAAGAATATTGGTTATATGACTGAAAAGGGGAGAGAGCTAGCAAATCAATTTCTTCCACTAAAGTGCCTTGTGACCCTACAAAATGATGTACAGATTCACATTTAGACAAAAAGCAACATACATCTCCACCTTCACCTAAAATTAAATCTAGCAGGTATAAACATAATGTGTGTTCCTGTGAATCATCCTGCCTTCTCAAATTTGAGACAAGTTCTTTCTACATTCCGGGGCTTTATTGGAGAAATTTGTGGGTGGTGATGTTATTATATGTAAATAATAGTTGAAGAGATTTTATAAAAAACACAGTTTATGTCATTAGAGACCAGTAGTTGTCTCTAAAAATACAAAGTAACACACAATTAGATTAATGAACAAGGTCAGTGTAGTTTAATGTTAGATTATAGAAGAACTTGAATTTTAAGCTCAGGAATTTACAGCTTATTCTGAAAACACATTCAAAATCAAAATTAGACTTACTCATGTTTTATAGTCAATATTTTTCATAACTTTATATAAACTCCAAAATTCAAGAGTAAATATTTTTAACTCCTTTTATGACCATTCCCAAAAGAGTGAATATTTTATTATTATTTTTTTAAGACAGGGTCTCCCTATGTCACCCAGGCTGGAGTGCAGTGGTACAATCATAGCTCGCTGTAGCTTTGACCTCCTGGGCTCAAGTGATCCTCCCACCTCAGCTGCCCGAGTAGCTAGGACAACAGATGTGTGCTACCATTCTTGGCTAATTTTTCTTCATTTTTTGTACAGATGGAATCTCACCATGTTGCCCAGGCTGGTGTTGAATTCCTGGGCTCAAGCGAGTTCCCATCTTTGCCTCCCAAAGTGCTGGGATTACAGGCATGAGCCACTGTGCCCATCTGGCTACATTTTATTTATGAAGCCTCTGCCATGTACAAATTATTTGAAGCTTAAAATTTATTTTGTAAAAGAAAATAAATGACAAAATGTCTATTTACTTTTTGTCATTCTGGATATTGGAGGGAGGTGATGTGAAGAAGGCAGGTATCAAGGGAGGATGGTATTGATCATTTAGAGGGGCTAAGCAAGTAGGTTGGATAGAAACTGCTGTTGTTTGAATGTATCCTCTCCAAAATTCGGGTGTTGCCAATGAGATAGTATTAGAGTCTTTAAGAGTTGATTAGGCCATGAGGGCTTCTCTCTGGTGAATGGGATTAGATGCCCCTTGTAAAAGGGCTTGACAGAGGGAGTTTGTCCCTCTTACCTTCCTGCTTTCCACTATGTGAAGATGCAGTAAGTCCCTCACTAGATGCTGATGCCTTGATCTTGGACTTCCTTGTCTCCAGAACTGCGAGAAATACATTTCTGTTTCTTATAAGTTACTCAGTGTCAGGCATTCTGTATAGCAGCACAAAACAGACTAAGAAAGAAACCTAGGTTTAGAATCACCAATAACTGGCTAATAATTGTGACTCAAACCATTGGCTCTTAAATTTTGCTATGCATAAACATTATTCCGAGTTTTTTTAATAAAAATGCAGATTTCACTCCTTGGGATTGGGCCAGGTATCAACAACTCTAACAGGCATCACAGGTGACTCCGATAAAGAGGTATATCTTAGATTGTAGTCCCCAAAAGTGGACCCTAAGATAAGGATTCATTTATTAAGAAAATGCTCCTAGGAGAAAATAATAAAGGAAAGGAAACAGAGTAGAGAAAATGCAAAGAAGCCAAACAGGAGTGACATTTTGGGCAAAGTCTCAGCCTCAGGTCTGATCCTCTGGAGAGGTTAAGGGCATAAATTTCAAATTCAGTCAGTCCCAACTTGAGTCAAAGGAGGTAGGTTTTTATACCCTGCCTCAACTGTAAGTCATAGGCTGAGTTGTTAACTCCCAGGTACTTCTGGCTCTGCATGTATATGTCTGAGTGTGTGGCTATAGTAACCTAGTCAGTCTCTCAAAGAAGACTTTTTCCTGCAGGTTCTTATAAACAAACCCACATTCAAGCAGAGGAGAAGAGATAGATCTAAGATGATCTGAATAGAATGCCAATTGTGTCTCTTGCAGGGCCTGTGGAGCACATTTTGAGGCACATTGCTCTCTATTTTTATTTGAATTGTCAAAAACAATGATCTGTGGATGAGATCACATTAACATAACACTGGACCCATACAAAAGGGGAAAAGCTAGTACACCAAAAATTAGATTAGGGCAATGTGAAACTGAGTGGAGGTGATTTTCTAAATCAGATTCAAAGCTGCCTTCTGCAGCTTAATAGTGAAAGATCTGAGACTGAAGCAGAACTTGTAAGGGATTAGGTCATCTGCAGAGCAAAATTAATATAGATCCTTCACCTGTTTACTCATGAAGAGATGAAGAGTAAACAGCTTCTGGGGGAATCTGTGGCTCCCACCAGCCTTCCTAGTGGGGTTTGCCCATATTTCCATCAGACAATTTATATTATTTATGTTTTGCACACAGCCTAGACAAGGTTAAAGGATGAGAAAAGAACTAAAGACTCTATTCTACCTAAGGTGTACCACGGAGACTTCTGTAATATCATCAAATCAAATTTTGTACAGATTTTCTCTGTTTTTAAAACATTTTCAATATTGTGTTTGCTGGAGTAATAAGGAAAGACATGTTTTCATATCTTTGCTAGAATAAAAGAGGGCTATATATGGTCTGAAAGCCTAAAGAAGCTCAGAGAATTTTGACTGACTAGGAAATATAAGATAGAGTAAATCTAACTGGAAAAACATACCCTTCAATTGTAACCCGCTACTTATATGGTATGTTTAGGGAAATTCGCATTCCGAATAAACATGATTCCTGTCGGACACATGTTTCAGAAATTGAACAGATGGAAAAAAAGCCATGAGTAGATTTAATTTGACTTATGGTATACATGTGATTAAAAATAGAGAGTCAGGATAGGGGACAGTGATGAGATATCCCATGTGAAAATAGAAAAATGGTTCCAAGCATTTCTTAACATTTTAAGTTTACTTGATTCTGTCCTAGGTAGGTCATGAGGCTGCTGAATAGTTTATGAAAGTTGCAAAGAACAGCAATCTCAAGATATTCAGATAAACGATTAATAATTTTTCTTCTATGGCCATTCTGTGGGAATGAATGTGTAGGGGTGTGTGAGTGTATACAAATCTGTATAAATGTGTACTTCATGTGAATACTTCAAATTGAACAGCACTATAAAAATTTAAATTTGTTACAAATACCTTGGTATTTACTAAACTGATATTCAGTTATTGCCCTGGGAAAATCTTTTTCAATGAGCCTGTCTTCTCAATTTCATATTCGCTTTTACTCAGCACTGAAAATAAAGGCAAATTTCAGCTTATCATACTGTAGTATAACCAATCTATTGATAGCATTCTTAAACTCTTCCACAAAACCTTTTCCTCTCTTATTCTTTCTACCTCCTCTAGAGATTTATTTTCACAATGGGTAATTCTAACTTCAACGCTGTCTTGAAATCACTGCATTGACCTCTCATCAAGCAACTCTCTGATATTGACTTGGTTTCCCTACTGGGCAGGCGTGCAAGTTAGTCAATAGGAAGCTTCTGTTCCACTTGGCACTTTTATTGCTTAGTGTTAACACATATATTGATGTTTTTTGCTTTTTAAAAATCACTCTCTTAAGAGTATAGCTAGCAATACCCAAGAGTCAAATCTCATCTGCTAAATTGATCTAAATAAGTCTATAACTCTGAAATTGTGAAAATCCTGTCAGAATACAGATACTTTTTGAGGCCATTTCTAAACACAGTAAAATTGTCCACCCCCCACAACCCACATACCCACTTCCACTTATATTACCATAGCTCCTTTTCTTCTGCCTTTAAATATGCATAATTTTCTCCAATATTTATTTAAAAATTAAATAAAATCATTTGGCATTGCTGTTTCCTCTTTCATCCTCATACTCTACACTGCCCTGAAGACTGTTACTACTTTCTCACAGTATCATTCCAAGCCTAGTTCGCATCTTCATACCTGACATTCTCTGGAACCAAATACTCCTCACCCATACCACTTATCAGAGTTTTATAATTCACATTAGTTTATATGTACAAATATTTGATTAAAATATGTGTCTCCATCTAAGTGTAGGCATCACATGTGCCCAGCATGTAGTACTGTGCATGGCACATAGCGGACGATCAGGTACTTGTTGAATGAATGGTTTGGTGAATATCTATTTCTTATAGGAATTAATTATATTACTTATCTTCATTAAGCCACAGCTCTTTCACTCTTTAATTTCATAAAATCGTCTTTTTTTCTAGCCTCCCAATTCCCCAAAACTGCTTTGTTGAAGGTAATTAATGTCATAACTACAAAATCCAGTCAATTTTTTGGTATTCTATCTCAGTTTTTCTGTAGCATTTGACACTGTTAACTGGTCTCTCAAGGCTGGCTTGGAGCACTTTTACTCTTTTGGTTTCCAAGATATTTTATTATTCAGCTTCATCTTCTACTTTTCTAATTACCATTTCTTTGTCTCTATTGTTTTTAGCTTTCCTCCAAATTTTTTCAAATGTAAGAATTTACTAAGGTTCACTTCCTGACCCTGGAATTACTGTTCTAAACTTATTACTCTGGTGAATTCTATCTTATACCTTCAATCACCTTCTCTAGATTTTTAGGCTTAACCTATCGTAACATCAGCGCTCAAGTTCCCTGATGTAAATTGCCTATTGAACATTTCTATGAATGTCCTTCAGTTACCTAGTTTCCTTCTTACTTTTCCCTTAACATACTAACTCCCTCAGATAAGAATGGGAAACTAATTTATCCTGTTCACCCCTTATTAAACTACTCAGACCTGTCAATTCCTTCAGTTCATTCTTGCACATGCATCCATTCTTTTTAGTTTCCACCTTTAAATTCTCAGTACTCCATAGCAGAAAATAAACTCTCTGTGTCTTAGTTCACACTGTAACCGCAAATTTAAAATTGAAGGTGCTGACAAAATGCTTCATACAATAGTGCCAAATAAGGGGATGAATACTTTCAGTCAATGAATAATTTGCAGCAAATAATTTAAAAAATTAATTCAACAAATGTTTATTCAACAGCTATAGTATATGACACACTGAACAAGACATAAGGCACTTGCTATCATGAGAATTACATTCATAAGGAGAGAGAGGAAATAAAATTAAATATATAAATAAATAAGCAAGAGTATGTGGGAGAATAATGTTTCTACAAAAAGGAAAGAAAATGAGGCCACGTGATGACTGTGAAATGATAGTTGCAAAAGCATTTAATATAGAAATAATAATTGTGATGATAGTTGCATCAAACTCATTATGTTAAAACGGGAAGTGGAAAAGCAACACAACATTTAGTGTATACTGCCGCAGCTAATCATCATGTTATACACTTTAAATATATGCAATTTTATTTGTAAATATACATCAATAAATCTGAAATAAAGTGAAATATAAATAAATAGACTACACATCAATGAAAAATGAGAAACTAAATTTTGCAATAAACTGAATCAGTCATAGAAGTAAAGACTGCCTGAGGAAGAGTACAGAAGGACCTGGCTGATTATAATCCTGAATTATTTCACTGTTGAATTTCATATCTTTATGATTTATAAAGGGAAAAGACTTTGTTTATGCATAAGCCATTAAGGACTGCATTTCACAATATCCATGTTCTCCCTAGTAGATAAGGGAATGTAAATCAAGTACACAGTGTGCATTTACCTCTTTAAACGCATCTTCTCACAAAGCATTATGTTCCTTCACATATTACTACCTCATAGAGCAGAAAAGAACATATATCATGTGTTGGTTCTCCCGCCAATTTCCCTTTATATTAAAAATACTTGGAAAAATACATTCTAACAAACCGGTATTTCAGAAGCTAGTCTTCAGAAGATGACCTAAGAACTTAGTTGAGATTCAGCATAGATTCAAAATAAATCTTTTCAAATACATATACACACTTCAGTTTTTAATTTTATACATCCAAACTCAATACATTCTTTTTAGTTATTGATATTATCGAATAGGAAGGTCCAGCAACCAATCTTTAGTGAGGATTTCTACCATATGGAAGATGGCAAAGATCATAACCATGCCAACCACCAGAAAAGAAAAAAGGTATAGAAAGATCAGTGTATTTAGTGTGTGTCAGTCTCCCATGGGTGGAAGGTTCCTCCCAATAGGTGACACAGAGTGATGGACAGCACACCCCTCCTCTTGCTACAGGTGAAGACTCATTCTCTCCCTATTGAGGGCAGATACACTAGTCAGGCTGGCCAGGTGCCATAAGATGCACATGCTTAAGCAGTACAAGGAAGTTAACTGTGTACTCAGAACAGGGGAAGATTTCTCCTAATAAAGAAGAAGAATCTGGAGCCTGGGACAGCTCAGGCATCCAATCTCCACAGAAGGGAATGTTCCCAGCCCAGAGCACTGACTGAACAATCCTGGAGTGGGGGCAATATATCAACCAGTGCCTGATTCCACAACATAACAACATACATGCATTCCAGTGTCATCACAGAAAGACTTCTGGTAATGGGTAAAGTTAATTATGTCACACATTTTGAATATTTGCCTTGTGTTTTTGTGTTGTGATTAAAAAGTATTAACATAAATTTACCTTAACAATTTTAAACCATACGTTATGGTATTATTAACTACATGCACATTGTTGTACAAGATCTCTCTAGAATTTTTTCATCTTGCATGACTGAAACTCTTTACCCATTGAAAAACAACTCTGTTTCCCCTTTCTCCCAACTCCTGGCAATCACCATTCTACTTCCTGCTTCTAAGAATTTGATTACTTTCGATAACTCATGCAGTATCAAGTGGAATCCTGCAGTATTATTTTGTGATTGGTTTATTTCACTTTTAATGTCTTTATGGTTCATCCATGCTATAGCATATGACAGGATTTCCTTCTTTTCTAGGGCTGAATAACATGTGGTTGTGTGTATATACCACATCTTCTTTAATAATTCATCTGTTGATGGACACTCAAGTGGCTTTCACATCTTGACTATTGTAAACAATGTCGCAATAAACATGGGTGTACAAATATCTCTCTTTGAGATCCTGTTTTGAATTTTTTGAGTATATACCTACTAGTGGAATTGCTGGGTCATATGGTAGTTCTACTTTTAATTTTTTGAGGAAACTACAACTATTTTTCATAGTGGCTGCACCATTTTATAATTCCAACAATGCACAAGGGTTCTAGTTTCTTTACATCCTCACTAACACTTGTTATTTCCTATTTTTTGATAGTGTCTATCCTAATGGGTGTAAAGTAATATCTCATGTGGTCTTTATTTGCATTTCTCTGATAATTAATTATCTTGAGCATCTTTTTTCATATACCTGTTAGCCATTTGTATGTCTTCTTTGGAGAAACATATATTCTTATTCAGTTTATTTGCCTGTTTGTTAACTAGGTTTCATTTTGTTGTTGTTATTGAGTTGTAAGAGTTCTTTGTATGTCTTGGATTTTAACCCCTTATTAGATAATATTTTCTCTCGTTCTGTAGTTTGCTTTTTCACTCTGGATTGTTTCCTGTGCTGCAAATAATTTTAAGTTTGATGCAGTCCTGTTTATCTATTTTTGCTTTTGTTAACTGTGTTTATGGCATCTTATCCAAATAAATAATTGCCCAGTCCAATGTCAGGAATAATTTCCTCAAGGTTTTCCTTTAGGGATTTTATAGTTTCAGGTCTTATTTTCAGGCTTTTAATCCATTTTTAATTAATTTATACGTCTGTATACAATAAAGGTTCAATTTCAGCTTTTTCCTGTAGATTTCCAGATTTTCCAAGCACTATTGGTTGAAAAGATGATTTTTTCTCCATTGTGTAGTCTTGGAGCCCTTGTTGATGATTAGTGGACCAAATATATGAAGGTTTATTTCTCTGTTCTCTATTTTGTTCCATTGGTCTACATTTCTGTTTTTATGTCAATAATACATTGATTTGATTACTGTAACTTTATAATGTGTTTTGAAATCAGGAAAGTCCTCTAGTTTTGTTCTTCCTTTTCAAGAATTTTTTGGCTATTCAGTGTCCATTGAGATTACATATTAATTTTGGGATTTTTGTTCTATTTCTGAGAAAAATGCAATTGGGTTTTTTATGGGGATTGTCATGAGTCTGTAGATCACTTGGGTACATTGGACATTTTGATAGTATTGAGTCTTTTAATTCCGGAACATAGGATGTTTTTCCATTATCTGTGTCTTCTTTAATTTCATTCAACATTTTTTAATTTTCTATGGATAGATTTTTTGCTTTCTTGGTTTATTCCTACATATATTGTTCTTTTGGGTACGACTGCAAATATATTTTTTTCTTAATTTTCTTTTCAGATCATTTATTGTTAGCATACAGAAATGCTACTGATTTTTGTGTGTTGATTTTGTATCTTGCAACTTTTCTGAATTCATATATTTTTTCTAATAATTTTTTGTTTATATAGTCTTTAGGGTTGTCTATACCTAAGATCACGTCATCTGCAAACAGAGACAATTTCACTTATTCTTTTACTGATTTGGATGTCTTTTATGTCTTTCACTGGCTTAGTTGCTTGGCTAAAACTTCCAGTACTATGTTGATAAGGAGTGGTGAGAGTGAGCATCTTTATGTTTTCCCTGATCTTGTATGAAAAGTTTTCAGTCTTTATGACTGTAATATTAGCTGTAGGCTTTTCATAAATGGTCACTATTATGCTGGAAATTTCCTTCTATTCCTAGTTTGTTGAATTTTTTTTTTATCATGGAAAGGGGTTAAATTTTGCCAAATGCTTTTTTTTGTATCTGTTGAGATGATCATGTGACTACGTTTTGTTCTGTTAATGTAGCATGTTGCATTGATTTTTTTTTTTAATGTGGATTCATCCTTGCATTCCAGTGATTAATCCTATTTAGTCATGGTGTATAATCCCTTTAATGTGCTATTAAATTCAGTTTGCTAGTATTTTGTTAAGGATTTTTGCATCGACCTTCATCAGGAATACTGACCTGTAGTTTTCTTTTCTTGTAGGGTTGTGTTTCTGGCTTTGGTGTCAGACCAATGCTGACCTCATAAAATGAGCATGGAAGTGTTCCCTCCTCTTCACTATTTGGCAGAGTTTGAGAAGGAATTATGTCAGTTCTTTAAATATTTTCTTTGTTGGGAAGTTTTTGATTATTGATTAAACCTTACTACATATAGGTCTGTTTAAATTTTCTACTTCTTCATGTTTTAATCTTGATAGGTTGTATGTTTCTAGGAATTTATCTATTTATTTTGGGTTACCTGTGTGTCAGAGTGTAATTGTTCATAGTAGTTTCTTATAATCCTTTTCATTTCTATGACATCAGTTTTAATGTCTCTTCTTTCATTTCTGAAATTGTTTCTTTGAGTCTTCTTTCTTTTTTCATAGTTAATTTAGCTAAGGACTTGTCCATTATGTTGATTTTTTTCTAAAAACCAACTCTTAGTATTGTTATTATTGTTTTTCTATTTTTTATTTCATTTATTTCTGCCCTAATCTTTATCATTTCCTTCCTTCTGCTAACTTTGATTCATTTGTTCTTATTTTCCTAGTTCCTTGAGATTTAAAGTTAGATTGATTTGAGAGCTCCCTTTTTTTCCCAAAAGTAGGCATTTAACTGCTATAAACTTCCTTGTTAGTACTGTTTTTGCTGCATTACATAAGTTGTTGTATATGTGTTTTTGTTTTCATTTGTCTCAAGATATTTTCTAAGTTCCCCGTGATTTCTTGTTTAACCCATTGGTTGTTCAAGAATATGTTACTGGGCCGGGCGTGGTGGCTCACGCCTGTAATCTCCATATTTTGGGAGGCTGAGGCAGGTGGATCACCTGAAGTCAGGAGTTCAAGACCAGCCTGGTCAACATGGTGAAACCCTGTCTCTACTAAAAAATACAAAAATTAGCTGGACATGGTTGCAGGTGCCTGTAGTTCCAGCTACTGGGGAGGCTGAGGCAGGAGAATCGCTTGAACCCGGGAGGCGGAAGTTGCAGTGAGCTGAGATTGTGCCACTGCACTCCAGCCTGGGCGACAGAGCAAGACTCTGTCTCAAAAAAAAAAAAAAAAAGTGTTATTTCCACATATTGGTAAATTTTTTAGTTTTTCTACTACTATGGATTTTTAGTTTCATTTCAATGTATTCAGAAATAAATACTTGGTATGATTTTAATCTTGTTAAGTTTGTTAAGATTTGTTTTGTGACTTTATTTGTGATTTATCCTTGGGAATGTTCCGTGTGCACTTGAGAAGAATGTGTTGTCTGCTGCTGTTGGATGGCGTGTTCTTTATGTCTGTTAGATCCAACTGGTCTATAGTGTTAAGATCCTCTGTTTCCTTATTGATGTTCTGTCTGTTTTTTTGATCTGTTATTGAAAGTAAGGTGTCAAAATATCCTACCATTACTGTGTCAGTGTCTATTTCTCCCTTCAATTCTGTGAATCCTTGCTTCATATATATGGATGCCCTGGGACTCAGTGTAGATACATAATTATTATATCTACCTTGTGAATTGACCCTTTTATCATTATATAATATCTGTATTAGGGCTCTCTAGAGAAACAGAATAGATAGATAGATAGATATAGATACAGATACAGATAGATAATAGATAGGTATTTCAATTCAAATGTTATTTAGAATGATCAAAATATTTGGAAATTTAACAAAAAGGTTGACTGTTTGAAAGCTTGTTTAGGCCAGGCACGGTGGCTCCCAGCCGTTTGGGAGGCCGAGGCAGGTGGATCACCTGAGATCAGGAGTTCGAGACCAGCCTGGCCAACATGGCAAAACCCCATCTCTACTAAAAATACAAAATTTAGCCGGGCGTGGTCGTGTGGTCGTGAGCACCTGTAATCCCAGCTACTCAGGAGGCTGAGGCAGGAGAATCATGTGAACCTGGGAGGCAGAGGTTGCAGTGAGCCAAGATGTGCCACTGCATTTCCAGCCTGGGTGACAGAGCAAGACTCCACCAAAAAAAAAAAAAAAAAAGCTGGTTTTAAATTTTTTCTTCATCTAGTTTTCTATCTATAAACAATCTAACTGACCTACATTATCAATTTTGCCCAAAGTAAATATTCATGAAACCAACAATAGATAAATTTAAAATTCTGCTATATTAATTAAAATATTGGATTTGTGATGACAAATATTTTAATGGATAAAATACTAGTGAATCAAAAGCAAAATTGTAGAACTAGAATATTTCTTCCTTATTTCCTTACTACATAAGTAAAAGAATAAATAAAAGCAGTTGAGCAAAATGATGATAATTTCAAGTAATCTAGAGGAAAAAAATGTAGGAATAAATGTATCTATGCACAGGAAATGAGTTAATGAGCACTTTGTAAAAATTATAGCATTTCATTCCCAGAACATTAATCAAATAAGAGGTTCTAATATTTTCTCTTGATCAATTTTTCTGTAAATGTTAATTGCAAAGGCATAGAATGAAAATTAATAATAAATGGTTTATCTCAATAATCTATTCATATTTTTCCAGTTAAGCATCTACTAGAAAAAGTTTCACTTTGCCACATTTTACTTCTCATGGCAATATAAGATTATTACTATTATTTTGTATTTTTAGTCTATAAAATTAAATTTAAATGCCAAGTTTTTATGGGCTACAAGTCTATAGTGTTTTCTGTCTACAATGCAACATGCAGGTTGGACTCTAGCATATTTTACTGATGACTGAATTTACCAAATGGAGCTTGTGAGTGAATTTTTTAATACAGAAACAATCCCAAAATAGAAGAAATGCAAACCCACTATAATCGTTGTGTTATACTGATGCTTTGCTATTGAGATTTGATACATTTGGCACTTCTCATATTGTTTTCTAATTTAATCTTCACAATAACATTATAAAAAACATTTTACTCTATCCATATTTGGACAAATACACTGAGATTGAAACAGGTTAAACAATTTGCCCAAGAAAAGTTGAAAAGCCAAAACTACAACTCAGGTTTGAATCCAAAGCTTGTACTCACAACTACCAAAATACTCCCTTTATCTTATAATTATCTCTGAAAAAATGCAGTATTCTGTAATGAATATTAAAGAAAGAAAGCTGGAACTTCTGGATAGCTGAAAAGAACGTGTAGTTATCAATTCTCAAAATTTCCTTTCCAAACTATGTGAAATAATTTTAAAACTATAAACATTTTACACAAAAACCACACCTCAGCATTATTTCAATACAACAAATGCTGGAGCAAATAACTGAGAGCACAGAATTTCTAACATTCATGCCCCTAACCTCTGCCCTGCTCCAGAGTTTTGTGATGAGCAACTACAACCTGAGGAAAACTGAAGAAGACTGAGGCTAACAAAGGGGACCAAGGGTGATTTGCAATGTGTACCCAAAAGATTAAACCAACCCTAAATCTAAATATAGTGGGAAAGTGTCCAGGCAGATCAGAGTATGAAATGTTGCAGGAATTAAGGGACCAGAGAGACCAATGGGTAGAACAGGAGGAATTTATTAAGGTGCACACCAGCTCAGCAGATTAGCATCCAAAGGCTGAGCCCCAAACAAAGACAGGGCTTGACTTTTATACATACATCTGAAAGGGGATTGGATGGTTTGAATAGTGTGGCACGAAACTGAGGGCATGAAACCTGTGAGGCCGGACAAGCAGGCTTACAGAAGCAGAACAAAGGCAGTTAATCAAATAGTGACAGGTTTCGTAACTTAAGCATATCTTGTGACCTTGCTGCACAGAAGGAAAAACAGGAACGTACAAAACCTTGCAGAATAATTATGAATTTTACTAAGGGAGGATTGGTAAAAGGGAGGGGGAAGTTGGGAGAGGAGAAAAACTTGTTTTCTCATCCCTATGCTGAAATGGGAGGGAGGGGGCTCTGGAGTCCATCTCTTGAGGGCACCAGCTCTGCAGATAGTGTTATCAAAGCCCTGCCAGAGCTCTGCTGTATATCGGTGGACCTTGGAGTGAGTTACCCTAGTAAAAAACTTGTTTATTTGGTTTAACATCTCCTGCTTCAGGACTACGGGTAAGGAATTTCCAAATAAGCTTGATTTAAAGGTCCAGAAAGAATTTATAGGGCTATATGAAATTTAAAGGGACAATTTTACAAGCCTTTAGTTTCTGAAGGAGAATAAAGGCTGAAAGGAGGAGGAGGCAGTCTATGGGAATTGGATAGTGAAGGGAGAAAGTAGAAAAAATAGAAAATTTAAAGTCCTGCAAAATAAAAGTTAAATATAAAGTCAAAAATTTGTAACTCTTCCCTTACAACCAAAATAAAGGAAACAAACCCAATAAAATGAAACACCACCAAAAAACCTGGACTTTGATAAATTGACAGTAAAGGCACCATTAAACTTGGACTCCTATAAGTTACTCCAATGCCATAAAAATGAACAGGAGGAAAGTAATGTTCATAGAAAAACACTTATGATATCAGAAAATTACATTTTATTCATATCAACTGAAGACCAACTCTGAAAAATAACTTTGAAGCAGAATAAAACTGTAAGTCTACACTCCAAAGAATTAATATACTAAAGTACTTAAGGATGTGAAAAAAAATTAAACTAAAAAAAACCCCCAAGAAAACAAAACCAAATAAGGAAATCTCACTATTTGCTGTTAGGAATGCAAAATTGAATGATACAGCTGCTTTAAATAACAGTATAGAAATTTCTGACAAAGCTAAACACAGTTTTACCATACAAGCCAGCAAATCATGCTCCTAGATATTTACCCAGCTTATTTGAAAACATATGTCTACATAAAAACCTTCACACAAATGCTTATAGCAAATATATTAAAAATCTCCAAAAACTGGCGTCAACCAAGATATCCTTCAGTAGGTTAATTGGTAAATGATTTGGTATGTCTAGATGATGAACTACTATTCAGCAATAAAAAGAAAGGATCTATCAAGGTACACAATACACAGAAACATGGATGAATCTTAAGTGCACATTGCGAAGTAAAAGAAGACAATGTGAAAATGTTACATACTATATAATTCCATTTATATGACATTTGGGGAAAAGCTATATTCCAGAGGTGGTAAACGAACCAGTGCTTGCCATGGGTTCAGTGTGGGGAGGGTTAAATAAGTGAATCACAGGCATTTTGTAGGCATTTAAACTATTATATATGGAACTTTAATAGTGGATGAATGATAGTATGCCTTTTTCAAAACTCAGAACTTTACAGCACAAATATTAAACTGTAATGTATAAAATTTTAAAAATTATTTAAAAGATTGGGGAATTCCAGGATGGAATGCAGACTATGAGACTATAATCTAAATTTATTACAACTGTATGATACAACTTCACTGAAGGAGCAGGGTAGAGTGCTAGTCTAGGTAACTTTGCAAATGAGTGGAGTCAATAAAACTGAAGACAAGAAATTGTACAAAGGCACTGTAGTCTAGTTAATAAAGTTGTCTCATGGGGAAATAGGTTAACAATTCTGAAACTACATTCATGTACACTGGAATTTAACATCAGTGAATAAATGGCAGATGGTAGGAACCAAATTTCTCTTTGTTGGTTACAGATCAGCAAAGGGAGAAGGCTAGAATTATGTATGTGGTAATGGATTAGAGTTGGAGACATCATTGTGCAGTCATACCTAGCTTAATATAGATCCAGGCAATTACATGTAGAAATCTTTATAAGTATACATATATGCATGAATTAATATAAAAAATATACATATTCTTGATCTGTCCACTAAGAGGGCCTAGAAGCAATGATACCCAATAGCAGTGAGTATATCTAGCACGCAGAAATTGGTGTCTAGTAACATTCTCCAGTAAAAGAAAGCAGGGCCCTTGGAAAAATGTTTTATTGTAGGGCTGGGATATAAAATGTACAATATGAACCTGCAGAATCTTTTGGTGCCAGAAAGTAAAGAATCGCGCAAACACACATGTATGTGCACACACACACACACACACACACACACCCTCACACATTGATGAGGATATGCAAATGGACACAGGAGCCAACTGAAAAAGATCAATGTGGTTAAATCCAAAATAACTTGAGCAACAACATAAATGAAGCCATATTAGATTATAATGCAACGTGCAAAGTAAATATCCATGAGTCCATACTGATATAAATAAATGTTTGGATAAATAAATGTAAGATAAGAGATAAATATCCTGTGCAAAAGAATTCTGAATAATTAATGTAGCTATTTCACCCTCAAGGATGTGGACCATAATTCCCTGCTCCTGTGTGTGAGCAGCACATAGTAACTTTTTTTCCTTTTTTTAAAAAGGAAAAAGAGAGTAATATTACAGTAGAAAAACATGACAAAAACTAACAGCTAGGAGGCTGAGGTTAATATCAAGAGTTATAAGTCATATTGTTAGTATATACCATTAATATGATGTGATGAGAATGGCATTTTATCTCTGTGATCTTCCTACCAAAAACCAATAACCTCCATCTAATCATGAGATAAACATCAGACACATCGCAACTGACATTCTACAAAATCCCTGACCAGTAGTCCTCATCAAAAGACCAGATGTCACAGTCCTCAAAAATGAGGGAAGTTTGAGAAACTATCACAACCAAGAGGAGCCTAAGGAAACATGACAACTAAATGTAATATGACACCCTGGATGTGATCCTGGAACACAGAAAGGGTATTAAATATAAACTAAAGAAATCTAAATAAAATAAGAACTTCTTCTTAATCTCTAAATTATGACTCTTGACAAAATTTACGAAGGAGTCCTAATCACAGGGTCATAATACCCTTTTTTCTTAGTAAAGCTGTCAAACAGATTAGTCCTCCGGATAAATGAGGCCTCCTTTGAATTTCTGCCTTTCCTTGACTTAACCAGTGAGTCAGAGGGAGGGACCCCTGCCTCGGAAAATGCAATTTTTATTTCACTTATTAAGAAAATGCCTTTTGGCTGGGTATGGCGGCTTATGCCTGGAATCCCAGCAGTTTGGGAGGCTGAGGCAGGCGGATCATTTGAGGTCAGGAGTTCAAGACCAGCATGGCCAACATGGTGGAACCCCATCTCTACTAAAACTATAAAAACTAGCCAGGCATGGTGGCATGCACCTACAGCCCCAGCTGCTTGGTAGACTGAGGCAGGAGAATTACTTGAACCCAGGAGGCGGATTAACAATAATGCATCAGTATGGGAGTATTAACATGACAAATATGCCAGGCTACTAAAAGATATAATAACAAAGGAAACTGGGTTTGGGGTCTACAGGAACACTTTACTATCTTTGCAATTTTGCTGTAAATCTAAAACTACTATAAAATGGAAAGTTGACTTAAAATATTAGACTATTGAACAAAAAGTATGAACCAATATTATATCCACCCAAGGTGTCCTTTAAATATCAATGGTATTAAAATAAAAGTTTTAACATAAAAGAACTTAATGAAATAATCACCCATTATCCTTTCTTGAGGAATTTGCTGGAGGATGAATAGTATACAAGTGAGGACAGAGGTAATTCTGCAAAAAGACTAATGCTGACCATTTCAAAACAGAAATGTACACATAAGACTAAAACCGGCCAGGCGCAGTGGCTCACACCTGTAATCCCAGCACTTTGGGAGGCCAAGGCGAGTGGATCACGAGGTCTGGAGTTCAAGACCAGCATGGCCAATATGGTAAAACCCCATCTCTACTAAAAATACAACTATTAGCTGGGCGTGGTGGCACACATCTGTAATCCCAGCTACTCAGGAGGCTGAGAATCGCTCGAACCCGGGAGGTGGAGGGTGCAGTGAGCCAAGATCATGCCACTGCACTCCAGCCTGGGTGACAGAGTGACTCTGTAAAAACAAAAACAAAAACAAAAAAAAGACTAAAACCTAAGTGGAGGTGAAGGTAGAAATCTAATTTACAAATGTTATATATTGCCACAAAATAAAAATAATGCATCTTTAAAAAGTAAAGAAAAGGGAGAAGAAAAAAGAAAAAATAGAAAATGCTGATAGTTGTAAAGATGGGTTTCAAATAACATTAAGGAAAAACAAAACAAAACACACAAAAGATACTAAACCAGATAATAAAAATAAAAGCTTAGTTTAAAAAACAGGGGACTAAGCATATTTTTTAGAAGATATACGCATCGGTTACTATACATACAAATGTTTCCTAGTTCTGTTTGTTAAGAGGACCTAGCCACGATGACAACTCAGTAGCAAAGCACACTCTGTGGCGAGATTTTGGTTTCTAAGGACTGCTCTTTCTCTTTAGTGAAAGAAACCATAGCTCTATGGAAAAATGACTGATTTTAAGACTGGAGAAGGTGAAAGGCAAAATGAGCTTGGAGCATCTTGTTATACCAGAAAGCATGATTGTGCTCAAGAAACAGGATGAGAGCATGCCAAAGAGACACAAGAGTCAATCGGAAAGAACTTTCAATAGCAAAACTAGAACAATGAAATAAGTAACATATTATATACGAAAATATTTATGTTTATATTACATAACCAACAATGTTATGTTGACATCATTTTTCCCTGACATGATATGATGAGAAGTTAACTTTGCTTCTGTGGTATTCCTTTCAAGAACCCATAGTCCTCATCTCATAGTGAAAAAAACAGCAAAGAAACTTAAACTGAGGGACATTCTACAAGGTATTTTATAGTACTCTCCAAAACTGTCAGGGTCATAAAAAACAAGAAAAAACTGAGACATTATTACAGCATATAGTAGACTGAGGAGACATGATGACTAAATGCAAGGTGGGCCCCTGGCTGGATTAGATCCTAAAAGAACAAAAGGGCATTAGTATAAAAAATGGTGAAATTCTCAGCCAGGCACGGTGGCTCACACCTGTAATCTCAGCACTTTGGGAGGCCGAGGCGGGCGGATCATGAGGTCAGGAGTTCAAAACTAGCCTGGCCAACATAGTGAAACCCCATCTCTACTAAAAATACAAAAAGTAGCCAGACATGCTGGTGCTTGCCTGTAGTCCCAGCTACTCAGGAGGCTGAGGCAGGAGAATTGCTTGAACCCCAGAGGCAGAGGTTGTGGTGAGGCAAGATTGTGCCACTGCACTCTAGCCTACGCAACAGAGCGAGACTGTCTCCAAACAAACAAACACAAAAAAAGTGAAATTCTCATAAAGTTTGGAGTTTAGGCAATTATGTACCAATGTTGGTCTCTTAGTTTTGACAAATCTTTAGAAATGTCAGCATGTAAGATGTTAGCATTAGGTGAAATTGGGTGAGGATTTTAGAATTTTCAATGTTATATTTGCATCTTTTCTGTAAATACACAATGTTTCCAAAATAAAAATTTTATTAGTGAAAACATACAAAGATAAAAGAATAAAGGCAGCCACTAGAAAACAAATCTTTCTCAATATGAAATGTACACACACATAAACATACAGTACATATCTTATAGAGAAAGAGCAGAGCAAATATAATGAAAACCATATATTACAAATAAAAATAAATAGGATGGCATCAAAACCAGGTATATGAGTCATAACAATAAACAGTGGTAAATGAAAAAAGCAAAGCACAAAAAAAGTCTTTAGTATGCCACCCTTCATGTAAGAAAGAATTGCATATCAGAAGATACGCACATCCCTGAGTATTGGTGCAAAAGAAACACAGGAATGGTTAAAAATGAACAGTAAAGAGATGGATTACAGCCTCAGCCTGGGGTTATGTGAAAAAGAGGAAGAGATCGTAATAAAAGGAGGAAGGATACAGGGGAATAATGATGAGAAGGATGTGACATTTCTCTGACTATAACTGTTTTATATCTCAGACTCAGAATTATATTAATGTGTAACATAAACTTAAAATATTAATAAGCAAGTAATTAAAACCAAAGTATGAAAATAAACCAAAATGGAATATAGACAGTTTTAAAAAACCCCAACCTACCTCTATCAAAAATAAATAAGTTAACCACACTAGTGGTGAGGGAGAAAGGAACTAATGTAAGAACCAATCTGGAAAACTATCCTGACCAGATACTGTTTTTTCAGAATCCCAAAAAAAAGGACATAAAGAATGTCATAAATGCTGTAATCTAGTTAATAAATATGTTTCACACAGGGGTTTGGGTTAGCAATTCAGAAATTACTTTTTGTTTATACCAGAAATAAGCAAAATTTTCTCCTTGGAGATGTATTAAACCTAAAGCTGGGACAAGGAAAACCATGATGATCCTGGAAAATCCTATGGTGCCAGAAAATAAGAAAGTGACCAAAAAAAAAAAAAAAAAAAAAAAAAAATGGGGATTTGTCAAAAGGACGCAAGGGCCAAATTGAAGGAAATCCTAAAGGTGGAAGCTGAAACAAAATTGAGCAAGAAAATAAACAATGGTTGTGTTAAATGTCAGCCCATAGAATAAAATAAGTATTCAGGAGTTGATACTAATGTAAATAACAGAATAAATAAATAAATAATAAGGTAATTATTTCTTGCAAAACAATTCCAATTAACAAGCATAAAAGGAATAAGGTCAACAAAAAGTCATCATTAGGCAAACACTGAAATAGTAACATCTGCAGGCAAGTTCCCTAAATGGATGTGAAAATCAGTGTGAGAAAAGTCTGAGGAGAAATAGGATATTTGCATAGTCTCATTGTGTCTCCCTCAGACATTTATTAATTGCAAGGGAGAAAATAGTAACTTTACAACGGGGAAACTCAGCAAAATCCAACTTAACCAAGTGATCAAGTTCAACAACAATAATAAGACTATTGACATCATGAGCTGCTTAATATGACACACTGAGGTCACAACACCATCTTGTGATATGTTTGGGAAAAACCCCATAATCTTAATCTAGTTATGGGAAAATATCAGAAAATGTTTAAATTGAGGGACATTCTATCTGAATAACTGACCAATGCTTCTCAAAAGTGTCAAGGTAATGAAAGAAAAGGAAAGATGATTGATAAACTGTCGCTGATTGGAAAAGACAAAGCAGAAATAGTAAGTAAATTCAATGCAGGATCCTGAGCAAGATTATGAAAGAGAAAAAGTGCACTAATGGAAAAACTTGTGAATTTTGAAGTAATGTCTGTATTTAGTAAATAATCTTTTACTAATGTCAATTTCCTGATTTTGATAATTATACTAAGATTATGTAACAATAACATTGGGAGAAGTTGGGTAAAATGTTATATAGGAGCGCTGTATTATTTTTGCAACTTTTCTGTAAGTTTACAAGTTCAAAATAAAAGATTAAAAGACGTTGTTAGGCTGGGTGCGATGGTTCATGCCTGTAATCCCCGCACTTTGGGAGGCCAAGGCGGGTGGATCGCTTGAGTCCAGGAGTTTGAGACCAGCCTGGGCAACATGGCGAAAGTCCGTCTCCACAAAAAATACAAAAATTACCCTGGCATAGTGGCGTGCACCTCTAGTCCCAGCTACTTGGGAGGCTGAGGTGGGAGGATCGCTTGACTCCTGGGGGGCAGATGTTGCAGTGAGCCAGATCACACCACTGCACTCAAGCCTGGGTGACAGAGCAGGACCATGTCTCAAAAAAATAAGAAAAAAATGTTGTCAGGAAAGCATTACAAAATTTCGAGAATTACTCTGTTAGTGCCAACAGAGGTGAACCAACAGTCAAGTTATACTTGTATATTGGTTGAGAAGTTAGGAGGCTTTGAAACAGCAGTTTCAAGAAATAGATATAGCAACAATTGTAGTTGAAGATTTTAATGTATGCTTCTTAGAAAATGATATAACATACAAACAAATATAAACATCACTCTCCATGATGTACTTATTTCACATTATTCCCTGTATTAAAGCATCTCATGTACCCCATAAATATATACACCTACTATGTACCCACAAAAAATTTTAAAAATAATTAAAAATTTTTTAATATCACATTTTATAGCATTTTAGCACTAATGAATTAGTAAATGTATTCAGACATATAATTCACATTGGTAGTAAAATTTATAAAAAATCTAGGACTTAGACAAGAATATACAAGCCCTAAGATAATCTAAATAGAGAGAAAAACATAAACATGCTCTTGGAGGAGATAGTTCAATATTAAAAAGAAGTCAATTCTCACTAAATGTATAAAGTAGAGTCTAAATAAAAATTGCAGTTGTGTTTTAATAACAATAAAGTTACTCTGAGATGTTTAGGGAAACATAAAGATTTATAAGTAGCTAAGTCAATATTAAAAAGGAGAAAATAAACTGGGCATGGTGGTGCATGCCTTTATTCCCAGCTACGCAGGAGGCTGAGGCAGGCAGGAGGGTCACTTGAGGCCAGGGGTTTGAGGATGCAGTGCACTGCATTCGCACCTATGAATAGCCACTGCACTCCAGTCTGAGGTGACATAGGAGACCCTGTCTCCACAAAAAAAAAGAAAAACAGAATTCTTGCTTTCTGATATATTTAAACAAAACAGACTACATAATCATAGTAACAAACACAGTGTGGTATTGGTACAAGAACACATATTTAACAAATACTCCAATGGACCAAATGAGAAACTCAGAGACAAATAGATTCACATGTGTATAAGAAAATATATGACAAAATTGATACCTAAAATCAAAAGAAAAAATGGTATTTGAGATTACGTGAGAAAATCTATCTTACTATAAATAGAAAATCCTGTATCTCTTCAGACTACACTTAAAGTGATGGACTCCAGATTCACTGGAGGTCTATCTATAAAATCAAAAAGTGCAAAATTAATAAAACAATGTAGGATACAATTTTTGTATTCTAAATCTGGGGAAGATCTTTCACAAAAAAAAAAATCCAAAGCACATACAATAAAGCTAAATTTATAAATTGGATGACATCAAAAATTTAGGATTTCTGTTTAGTGTAAGATACTATGGAAAAAGTTTATAGTTAGATGACAGGAGGATTTATTTGCAATGCCTAATGCTAACAAGGGATTAATATCTACAGTATACATGATTGTCCTACAGTTCAATCATAAGAAGACAGGAATAAAAGTAGAAAAACTATGCAAATAATATAAACATGGGGAGGATGAAAACTTAAAAAGCTAACAAATGTACAAGGTAATGTTCT
Organism: Homo sapiens; assembly: GCF_000001405.40. Taxonomy (NCBI): domain Eukaryota; kingdom Metazoa; phylum Chordata; class Mammalia; order Primates; family Hominidae; genus Homo; species Homo sapiens. The sequence goes on along the minus strand of NC_000023.11, from coordinate 113,588,131 downwards.
AACATCAATAATCAGAGAAATCCCAATTAAAACTGATGTATCACTTAACATGTATTAAATTGAAAACAAGTAGAAAGCTGGATAAATGTAAACATTTGCAGAAATGTGGTAATACAGAAATGCTCAATTACTGCTAGTGTGAGAGTACACTGGTACAATATTCTAGAAAATAATCTAGCACTATGTGTATATGCTATGATTCAGCAATTATACTCCTGTATATATAACACAAAGAAATTCTCACCTAGATTTATAAAAGGACATATACTAGTATATAATTTGCTATATTATTTGTGGTGGTGGCAAGCCTGATGCAACTAAGTATCCATTATTGGGTGGGTAGATAGGTAAAGTGAGATGGATGCCCACCATAAACTATGATACTGCATTTAGAAGCAACAAATTAGATGTATACATAGCAACATAAACAGATATTAATATTAAATGCACACTGCTTAGTAAAAAAATGTTAAAAAGAGATAAAAAACCACATAGGTAAATTGAAAATATGTATACAACAACACTAATCATTTTGTAAGAACACATCCAAATGAAAAAGGCTGCTTGTGTTGGCAAAAAGGAGGAGAAAATTGGAGCCTGATGTGCTGGCGAAAGGAAATAAATAAAACAACTCCAAAAGAAATAGAAAATGTAAATGAACAATTATTTTTAAATGGAAATGCTACTTCCTTTATCACATATCCAATCAAAGAAAGACAAACTCTTCTAGAAGCAGATTTTTGACAAAACCTTTAAGGAATAATTTGTGTCTGTGCCTTAAGTAATCATAAATGATGTGTCCCAGTGATCCATCAATTCTATTCCTGAGTATTATTCCTAGGAAATTATGCCATATGTCCTTAAGATGACATACATTGTTTTTGATGGCAGAAAGCTGGAGAAATAAGGGACGTCATCAGAGCTAGTGTAAAATTGTGGAAAAACACACTGGAGTATTGTATACTATGTGGAAATAAAGGATTAGATGTACACATAAACATAATTCTGGGTAGGAATAGTAAGAAAAAATGAGATATATAATGCAATATCATATACTTAAACTTCAAATACATGTACACATAAAAAATGCGCATTTTGTAAGAATAAAAAAACACATTAATTAGAATGGTTGACTATGCAGGAGTAATTGAATAGAGACACATTATATAATTCTGAAACTGCCTGAGCTTCATTTTCTATACCAGGAAATGAAAACAATAATTGTAATTTAAAGTTTTCAAAAAACTCAAAAAAAGGAAGAAATCTTCATGTTTTTTGCAAATCTTGCCTGACTTCTTTTAGATTTAGCCCAAGATAATTAGTATAATTGGCTAAAGACACACCTGACTTACTGCTATTGATATGGGAGTGCTGGTAGAGGAGGGCGTGGTCCCTGGCTAGGGCTCCACCCCCACGGACCTAGGTGAGGACAGGCATTTTTGTTGCATTTCGCAAGACCACCCTGGCCTGCCACACCTCCATCCTGTGCCTATAAAAACCGGAGACCTTAGCAAGGCGGAGATAGAGGCAACTGAACATGGAGAGGAGCACATCAGCAGAGGAACACACAGATGGCTGGACGTGGAGAGGAATGCTCCCACGACAAACGCTCCGACAGGAGCCAGCATGCTGGCAGGCCACTGACCAGCAGAAAGATGCGGAGTTTGGCTGGGGCAGTCGGAGAAGAGCCTGGGCCACCAGGCGGCCCAACTCCAGGGGAAATCCATCTCCCTTCTGGCTCCACCATCTGCTGAAAGCTACTTCCACTCAATAAAACCTTGCACTCATTCTCCAAGCCCACGTGTTTTCGAATCTTCCCGGTACACCAAGGCAAGAAACCCAGGATACAAAAAGCCCTCTGTCCTTACAACAAGGTAGAGGGTCTAACTGAGCTAACACAAGCCGCCTTTAGATGACAAGCTAAAGAAGCACCCCTGTAACAAATGCCCACTGGGGCTTCAAGAGCTTTAAACATTCACCCGTAGACACTGCCTGGGGTCAGAGACCCACAGCCTGCCCATCTGTATGCTCCCCTAGAGGTTTGAGCAGTGGGGCACTGAAGAAGTCTTCCACACCCCCATCACATGACCTGGGAGGGGGACAAGGGAACTTTTCCCATTTCACTATATGTATTGTGCTTTCACACATGTATCTCCAACGATTAACTGTACTCTTCACCACTCACTGATATTTATGATCCACAACACAGCCCTGTACTTGGCACCAGGTATAAGAAAAGAACATAGATAAATCCTTGAGCATCTGAGCTGAGGCAAGAGCCCAAGCAAAAGAAGAGATCAATAAATAACATGTGCATGCTTTTGTTGTTACTATGTTTTGTCCTGTTGCAGCTGTGAGTAATTCACTGTATTTTGGTACTTGTGAAGAGAAAATGTTACTTTTGCTGATCTTTGAGGGTGATAATCAACTCAGCCCAGCAGTTAGATAGTTGTGTAGAGAACAATGCTAGAGCCGGAAACAACGCTTGCCTGTAACCAATCTCAGTAGTTGTTCCACCATCAAGCCAGGTTTTGTGCAATATCAGTTTCATGAAGACACAGTAACTCTTAAAAGTCATTCAAGTAAATATTGACTGCAGGCATTGCATAAGGCAACACAGGTTGAATAATTTGTTTTTATGAAAGTGCTATATCATCAAAGAGTCTGGTTGTCAGCTTGCAAAAGAAAGAGCGCTACATCTAGAGCAACAGCAAAACTATGGCATCAAAAACATCCAAAACTGCTGGAAAAAAATCCGGACTGGGCAAAGGTAAACGGTCCAATTTAATTACTTTGCTTCAAAAACTTCAAAAGCTAAATGCTGCTATTTTACAGTATGACTAATTCTGACAGCAGTGTTGGAAATGGAGTAGATAGAACTGTGATTGGAGGTTGCGGGGGCTGTAATCAACATTAAATTAGCAATCCGTCTTATCAAAAAAAGGCAGATTCTCAGATTGGTCTGACAAAAGTGATAGATGAATACCTAACCTCTAGTTTGAATACATCATAAACTGTGGAAGAGCAAGAAATTGGCAGAGTTTCAAGCTAAGCATTGTGCTAAAGCAAAATTCAGTTTCCTAAACAACCAAATGTGGATGGAAAGTGCAACTAAACTAAAAAAAAAATTGAAGAAAAACAATTCTATGCTTGTCTAAAATGTATAGACATGCCAGGGAGTATTATTCAATTATTTATTATTACATGATATAGCACAAAAAATTAGGTACACACAAATCAGTAAGTAAAAAGCTGTAGAATTAGCATGATACCACAGTACATACTAGGCTCCATAGTAGCCTACCAGGCTTTTAACTCAGTTTGCTCCTGATCCTTAACAGTTTCATATTCTAAGATAGTTGTCTCAATTTATACAATGAATAGGTAAAAATAATTGTAAAAGAAGGTTAGGTACATTGGTCGGGTACAATAAAAATAAAAATAACAAGAGAAGATTGTATAAAATAATATGTGGACTGCATCTGTGTGTTTATTTTAGCACTAACTTGTCGGTAATATTAATCCCTGGGTCTCTACTCTATCTGAATCCTATGCTTTAACAGGTATTATGATAACAAGCTTCTGGTGAGAAGCTGTAAGACATTTTCCTTACACGAGGGGAGTGACATGAAGACAAAGAACAAAAGAATTGGGATGAGCGTTATTACACGTTATAAGCAAATGAGGATGAGGCCTAACTACATTCACAGAAAATCCCCCAAAAAAGACCTACATATTCGTCATCCCACTTCTACTAGTATAACAGGAAAGCCAACAAATTGGAAACCCAGGTTTAGAATATATGTTGATCTCTTCTCAAGGAGTTCTTTCTATCATTATAATTCCACAGGCTATTTTAAAAATGCGTAATCAATAAAACTGTCACCAGTGATCCAAAAATAACAACAGATGCAGGCCAAGAAGGAATGCTATTTTGCTTTACTCCCCATGGTGTTCTTTCAAATATATTATGTAATTTATCTAAGATGGAAAAGTTGATTCTGATCATAAGCTCTACATATCCTCTTGAAAGTCTGGAATTACAGACTCAGCCACGCAAGGACCCCTGAAGCTTGAGAACCTTGATTGATAAAGTTCTTACCAGGGACACCATGCTGCTCAGAAGCAACCAAGCAGCTCTCATACAAAAGGGTGACCATGAATTGTGTCCTCTGGCAGATGGATTCCATACTGAGAAGTGCCACAGATATGAAGTAAGGATCAGGTCTATTTTCTATCCAACTGAATTTTTCTAATAGAAGGAAAATACAACATGAATAGGGTATTCTTTGGCTGGATCAAAATTATAAAGGTCCAATTTCTATTCATGTTTGGAATATCCTAAGTCTCAGTAACAATATTGTACCCTATGAAAATAAAGATGCAAATATATACAAATTAAAATAATCACTGTTCATATAGAAATTCAAACAAAATGCAATAGGTGAAAAACACATAGATATTGCTTACTATCAAGAAAAACAAACTTTGAAGACACTGTCTTCTATATACTCATAGGTAGAAAAGTATGAGTCAATGAAATCATACTACAAAATGAATTCAAAGATTCTTATGCGGTCTGTCACTTGGTAAATATAATGATGTTGAGTTATGTATGATTTTTATCATAACATTTTCTAAAATCTCAAATGTATAAGAAATGTGGTAAACAACACAATTAACTACAGACTGCAACATATTTTAAGATATCAAATTACTTTTTTCTAGTGAAACATGATAAAAATACACTTCTTTTAGTATTTTGAGAGGTGTTGCATTGAATTTATAGATAGATTTAGGAATAATTGGCATCTTCCATCCAGGAACATATTTTGTATCTCAATTATTCAAGCTCACTTACATGTGTTTAAGAAAAGCTGTTTTCTTTATATAGAACTTACACAAATGTTGTTAGATTTATCTTAGGCAGTTTATAATTTGTGTACTTAGTCAGGACTCTAGTTGCATACCAATTTAAGTTAGTGTTATGGTTTGGATGTGGTCCCCAATGTTGGAGGTGGGGCCTAGGGGGGAGATATTTGGGTCATAGGAGCAGATCCTCTGTGAAAGGCTTGGTGCCATCCCCTTGGTGATGAACAATTTCCCTCTATATTAGTCCATGTGAGAGGTTGTTTAAAAGAGCCTGGCACCTCCTTCTCTCTCTTACTTCCTCTCTCACTATGTGATACACTGGCCCCTCCTTCACCTTCCACCATGAGTAAAAGCTTCCTGAGTCCCCACCAGAAGCAAAGCAGATGCAGGCGTCATGCTTGTACAACCTGCAGAACCATGAGCCAAAATAAACTACTTTTCTTTATAAATAACCACGTCTCAGGTATTCCTTTATAGCAACACAAAAGGGACTAACACAGCTACATTAAGCAAGAATGTGGAATTTATTAACTCATGTGAACAAACAATGTAAAATCTGTAGTGGGGCTGACCTCTGGGAAAAATGTATCCAGAGCATCAAACAGCACATTTTCTCTAAATAATACACTCTAAATCTCTCTCTCTTTCTCTTAAGCACACATGCACATGCGCACGCACACACACACACACAGGTGCTCTTCCTTCAAAAAACTACAAATTAGAGAACACAATTTTCACCTTTTTTATACTTTATTTATTCATATTGCCATGTCTTCTTTCTATTTGTAGTATTTTATCATCTATCTTTACTGATACTTCATACTTTTAAATTTATCAACTGTAAACTACACATTTATATTTAAAATAAAATCTGAGAATAAGTATTTAAAAAATTAGGTAGAAGGGTGTGATTTCAGCAAGATAACTGACTAGGAAGCTCCAGGCCTTTAGTCCCCCACATTGAAACATTAAAAAACAAACGAAAAAAAGACTCACTAAAATCTCTATTGAAGCTCTAGAAAATAGTCAAAGATCAGCAGCAATAAAAAAATGCCTGATTATAAAAAAGCCACATTCAAGACAACAGAACCATTTTGTGGCTTTTTGTTTTTTAGAAAGACGGGGACTCACTCTGTCACCTAGGCTGGAGTGAAGTGGCACAATTATAGCTCACTGCATCTTCAAACTCCTGGGCTCAAGTAATTCTCTGTTTCTGCCTCCTGAGGAGCTCAGACTACAGGCATGCATCACAATGCCCATCTACTTTTTGCTTATTTTTGTCTAAAGGGGGCCTTGCTATGTTTCTCAGGCTTGTTTCAAACTCTTGGCCTCAAGCAGTGTCCCCATCTTGGCCTCCCAAAGTGCCGGGATTGCAGGCATGAGCCACCCTGCCTGGCTGGCATTTTTACTTACCCTTGTTCCATGCCATTTCTGGCACATGGCAGTTTGGTCAGAAGGAAGCAACAATTCAGTTCCAAATTCCCTCCCTCAAACCAGAGGTCACAGGACACATTAGCAATATTCTGCTCTGTCTGGGAACTGCCTCAGGACCTCATGTGTCTTTCTCCTGAGCCAAGACTCAGAGCTCAGATGGGAAAAAAAAACAGCATATCTTGGATCTCAGGCAAGGAAAGTCATAAAAACAGCAACCACAGCTTATGTGAACTGTACTACAGACCCACATGTCTGAGGCAAGAGATTACAGGTAGAGGAATACAATAGAACATTTTAGGCTCCAAGGAGAAGATGAAGTGATACTCCTGAGAAATTAAGACATTTGAAAGCATTCATATATATAGGAAAATTGAAAAATCCACACAGGGATTAAAAAAAAGATGCATAACCAGAAAAGACCTGAAAAGACCTTAGGCTTTCCCTCCAGCCTGGTACCAAGACTCAAGACATGACCTAATATCCTAGAATAAACCTTAGAGGTGGTAATTTTTTTCAAACGTACAATTTTCAATACAACAATAACAAATCACAAGGCATGCACAGAAACAGGCAAACAGAGCCCATTCAACAAAAGAAAGTAGTGTGGTGTAAATAGTCCATAAAGAAACATAGGCATTGGATTTACTAGACAAAGATTTTAAAACAATTGTCTTAATTATACTTGAAGGGATAATGCACAATGTAAAAATAACTAGGGGAATTCAGTAAAATAATATATAAACAAAATAAGAATATTGACAAAGACATATAAATTATTTAAAAGAACTAAACAGATATTCTCAAACAAAAAAGTACAATAACTGAGCTGAAAAATCCACTAGAGGAATTCAACAGCAGAATCAAATAGATAGAAGAAAAAAGAATAATGTAATTGAAGACAGGAAATTTAAAATTATTGGTTCTGAGGAGCAAAAAGAGAAAAGGAGTTAAGAAAAGTAAACAGTACTTAAGGAAGTTACGGGTTGTCATCGAGAAGCTCAATGTATACATTATGAGAGTTTCAGAAGAAGACAAAAAGAAAGGGGAAGAAATTATTTAAAGAAATAATGTCTTAAAATCTCCCCAAATTTGATGAAAGATATGGCTCTACAAACACAAGAAACTCAATGAACTCCAAGTAGGATAAAGCCAAAGGGACCCACACAAGATACATTCTAATCAAATTGTCAAAAGCCAAAGACATAGAACATCTTGAAAGGAGCAAGGGAAAAGCAACTCATTACATAAAAGGGATTCTTAATAAGATTTTCAGTGTATTTCTCAGTATAAATCTTGTAGTCCAGAAGGAAGAGGGATATATTAAAATGCTGAAAGAAAGAACAGTCAACTAGAATTAGATACATGGCAGAATTGTCCTTCAAAACTTAGGAAGAGGAGTGACATCACCAAGGCGACAGAGTAGAAGATAGGAGCCTTCATTCTCTACCCTCCCACCTCTCAAGATAGAGCTATTCACAAAATGAAATAGCCCTGAGAAGGCTTGAAGCCCCACTAAAGAATCTATAGCAACAAAGTCTAGAAAAAACAATGGGGATTATCCACCCAGAAAGGATTGCTGATGAGACTGCCTTCCTGAGATTGCAGGAGTTGCCTAGGAACAAAGAAATGAGGAAACTATTGATATCAGTCATATGGCTAGAACCACTATTATCCCCAGGAGCCTACTCCACAGAGGATATTAGCATCTTTTGACAGCCAAGGAAACAAACAACAGAGTGAAGAAACAACCTATGGATTAGGAGAAAATATTTGCAAATAATAAAATTGATAAGAGGTTAATATCCAAAATATATAAGGATCTCAAACAGCTACATAGTAAGAAAGCAAATAACATAATTTAAAAATGTGTAAAAGACCTGAACAGATATTTCTCAAAAGAAGACATAATTGTCCCAGAGTTCTTCAATATTCTGTGGTGTTGTTTGTGTTTTTCTCTTCACATTTGATACTGATATGCTGTCATTTGTTTATGTTCTAGCTCTCTAATTATTCCCTCAGTTGTATTCAGTTGACTTATGAGCCTGTCAGAGGCACTCTTAATTCCTAGCATTTCCTTTTGATTCTTTCTTAGAGTTCCTTCTTTCTGCTTCCATTCTCAATCTGTTCTTGTTTGTTGTCAACTTACTTTATTAGATCCCTTAACATATTTATCATAATTATTTAGAATTGCCTGTTAATAATGAAATATGTATCATATCTGAATCTGATTCTGATGTTTGCTTTCTTTCTTCAGATTGTATTTTGTCTTGCCTTTTAGAATGACTTGTGACCTTTTTCTTCAAAGCCAGACCTGACATTTCATGTAATCGAAACTGAGATAAAAGTCTTTGATGTGAGATTTTAGGTTAATAAATCTAGAAGTTTGGCTAAGTTTAATGTTTGCAGTAGAAACTGGTGCCAGAGGCTTCTCATTGTCTATGGTCCTTGTTAATTCCATGCAGTGAGTTTTTCATTGAAGATATAATACTTTCCATATCTATTATTCCTACGTGTTTCTTTTATGTAATTTCTACTATTTTTCTGAGATTACATATCTGCTACCAATTATATCCATTTCCTTTTAATTCTTTGAATATATTTATAATAGTTACTCAAACTTTTATCTGGTAACTCAGGCTTATTTCAGTCCATTTTTAAAATTACAGTCCATCTTATCATACTTCTTATGACTTAAAAATTTTCAATATCTCAACACTGTCAGCCCTCTGTATCTGCAGGTTCCACATCTTCAGATTCAACCAACAAAACTTATCTGCAGTTGATTGAATCTGTGGATGTAGAATGCACAGATATGGGGACGCTGACTGTACTGTCATTTTATGAAAGGGACTTGGGCATCTGTGAGTTTTGGTATTTGCAGGGGTCCTGGAATCAATTCCCAGGAGATATCAAGGAATACTGTATTGTAAATGATAGTTTTTAAGATGTCTAGATGATATCATCGTCCATTAAAGGCTTTTAACTTTTGTTTTTGTCAGGAAATTAAATTACCTTCTGCTCTTTTTATCCTGTAATTCTAGGTTTTATTCTTTATTTGGGCAAGACTATTAGTTTTATCCATAGTCCTAGGGCATTGCTCTTATTTTAGGGTCTGGTCTTTACTGCTAAGTTGTGACCATTTTGGAATGTCATAATTTCCTCTTTTTTAGTACTCTGCAAGCAAATTTCAACTTTTTCAGCAGCGTTTAACTTTGTTCCGTGTTTCTTCAATTCCTCAAGGCAAATGCTCCAATTGGAATCCACTGACTTAAGCCATATGAGAAAAGGTCTCCCAATAAGAAATTCAAATTGAACTTGGGGCTCATTTCATTAGAATCCCTTCTCTCAAAAAAAATGTAGTCCTCTTCTGCCTGGTATATAATGCCTAAAAGAGTTGCTTCATATATTTTGTCCAGTTTTAGAGCTGTTTACAGGGTATGGCAAATCTGATAACATTTATTCCATAATAGTTGGAAGTAGAACTTGTTATTCACTTTCTTTTAATAGGAAGCTTTTCTTAGTTATTATGATAGGTGATATATTTGATTGTATGAGAGATGAGGCAGCACAGTATATTGAATAAGAGTATAGACTCTGGATATTGCTGCTTGACATTGAATCCTGGCTCAGACATTTTTACCCTTCATATGACCTTGGGCAAATAACTACTACAATTTAGATACTTCACTCTTTAAATGAGATTAATGTGACCAATTACATGTGAATGTTATAAGTGTAAAATGAGTTAAAATATAAAAGTGCTCAGGACAGTAATTAGTAAAGAGTGAACACACAATACTTATTGTTGTTTTGGCTTTCTGTGCATGCTTTACATGGGTGGTAGGTGCCTAAATCTTTCAGGCTCGTAGGGGACTAGCATAGCTGTTCCATCTGTCTTTAAATATCGAAGTCACCCTTCTTCTTCCAGCCTCCACTGGCTCTGATAACAGTATAGCTGTATTCCTGTGGCCTATCTTGGGAAACTCCATATTTTAGAGGTCTCAGCTCTTTGCATATATGGAAAAGTTTATCAGCTCTGTTTGATTTCATTTCTAATTCATTGCCATTGGACATCATCTATATATGATATATACGTTTAAATATACGATGTTATGTGTATATATATACACATATAAATAAATGTTTACACTTTTGTTGTCATTTCAATGGGATTTGGGGAGAAGAGGAGAGGAAAAAATATATATATATATACACACATATATATACACATATACATACACATATATATATATTCTGTCAGCCATCTTGAACCAGAAGTTTCTCTATTATTTTTATATTTTCATATATATGTATATAGGTGTAACACACACACAGGATGATTTGAGTGAGCTATGTTCGGCTTTTGGCTCAACATACAAATAGGTGGTAAGTTATTTAAAGATACAAAAAAGGGGATACTATGACCATGTAGGTTTGAAATATATACTGATATTTTTCCTTTGAGCCATAAGAAACACAAACAAATCAGCAAGAAAAAAAAAAAAACAAACAATCCCATCAAAAAGTTGGCTAAGGACATGAATAGACAATTCTCAAAAGAAGATATACAAACGGCCAACAAGCATATTGGGAAATGCTCAACATCACTAATTATCAGGGAAAAGCAAATCAGAGCCACAATGCAATACCACCTCACTCCTGCAAGAATGGTCATAATCAAAAAATCAAAAAATGATAGATGTTGGTGTGTTTTTGGTGAAAACGGGACACTTTTACATTGTTGGTGGGAATGTAAACTAGTACAACCACTATGGAAACAGTGTGGAGATACCTTAAAGAACTAAAAGTAGATCTGCCATTTGATCTAGTAATCTCACCACTAGGTATCTACCCAGAGGAAAGTAAGTCATTATACGAAAAAGATACTTGCACGCACATGTTTATAACAACACAATTTGCAATTGCAAAAATATGGAACCAGCCCAAATGCTCATCAGTCAATGAGTGGATAAAGAAAATGTGGTATATATACCATGGAATACTACTCAGCCATAAAAAGGAATGAAATTATGGCATTCATAGCAACCTGGATGGAATTGGAGACTATTATTCTAAGTAAAGTTACTCAGAAATGCAAAACCAAACATTGTATGTTCTAACTCATATGTGGGAGCTAGGCTATAAGGACACAAAGGCATAAGAATGATACATTGGACTTTGGGGACTTAGGGGTAAGGGTAGGGGGGTGGCAAGGAAGAAAATACTACACATTGGGTACAGGGTACACTGCTCGGGTGATGGGTGCACCAAAGTCTCACAAATCACCACTAATATTTTCAACTTAACAAAGACAGCTAATGAATTTCTAGACCTATTCAAGTTTTTGTCAGCAAAGTATGTCATAGACTCAATATCCTGATAAGGTAACCAAGTAATCACAAACGGATGTCTTTCTGCTACATACAATCTGACCTTTAGCTTCTCAATACAGCTGATTAATTTGATTCACTTGTAGCATACTGTGGAAAAAAATCCATTTTGTATTTTTAAAAAATTAGCCAAAGTAATTTGAGGTGGTTTTACTGAATATAATTTTAAAAGAAAATGGTAACAACTATTCATGTACTCTCTATTAAGAGTATGTACCTTCAGCTTCACCCAACTATTTATATCTTTTTCCATTTTTTCCTGGATAACTGAAACTTATGTAACAGCAGCCACAGGTGAGCATTCACACTGTGCAAAGCAGATCACTCAGCATGAAGATTGGACTGTGACCATAGTATTCTTAGCCTGTGAGAGCCAGTCAAGGTGACAACTAATTTGCACCACTATATTTAATTTCAACTAATACTGTGAATGGATATTCTTTATCATTTTATTTATTTATTGGATTTATTTTGAGACGGAGTCTCGCTCTGTCACCCAGGCTGGGTGCAGCGATGTGATCTTGGCTCACTGCAACCTCTGTCTCCTGGATTCAAGCGATTCTCTTGCCTCACCCTCCTGAGTACCTGGGACTACAGGCACCCACCACCACCCCCGGCTAATTTTTTATTTTCTTTATTTTTTTTAATTTTTAGTAGAGACAGGGTTTCACCATATTGACCAGGCTGGTCTTGAATCCCTGACCTTGTTATCCACCTGCCTTGGCCTCCCAAAGTGCTGGGATTACAGGCATGAGCCACCGCGCCCAGCTGTGAATGGATATTCTGAAGGTTGATGTCATTTGTACTTTTCCAAATCATCAAGCATTAAATGTTAGATTCTACTAATCAAGATTGTAGGATAGTTACACATCTTTGGAGTGAAGTAGAGCTCATCAACTGTAGCTCTAAACAAACTGTAATCATATCTGCTGAGGTTTGTAAAACACAGATTGATAATTCTTTAAAAGACACTGCATGTTTTAAAATGATACTGAATTATTTGTAACATTTCATAGATATAAACCTCCTTGCAAAAATAAAAGCATGTGCTGGAAATAATAATGAGAAAATATTAAAACCAACGATATCTAGGTACAGCTTTAAAAATGTAAGACTAGCCATCATGTAGAGGGCCAGAATTTTAAATTTTAAACAAACTTGAGCACAGTAACAAATTTCATATTGCCTAAAATGTATCCCTATTTCTGCTACCCAACCTTCCTCAAATTTATTTCCAGAATAAAATGCATGTATACTATAACATAGATATTTAACTTCAATTTTCATTTTTAAATAACTTCAGAATAAAATCATATATTAGTATGAATTTATAAAAACCAGCTTCATACTTGACTTGGTGCATTCATTTTAAAAGAAGTACAAAAAGCACTGAATAGCCAAAGCAGTCATAAGTGAAAAGAACAAAGCTAGAGGCATCACACTACCTGATCTCAAAATATACTACAAAGCCATAGCAATCAAAATGGCATGGTACTAGCATAAAACAAACACACAGACAAAGGCAACAGAATAGAGAGCCTATAAATAAATGCATTCATTTACAATGAATTGGTTTGTGACAGATGCCAAGAATGCACAATAAGGAAAGGGCAGTCTCTCCAATAAATGGTGCTGGGAAAACTGAATATCCATATGCACAAGAGTGAAATAAGACCTTCATCGTATACTGTATATGAATATCAACCCAAAATAGATTAAAGACTTAAATGTAAGACCTGAAACTAAAACTACTAGAAGAAAACATAGGAAAAAAGCTTCATGATATTCGTCTGGACAATTGCTTTTTTGATAAGATCCCAAAAGCCCAGGCAACAAAAACAAAATTAGACAAATAGGATTATATAAAACTCAAAAGCTTCTGCACAGCCAAAGAAAGAATCAACAAAATGAGAGACAACCTATGGAATGGGCAAAAAATTTGCAAACCATACATCTGATAAGGGATTAATGTCCAAAATATGTAAGGAGCTCCAAACAACTCAATAGAAGGAAAATAAATAACCTGATTTTAAAAATGGGCAAAAAACCTGATGACATTTCTCAAAAGAAGGCACACAAATGGATAACTTCTATATGAAAAATGCTTAACATTGCTAATCACCACATAAATGCAAATTAAAACCACAGCAAAATATTACCTCACACCCTCACACCTGTTAGAATGGCTGTTATAAAAATGATGAAAGATAACAAGTGTTGGTGAGGATGCGGAGAAAAGGGAACTTTGCTATAGAGTTGGTGGCAATGTAAATTGTACAGCCACTATGGGAAACAGTATGGAAGTTTCTCAAAAAATAAAAACAGAACAATCATATAACTAAGCAATTTTTCTTCTGCATATATATCCAGTGATAATGAAATCAACATGTTGAAAAGATAGCTGCATCCCCAAGTACTTTGAATCATTGTTCACCATATCCAAGATATGGAATCAATCTAAGTGTCCATCAATGGACAAATGAATAAAGAAAATGTGGGATATATATATATGCAATGGAATACCATTCAGCCTCAAAAAGAAAGAAATCTTGTTTATGACAACATAGGTGAACTTGGAGGACATTATGTTAAGTAAAACATGCCAGGCACAGAAAGACAAATATCACATTATCTCATTCATATTTGGAATCTGAAAAAGTTGAACTAATAGAAGCAGATATTAGAATTGTATTTTGAAGGAGCTGAGGGTCAGGGAAATGGGGAGATGGTCGAATAATACAAAATTTCAGTTATGCAGAATGAATAAGTTCTGGAGATCTAATGTACAGCATGGTGGCCATAGTTAACAATAATGTATTGTATCCTTGAAATTTGCTAAAAGAGTAGACCATAAATGTTCTCACCACAAAAAAGTGACTACATGAAGTGATATATGTTAATTAGCTAGATAGTGGTAATTATATGTATACATATTTCACAATGCATATGTATATCAAAACGTCAGTTTGCATACCTTAAATATATACAATTTTTAATTGTTAATTATAACTCTATAATGCTGAAAAACAGACACTAATATGACTTATGTACCTATACACTTATATATTTATACTAATACACTTATTATATACACTTACACACACATATACCTATATGTTTCTAAATTATATATCCATATATTACATATAAATACTTACACTTTTATAACGTACATGACAAAACTTATATGAGGTACCTAGAGAAGTCACATTTATAAAGAAAGAAAGTAGAACAGTGCTTACCAGGAGCTGCAGAAGGGAGAAAGAGGAATCATTGTTTAATTGTTGTAGAATTTCACATTTGCAAGATGAAAATCTCTGGTGCTCTGTTTCACAACCATATGAAAGACACTTTACATTGTGATTATACATAGCAATTCTAAACTATACACTTAAAAATGGTTAATTACATCTCTCTATATCATATGTCATCAGGGAAATGCAAATTAAGCCAACAGTGAGATATCACTACACATCTATTAGAATGGCCAGAATCCAAAGCACTGACAACACCAAATGCTGACGAAGGTGTGGAGCAACAGGAACTCTCGTTTATTGTTGGTGGGAATGCAAAAAGGTACAGACACTTTGGAAGAGAGTTTGGCAGTTTCTTAACACAACTAAACGTACTCTTACCATACAATCTAGCAGTTGTGCTCCTTGGTATTTACCCAGAGGAGTTGAAAACTTGCATCTGTATTGTAGCTTTATTCACAATTGCCAAAACTTGAAAGCAACCAAGATATCATAGGTGAATGGATAAATCAGCAGTGATACTTCCAGAAAATGGAATATTGTTCAGCACTCGAAATGAGCAATCAAGCCATGAAAAAAACATGGAAGAAATTTAAATACATATTACTAAGTAAAACAAAGCAGTCGGAAAAAGCTACATTCTCTATGCTGGCAATTACGGGCATATCTTGTTTTATTGTGTTTTGCTATATTGAACTTCACAGATATTGTGTTTTTTTACAAATTGAAGATTTGTGGTAGCCTTACATTGAGAAAGTTTATCCGCTCCATTTTTCCAACAGTATGTGCTCATTTCATATCTCCGTGTGACATTTTGATAATTCTAGCAATGTATAAAAATTTTTCGTTATTATTATATCTGTTATGGTGACATGTGATCAGTGATCTTTAATGTTGTTATTGTAATTGTTTTGGGGTACCACAAATTGCACCCAATAAGACAGCAAACTTAATCCATAGATGCTGTGTGTATTCTGACTGCTCCAGGGACCCACCACTCCCCTGTTTCTCTCCCTCTCCTTGGGCCTTTCTGTTCTCACAACAATATTGAAATTAGGTCAATTAATAACCCTACAATGATCTCTACGTGTTCAAGTGAAAGGAATAATTTTACATCTTTCATTATAAATCAAAAGCTAGAAATGATTAAGCTTAGTGAGAAAGGCATGTCGAATTCCAAAATAGGCTGAAAGCTAGGCTTCTTGCACCAAATAGCCAAGTTATTAATGCAAAAGAAAAGTTTTTGAAGGAAATTAAAAGTGCTACTCCAGTGAACACACCAGCGATAAGAAAGAGAAACAACCATATTGCTGATATGGAGAAAGTTTTAGTGGTGTGGATAAAAGATCAAACTAGCCATAATATTCCCTTAAGTGAAAGCCTCATTCAGAGCAAGGCCCTCTTTAATTCTATGAAGGCTGAGAGAGGTGAGGAAGCGGAGGAAGAAATGTTTGAAGCTGTTAGAAGTTGGTTCATGGGGTTTAAGGAAAGAAGCTGTCTCCATAACGTAAAAGTGCAAGAAGAAGTAGCAAGTGGTACCAAACAGCAGATTTTTAATGTAGACAAAACAGTCTCATATTGGAAGAAGATGCCATCCAGAAGTTCCAGAGCTAGAAAGGGAGAAGTCAATGCCTCACTTCAAAGCTTCAAAGGGCAGGCTGACTCTCTTGTTGGGCCTAAAGCTGGCGACTTTACAATAAAGCCAATGTCCACTTACCATTCCGAAAATCCTAGGGCCTTTATGAGTTATATTAAACCTACTCTGCCTGTGCTCTATAAATGGAGCAACAAAGCGGGGATGACAGCCCATCTGTTTACAACATGGTTTTCTGAATATGTTACGTTCACTGTTGAGACCCGCTGATGAGAAAAAAGAAAGAAACAATTCGTTTAACATATTACTGTTCATTGACAATGTACCTAATACTCAAGAACTCTGATGGGGATGTACAAAGAGATTAATGTTGTTTTCATGCTTGGCTATACAACATTAATTCTACATCCCATGAATCAATTTTGACTTTCATATCTTATTATTTAAAAAAATACATTTTTGCAAGGCTATAGCTGCCATAAATAGTTATTCCTCTGATAGATCTGGGAAAAGTCTATTGATAAACCTTCTGGAAAGCATTCACCATTCTTGATAGCATTAAGAACATTTGTATAGCAGAGAGCCAAATTATGAATTAACTGGCATTCACAATTGCTACAAAGGGAATAAAATACCTAGGAATACAGCTAACAGGGGAAGTAAAGGACCTCTTCAAGGAGAACTACAAACTACTGCTCAAGGAAATCAGAGAGGACACAAACAAATGAAAAAACATTCCATGCTCACAGATAGGAAGAAACAATATTGTGAAAATGGGCATACTGCCCAAAGTACTTTATAGATTCAATGCTATTACCATTACAGTACCATTGACATTCTTCACAGATTTAGAAAAAACTATTAAAATTTGCATGGAACCAAAAATGGGCCTGTATAGCCAAGATAATCCTAAACAAAAAGAACAAAGCTGGAGGCATTATGATACCTGACTTCAAAAGATACTACAAGGCTGTAGTAACCAAAACAGCATGGTACTGGTACAAAAACAGACACATAGACCAATGGAACAAAATGGAGAACTCAGAAATAAGACACTACATCTGCAACCATCTGATCTTTGACAAACCTGACAAAAGCAATGGGGAAAGGGTTTCCTATTTTATAAATGGTGCTGGTAGAACTGGCTAGCCATATGCAGAAAATTAAAACTGGACCCCTTTCTTACACCATATACTAAAACTAACTCAAGATTAATTAAAGACTTAAATGTAAAACCCAAAACTATAAAAAACCCAGAAGATAATCTCGGCAATACCATTCAGGACATAGGCACTGACAATGATGAAGCAATTGCAACAAAAGCGAAAATTGAGAAATGGGATCTAATTAAACAAAAGAGCTTCTGCAAAGCAAAAGAAACTATCATCAGAGTGAACAGACAACCTACAGAATGGGAGAAAATTTTTTCTATCTACTCATCTGACAGAGGTCCAATATCCAGAGTCTACAAAGAACTTAAACATATTTACAAGAAAAAAAAAACACATTAAAAAGTGGACAAAGGACATGAACAGACACTTCTCAAAAGAAGACATTCATGCGGCCAATAAACATATGAAAAAAAGCTCAACATCACTCATCATTACAGAAATGCAAATCAAAAGCACCATGAGATACCATCTCACACACATCAGTCAGAATGGCTATTATTAAAAAGTCAAGAAAGAACAGATGCTGGTGAGGTTGTGGAGAAACAGGAATGCTTTTAACTGTTGGTGGGAATGTAAATTAATTCAACCGTTGTGGAAGACAGTGTGGTGATTCCTCAAACACCTAGAACCAGAAATACCATCTGACACAGCAATCCTATTGCTGGGTATGTACCCAAAGGAATATAAATCTTTCTATTATAAAGATACATGCACATGTATGTTCATTGCAGCACTATTCAGAATAGCAAAGACATGGAATCAACCAAAATGCCTGCCAATGATAGACTGGATAAAGAAAATGTGGTACATATACACCATGGAATACTATGCAGCCATAAAAAGGGATGAGATCCTGTCCTTTGCAGGGACATGGAGGGAGCTGGAAGCCGTTATCCTCAGCAAACTAACACAGGCACAAAAAAAACAAACACTGCATGTTCTCACCCATAAGTGGGAGCTGAACAGTGAGAACACATGGACACAGGGAGGGGAGCAACACACAGTGGGGCCTGTCAGGGGAGGGCAGATAGGGAAGAGCATCAGGAAAAATAGCTAATGCATGATGGGCTTAATACCTAGATGATGGGTTGATAAGTGCAGCAAACCACCATGGCACACATTTACCTATGTAACAAACCTGTACATGTACCCTGGAAAATAGAATAAAAAGAACATTTGTAATCCATGCGAAGCGGTCAAAATGTCAACATTAAGAGGAGTTTGGAGGAAGTTGATTTCAACTCACAAGGATGACTTTGAAGGGTTCAATACTTCAGTGGGGGAAATAAATGCAGATGTGATGGAAATAGCAAGAAAACTAAAATCCATCACTAAAGATGTAACTGAATTGCTGCAATCTCATGATAAAATTTAAATGGGGGAAGGTGTTGTTTCTTATAGATTAGCAAAGAAAATAATTTCTTGAGATGGAATTTACTCCTGGTTAGATACTGTTAACATCGATGAAATGAAAACAAAGGATTTAGAATATTACATAAACTTAGTTAATAAAGCAGTGGCAGGGTTTGAGAGGATTGACTCCAATTTTGAAAGAAACTCTGCTATGATAAAATGCTATCAAACACTATCGCATGCTATAGAGAACTCTTTTGTGAAAGGAAGAATCAATGTGGAAAATTTGATTGTTGTCTTAAGAAATTGGCATAGCCACCCAACCTTCAGCAACCACACCCTGATCAGTCAGCAGCCATTAGCATAGAGGCAAGGCCCTCCACCAGAAAAAAGGTGATGCCACTAACATGGAGGCAAGGCCTTCTACCAGTGAAAAGATGAAGGCTCTGATGATTGTTAGCATTTTTTAGCAATAAAGTATTTTTAAATTAAGATATGTATGTTGTTCTTTACATGTAATGCTATTGCACAATTAATAGACTAAAATATAGTGTAAACATGACTTTTTATGCAGTGGGAAACAAAAAACTTTGTGTGATTCACTTTATTGCAATATTGCTTTATTGCAGTGATCTGGAACTGAGTTAATAGTATATTTGAGGTATGCCTATATGTGACATTCTAGAAAAGGCAAAACTATGGAAGCAGTAAAAAGATCATTGCTTTCCAGAGGTTAGGTGGGACAGAGGGATGAATAGATGGAACACAGAGGATTTTTAGGGCAGTAAATCTGTTCTTCTGTATGATACTATAATGGTGGATATATGCCATCACAAATTGGTCCCAACCCATAGAATATATACCACCAAGAGTGAACCGTAATGTAAACTGTGGACTTTGGGAGATAATGATGTGTCAGTAAGGTTCATCAATCGTAACAAATGTACCACTCTGGTAGGAGATGTTGACAATTGGGGAGCCTATGCATGAGTTGGGGAACAGAGGATTACATAGAAAATCTCTGTATCTTCTGCTCAATTTCAATGTGAACATAAAATATACATGTATATATATCTTATAATTTTAAGTGCATATTGCAATTGTTGATTTCTTTTACTCTAAGAAAATTATAAATGCATGAAACCTCAGCATTAAATGTACTCCTTATTAATGATTCTGTAGTAATGACATGCATTCTAACTGCCAGAAATTTGTAATTTGTATTTATAATTACTTCAAAATAACTCTTTATTAGTTAATTATATAACTATTATTATTAAACACAAGATCTTATGTATTATCTAGTGTTTCTTACACCTGAACCTATGTTCTGCAAGTGAATATAAACTTTAATGAATATGTATTTAATAGGAATTTGTTCTACTCATTTATAGTCAGTCTTGTTTTTTTTTTCAGGGATTCTTTGGCAAACATTAAGCATTTTCTTTCATGACCTCATTAACCTATTTTATTCTATTGGTAATTTGAGTAAAATAACATTCAACACGCCCATTGTGAGAGTTGTACTTGGAGATCAAAACAGAAGTTGGAGATGTCAACAACAAGTGCACATCACTGCTTGCCCCCTAAAATATTACAAAGTAGGAAACAATTGTCAGTGTTTCTTCATCTCGCCCCTACTGCACAAAACCATGCTTATTTTCCTTCATAACTATTGTCTTCATGTGGCCCAGAGCCCTTCATTTTGGTTTCAAATGTAGGTCTCTGTAGCAGTGACCCACATTACCAAGCCATGAACTTTACCAGGAAATACTTCCGCTGAGCTCCAAAGACCTTTAGAATTAAACTATTTCTTAAATATTTCTTTTTTTTTTAATTTTTTTTATTATACTTTAAGTTTTAGGGTACATGTGCACATTATGCAGGTTAGTTACATACGTATACATGTGCCATGCTGGTGTGCTGCACTCACTAACTCGTCATCTAGCATTAGGTATATCTCCCAATGCTATCCCTCCCCCCTCCCCCCACCCCACAACAGTCCCCAGAGTGTGATGTTCCCCTTCCTGTGTCCATGTGATCTCATTGTTCAATTCCCACCTATGAGTGAGAATATGCGGTGTTTGGTTTTTTGTTCTTGCAATAGTTTACTGAGAATGATGATTTCCAATTTCATCCATGTCCCTGCAAAGGACATGAACTCATCATTTTTTATGGCTGCATAGTATTCCATGGTGTATATGTGCCACATTTTCTTAATCCAGTCTATCATTGTTGGACATTTGGCTTGGTTCCAAGTCTTTGCTATTGTGAATAATGCCGCAATAAACATACGTGTGCATGTGTCTTTATAGCAGCATGATTTATAGTCCTTTGGGTATATACCTAGTAATGGGATGGCTGGGTCAAATGGTATTTCTAGTTCCAGATCCCTGAGGAATCACCACACTGACTTCCACAATGGTTGAACTAGTTTACAGTCCCACCAACAGTGTAAAAGTGTTCCTATTTCTCCACATCCTCTCCAGCACCTGTTGTTTCCTGACTTTTTAATGATTGCCGTTCTAACTGGTGTGAGATGGTATCTCATTGTGGTTTTGATTTGCATTTCTCTGATGGCCAGTGATGGTGAGCATTTTTTCATGTGTTTTTTGGCTGCATAAATGTCTTCTTTTGAGAAGTGTCTGTTCATGTCCTTCGCCCACTTTTTGATGGGGTTGTTTGTTTTTTTCTTGTAAATTTGTAAATATTTCTTAAATAGAATATAGTCATTTTTCAGATTAGAAAACTGAGACTCAGGCAAAAGTGATAGTCAATGTTACTTACCTGGAACTGAAATCCAGGTCATCTGACACTCAGTTAGATATTGCTTCCATTTAAAAAGTTTTTTTTTTTTTTTTAATATTTCTTCAGATGGTCCTGTCTCTCCTGACATTAAAATCTAGAAAAATACATTCCCTTTAATAGAGAATTCTAACTGATTTGCTCAATTAGACTTTACAGTATATTCCTTTATAGGTTTCTGTAATCTTACAAGTAACTCTCATTCTCTGACTCTACTCATTTTTACATATATAAGCCTCTCTCATCTTACACAAATCCTCTCCTCAGTGCACTTACTGTTTAAAACACTCCACACTCCCTTTCTTTTAGAACCGTTTGTATTCAACCCATTTCCTCACCCCCTGTTTATACATCCATTGCTGTCTGGCTTCTGCCTCCATCATTCTACCATAACTTCTTTTACTGAAGGCATCAATGAACTGTGTGCCACTAAACCCAAGGGATGCTTTTTAGTCTGTATCTTGACAGTGCCTTATCAGTACTGAGCATGGGTTATCTTGGTCTTTTAAAAAGGACTCTTAGTCTTGTTATCTTAGACATCATATTTTAAGGTTTTTCTTCCTATATGTCTGGGCACTACTTTCTAGTAGCTATTATAGGTTCATGTTCTTCTCTTTCTTCAAATGCTTTTAACCGTAAGACTTTGTCCTAGGCCCTCCTCTCTGCATGTTGGAAATGTTTATTAGGCACCTCTATGTGCTAAGCACTGTCATAGGAACTGAGAAGAAGCAATGATTAAAACAGATAAACAAACCTTGACTTCAAGGAGCTTAGATTCTTACATTCTTTTATGTCTACAACACACTCTGAGTATCCTCATCCAACCTGTGTCTTTAATCACCATCTCTATATAGATAATTTCAAAATATATATTCTCATCATGGTCATCTCTTACTAAGAAGACACAATTCAACGTGAAGACTGTAGGATGACAGGAGTCTCGTGGAGACAGAAAGGATAAGAGTATTCTAGACAGAGAAAGCAGAATGTACAAAGGTCTGAGGCAACAAATAATGTGTGTCTGTAGAGCACCCCAAGCTGAGGTAGGAGAAGAAGGTAAGGGCTAGATCACACAGACATTTTGAATCACAATAAAGAGTTTGACTTTTATTACAAATGCAAAAAACTTCATTGATTTACTTTTCAATTCTAGTGAAAATACCATATTATTTTCATTGGTTTTGCTTTATTGTGTTCAGATTTGATTGAAGAAGCCCTATGTTAACCTTTAAAAAGTGTCTATTTTCATGCGTCTACTCTTTTATTATACTTGAGAATAATTTTGTCAATATAAAAAATCCATTGAAATTTGGCCGGGCACGGTGGCTCACGCTGTAATCCCAGCACTTCGGGAGGCCAAGGTGGGTGGATCATGAGTTCAGGAGTTCGAGACCAGCCTGACCAGCATGGTGAAACCCCATCTCTACTAAAAATACAAAAATTAGCCAGGCATGGTGGCACGTGCCTGTAATCCCAACTAATCAGGAGGTTGAGGCAGGAGAATCACTTGAACCCAGGAAGCCGAGGTTGCATTGAGCCGTGGCTGTGCCACTGCACTCCAGCCTGGGCGACAGTTTTTTTCTGTCTCAAAAAAAAAAATTTATTGAAATTTTTATTGTAATTTTAATAAGTATGCAGATTAACTGGGGGAGAATGGATATCTTTTTGGTATAGCATCGTTTTATCTAAAAATATACTACTCTTCACTTATTGGATCATTCAGTAAAGTTATACTGATAGATTGAGATAGATAGATTTACACTATACAGTTGCTTTTATGTTTATTTCTAGGTATTTCACAGTTGTTACGATGAATGTGATTTTTATTATTATATGTTCTCACTGGTATTGAGTTTTATAGGAAAACTAATGATTTCATATATTAAATTTGTAGTCATGTACCTTATAATATCTATTCATTTTTCAGTTATTTTGCCCTGAGTTTACTAGTAAAACACATTTCCAAATAATTATAATTTTATTTTCTCCATCCCCAAAGCTATAATTTTACTTTTTATTCATGTTCTAATGTATTAAATAATACTTCCAGAAGGATGAAAAATAAGTAGGTTTGTAGGAGGATTTGCCTTATTCCTATTTCAATGTGATTACAGTTTTAACAGTATATATCACAGAAGCTATTAGTTGGAAATACATATTCAATAAGATATTAAGAAAGATTTTCATTTCTAGGTTTCTAAAATGTTGTCGCTATCAGGAATAAGTGTTGCCTTATATCAACTACCTTTTCTGCACTATATAGATCAGTGTACACCTGTTATTTGATCTATTTTTGTTATGATTTTTGTTCATAGATTTCCTTACAAAGAATCATTGTTGAATTCCTGGAATAAACCATATTGGTTATGGTGCATTAATCTTTTACCATATAATGCTAGACTCCATTATCTAATATTTTATTTAGAATTTTTGCATCTATATTTATAATTCATATTGGTCAGTAATATGTTGTGATATTCCTAAGAATTTTTTATATTGGTAATGGATGTTAAATTTTACAACTCTTTTTAGCATCCACTAAAGATAGACCATATGGTATGTCTCTGAAAACACAATAACTTTGCTAAAAAAATTGTTTTTTAATTAGGGTTTGTGAAAGGAAAATATCTTGGGCCCCTTCAAGCTGGGAACTGCTCAGGGCAAATCTGCTTCCCATTCTATTCAAAGTCATCCCTCTGCTCACAGAGATAGATGCATATTCTAATTTTTTCGTTTGGAAACACTTATCAGAAATGCAAAAGAATGCAACCATTTGTCTCTCTCCTACCTGTGACCTGGAAGCCCCAGGGACGGAAGGGAGAGGGGGGGCCCTTCTTTGAGTTGTCCCTGGCTTTCTGGATGGAACTAACATACTTCTTTTTTTTTTTTTCTTTTTTTTTGAGTTGGAGTCTCACTCTTGTCACCGCGGCTGGAGTGCAGTGGCGCGATCTCGGCTTACCACAACCTCCACCTCCTGGGTTCAAGCAATTCTCCTGCCTCAGCCTCCTGAGTAGCTGGGATTACAGGCGCCCGCCACCACTCTTGACTAATTTTTTTTTTTTTTTTTTGTATTTTTAGTAGAGACAGGGTTTCACCATGTTGGTCAGGCTGGTCTCAAACTCCTGACCTCATGATCCACCCGCCTCAGCCTCCCAAAGTGCTAGGATTACAGGCCTGAGCCACCGTGCCCGGCCGAACTAATGTACTGCTTACATATATTGATTGATGTCTCATGTCTCCCTAAAATGTATAAAACCACGCTGTGCCCTGACCACCTTGGGCACATGTCGTCAGGATTTCCTGAGGCTGTCATGGGAGCATTCTCAACCTTGGCAAAATAAACTTTCTAAGTTAACTGAGACCTGTCTCAGATTTTCTGGTTTCCCAGGTTATAGAGAACTATGAAATTTTCTTGGATGTTTGTCAGATAGTTATATACCTTTGTTATTTAAGAAATCCGAGATGTATATATATATGGATTTTTTTCATTTATTTTGCCAGGAAAATTGTGAGACCCTCGATCCGTAAACACAAGTTTTCTTTATTTCAGATTTAAAAGATAAATGATTATTTCTTTTGACTCTACTTTTCCTATTTTTTCCTCAGAAACACCTATACGTTTTAGATTGCATTTCTATTCCCTTTCCACTGTAATCTTACAGTATTTATTTGTCTTTGCCATTTTTCTCTGTTATCTGACACAGTTTATTACTCTTTTCACTTATGGGGCTGAAATAATTTTTGACAGTCTTAACTATTTCTTTTACTCAGTTCAAATGTGGCTGTTAATTCTATTATTATAGTATAGTATCCTTGCAATACTTCCTTATTTCAGCCATTATCATTTACATCTGAGCTTGTTTCTTTTTATAATTTTCTGTTCCTTTTTTGAAAATACCATACTTCCTTGCAGTCTATTGAAGATATGCAACATCTTTAGAAATTTCCTCAGAATTATTCAGGAGGTCATTTATTTTTCAAATATATATGCTTCCTTTGAAAGTGTGAGTTTATATTCCTACTCTTTATTCTTGAACATTTCCCATAAACCCACAGTGCTTGTGGTGGTGGTGGTGGCGGTGGTGGTGGTGGTGGTTTATGTTTTTCTTCT
This sequence comes from Homo sapiens, assembly GCF_000001405.40. Lineage (NCBI taxonomy): Eukaryota > Metazoa > Chordata > Mammalia > Primates > Hominidae > Homo > Homo sapiens. The sequence continues at coordinate 113,562,146 of NC_000023.11, read as the reverse complement.
GTTTTTTTCTTGAAAGAAGTAAGCTTTATTTGGACTTATTTGACAGCCTATGAGCTGCCTTTTATTTACTTAAATTATAGATAAATTCACTTCTAAAATCAATATTTGGGGGCAGGTTGATGCACTTAGTTTTCATCCCAAGCCCACTTTTAGCAACAATCAGTACAACTTTGATGTTCTGAAGTGGGATAATTTTCTACCACTTTGCCTGGTTTTCAGAAAAATTGAGTATACTGCTTCCAAGACTTCTCTCTGTGTCTTTCTCATTCCTCCCTGACCTCTCCTCACAAAAAACTTTATCCCTAGGAACCATCTCCCTTTGTTCCTGTCCTGTTATATTTTGATTATAGCCGTTTCTGAATGTTTTTAATGAGAAGAGAAGCTGTACTCAGCCTTCTTGTTTCTTCTTGACTTTTAGAGAAAAGCTGTTTCATGGAGTGAAATATAGAAAGCTCAGCAAGCAAGACCTGAAGTCTTTTTTTTAATCCACTTCCAGATTCTTATAGTTAATAGACATTTCTTCCACAGTCTAGCATTAGGTCAGTGCTTGTTTTCAATAGTGGCATGAGATTTAACATTAATGTATGCCTTTATTTGGTATTTTAGCAGGAAGCTAGGAAAGTCTGAATTATGGGCTGTTAATCAGGCATTATTTTAAGCTAGAAATTCTTCTGGCCACTTATACTGATGTCTTATTTTATTGTGCCACAGTTCCTAAGATATAGGAATTAAGAAGTAAGACGGTCTTTTAAAGCTCAAGACATTCCATGTATTTGCTTCTATTTTTATTTATCACTGTCCTCAGTATCTTCAGTTCCTTTTATCTGGAAGTTAGCCCAGTGTTTTCACCAGATATTCGATTTTATAAATGATAGTCTCAAACCAGAGTCCATTAAAATTATTCAAAAAAGCAAAGCACTCTTATTTTCTTATTATCTTAAGGAGAAGCAAAGCATTGCTTCACGAAAGTTCCTTTGTTTAAAAATAATTTCTCACATCAGGTTAATGTAGGAAAGTTTATTACACATTACTTAGAGGTTCCAACCTGAAACAATCTCAACTTAAGTATCTCAAAGTGCATAGGGGCAGGCACCAGTAACAACCTTGGGTTACAGTTGGTTAAAAAAAAAAATGGAATAGTAACACAGTATTTGGTGCCTTCTTGTGAATGAAAAGTTCAAATTTGTATTCATCATAGGATTTATACTCAGTAGAGCAACTGATTTCTGCTATTGCAGAGGCTATATCAATTTTAACCAATTTCAAACAAAACATGAAGATAATGAATATCATACGTGATATGTTAAGTAATGAATTGTAAATGTTCTTTATTTTACTGCCAAAAAGAAACTGAAAGAACTTTGTGTTTAGAATTTATTAAAATATGGGTAGCCATATTAAAGTATAAAAGAAATATTATTTTCTTTTAAAAAATACAATTTGCACATACATTAAAATCAATCATTATGTAGACATCTAACAAAAGCATTATATTTAAAATGTCAATCCAAAAGTAATGCAAGGTGCCATTTCCCAATACTTTGAACATGAGAGAATTCTTTTTTTTTTTTTTTTGAGATGGAGTCTCACACTCTTGCCCTGGCTCCCAGTGGCGCAATCTCTGCTCACAGCAACCTCTGCCTCCTGGGCTCAAGCGATTCTCCTGCTTCAGCCTCCCAAGTGGCTGCAATTACAGGTGCCCACCACAATGCCCAGCTAATTTTTTGTATTTTTAGTAGAGGTGGGGTTTCACTATGTTGGCCAGGCTGGTCTTGAACTCCTGACCTCGTGATCTGCCCACCTCAGCCTCCCAAAGTGCTGGGATTACAGTCATAAGCCACTGCGACCAGCTGAGAATTTTTTATTTCATATCCAAAAGAACAGTTTTCATGGCCCTCAATTTTTTATTTATTTATTTATTTGTATTTATTTATTTATTTTTTTGAGACAGAGTTTCACTCTTGTTGCCCAGGCTGGAGTGCAATGGCACGATCTTGGCTCACCACAACCTCCGCCTCCCAGGTTCAAGCAATTCTCCTGCCTCAGCCTCCCAAGTAGCTGGGATTACAGGCATGTACCACCACGCCCGGCTAATTTTGTATTTTTAGTAGAGACAGGGTTTGTCCATGTTGGTCAGGTTGGTCTCAAACTCTCAACCTCAGGTGATCCACCTGCCTCGGCCTCCCAAAGTGCTGGGATCACGGGTATGACCCATCATGCCCAGCCAGATGCAGGTTTTTTTCGTTATATATATTTATGGTGTACAGTGTGATTTTTTTTTTTTTAAGACAGAGTCTCACTCTGTTGCCCAGGCTGGTGCACAATGGCAAAATCTCGGCTCACTGTAACCTCCGCCCCCTGGGTTCAAGTGATTCTCCTGCCTCAGCCTCCTGAGTAGCTGGGATTACAGGCACCTGCCACCACACCCAGCTAATTTTTGTAATTTTAGTAGAGACGGGGCTTCACCATCTTGGCCAAGCTGGTCTTGAACTCCTGACCTCGTGATCCACCTGCCTTCGCCTCCCAAAGTCCTGGGATTACAGGTGTGAGCCACTGCACCTGGCCCAGTGTGATGTTTTGATATATGTGTACTTCATGAAATGAGTAAATCAAGCTGATTAACATACCCATCACTTCATATGCTTATCATTTTTTTTGTGGTAAGAACATTTAAAAATCTACTTTTTTAGCAATTTTAAAATAGATGCCATTTTTAATGCAAGACCAGAGCTGTTACAAAAATACATAGGAAGGGCATGTCCTTTATAACAGACTGTTGTATGCCAAGTCAGTTTCTCCAATATTAGATTTCACATATGTAAGTTCTTGCTTAAATTGGAACAGCTCCCAATCAGTTTTGCATCCTACCACCTCCTACTCTGCATTCAAAAAAATCTATCAAGGCAGAATCTTCTCAGATACAGGTGCCTTTTTTAAAATTATTATTGTTAGGGTGGTTGTCTCAACCCGAGATTTCTACAAAATTGTAAAAGCTTTAGGGGAGTCTCTCTTTGGGGTCTGAGAGTGAATGGAATTTTACACACAAAAAATTTATTAAAGTCCTTGTCAGTCTCCTAGTCATGTCTGCATGACTAGTCAGCCCTCAAATCCATTCATTCAGGAAATATACTCTGACTTAATGGTGTTAGGAGAAGTTATTTTTAACTGAGATAAACCAAATAATTTTCTGTTAAGTTGTTCTATTCAAGCAGTAATAATGTAGAAGAACCATAATTATCATACTGAAATCTAAGGAGACAATAGAATACAGTCAAATAGTGTTGGGTTTGAAAGCAGAGAGACCTGGACTAAGGTCTTTGCACAGTCACTTACTAATCATGCGACCTTGGGCAATTTTCATCTCCTCTCTGAGTTTTAGTTTCCTCATCTGTAAGATAAGGGTACCAGTATCTGCCTCAAGGGCCATGAGGCTTCAGAGATAGCACATTGAAAATGGCCTGGCATATAGTAGGCATTTAATAAACACTAGCTTTTTTTTGCTTAAAGGCCACAATAATACTGTGAAGGATGGGAGACAATCTCCTGGTAGCAATAAGAAACCTGGAACCTGGAATAAGATGGGTCAGGGTTATAGTCTTTGGTGCTTTGTTTGCCTCCTTCCATGTTCCTTCTCTCAGACTTTCCTTCCATTCAGCCTCTTCTAAGATAATGAAAATACTTCCTTGATCATCATTTCTCCTCTAGTGATTTTTATGCCAGCCATAATGAACTCATTTTAGTTTTTCAAACATTTTATGTTCTTTGGGTCTCAGTCCATGCTCTTTCCTCTTTTTGGAACACTCATCACCCAGTTATTTACTCATCTTTTATGTCTTTCTTTAGTAAGCCTTCCATGAGTCCCTAAATTAGGGTTTGATGTCCCTTTTATATGTTGTCATAGCACCTATTTCCTCTATTGTAACATTAATCTCTATTTTAATTGCTTGTTTATTTGTCTACCTCTTTCCCTATAATGAAAATGCCATGAATGCCAAAGATCATCTCTGTATTATTCACTGTGGCTAACACAGTGAATCTGTGAGTAGTAAGTGGTAGTTTCTCATTTAAGCCATTCATGAAAGAATCATGAAAGACACCCTGCTGTCTGTCCAACTTTATCAAACTAAAGTTGTTAAGTAGAAAAGTGTTGCCACACTAATGCTCTCACTATTTCATGAACATTTCAGATGATCCATCCGTTCCTTTCTTTCAGATACAAAGCATACAAGTCAGTAGCATGATTAATAAGCATCATTTTTATTGGGTTTAGGGAAAATATTTATGTGGAACTAAGTGGTCTGATTAAGAACAGACCACACAACATGATGGAAAAAACATTGGATTGGGAGCCAGGAATCCCAAGTGCTAGTTCTCCTTCTGCAACCTATTAGCCATGTAAAACTTAGTTAAGTTTTATCTCTCTGATTTCTAGTTCCCTCATTTGTGATTAACAATATCATTTCTAAATATTTAATAGAATTATTGAAAGGGTCAAATGACAAAAGAGAACGGTAAGCAGGCAAGCACTTTCACAATATACAATTTTATCATGCAGAGAATCTGTGATGAAAGAACTGTTTGATTTAGAATTTAAAAACTTTGCAATATAGGGAAAAGTAAATGTTATTGCTTTCAGAAGAAAATCCTCACTACACAAAACAACCTTGATATGGTTTGGCTGTGTCCCCACTCAGATCTCATCTTGAATTCCCATGTGTTGCAGGAGTGACCCAGTGGGAGGTAATTGAATCATGGGGGCAGGTTTTTTCTGTGTCGTTCTCGTGATAGTGAATAAGTTTCATGAGACATGATGGTTCTGTAAGAGGGAGTTTCCCTGCACAAGCTCTCTTTGCCTGCCGCCATCCATGTAAGTGAGACATGACTTGCTCCTCTGTGCCTTCCACCATTATTGTGAGGCTTCCCCAGCCATGTGGAGCTGTAAGTCTGTTAAAGCTTTTTTTCTTCCTATTCTCGGGTATGTTTTTATCAGCAGCGTGAAGACAGACTAATACAAACCTCATGTTTAAAAAATGTAATAACAAACACAGGTGACGTTTGTTCAATTTTATAATTCATATCATAAAACATGTATAAAATGAAATAATAATTTTTGCTTAATAAAGCTCTTAAATATCTCACATCAGTATCATTCATGTGAATAAAAATGATGTGTATGAAAAACAGCCTAATGTGTTTTCAAATGTAATAGTAAAATATATTCTGATTTGAAAACTTCAGTACTTAATCACTAAGTTATTCATAAAATATACCAAATGGGTTTCTAGTCTTTTAAATTTAAACACTTAGTCGAATACTATTTTTAAAATGTTTTATCATTCTTTTAAAAATATACTTTCTATGAGAATGACTTTTGCAGATGCTCTTAAAAATCTGACTTTTGCTTTTTAGTCAAAAAGTAGCAAACTCCCATAAGGTCCTTTTCCATTCCACAGATCTTCCCCTTTCCTTTTTATAAGATTCCTTGAGTCTGCCCTCAGCCCCTTAAATTATCAGTATATTATTGATGTGCAAAATTGTGAAAATATTCTCACCGGTGTCATTCATTTCCATGGGAAAACATCCAGTTTTAATTCTTACCTAGCATCTAACTACCTGATGCAGGAAAAATATTGGCATTTCTTAGAGCTGAGATTTTCTAAATTTAATTTCATGCATCGTTGACACCAGCTCAAATAGCATCCAGATTCTAAATGAAGTTTGAAATATGTAAAAAAAAAAAAAAAAATTCTACATTTGCGGTTTCCTTCAAACACACATTGTCTCTAGCACCTGGATATTTTCAAAGAAGTCAAGCTCAAAAATATCCTCCAGGCTTTTTTGCCCTTAAGATATACAGTGATATCCCTTATGGATAAGGAAATCCAGATGCCTTCAAAGAAAGTATTATTTAGTGAAAGGGTCTTCAAAAGCGCTTTTGTGAATCTGAAGTTTTCAATATAGCTGTCTATTTTCATAAGCTCAAAAGAAAAACCATGAATAAAAGACTCCTGACTTCATGTCTCTACTAAATTAGACATTTCTTGAAATGTACAATTTCAAAGAAATAAGTAAATTACATAGTCTTCTAGCCTTATTATGACATTGGTCACCTTGCTATCTATAACCCAGTGATGGTGACCTTTTCTGTTCTACCTACTTTCTTTATGTGTGTCATTCCCATTGCTTAGAATTCTGTCTCCTACCTGGTCTGGACAAATACTCTAAATCTTCCAGGTTTCCTATTCCTCTGTGATGATCCATAGACAAGGAATAGAAAAATACCGGAAGGCAGGCCGGGTGCGGTGGCTCACGCCTGTAATCCCAGCACTTTGGGAGGCCGAGGCGGGTAGATCACGAGGTCAGAAGATTGAGACCATCCTGGTTAACATGGTGAAACCGTCTCTACTAAAAATACAAAAAAAAAAAAAAATTAGCCCGGCATGGTGGCTGGCGCCTGTAGTCCCAGATACTAGGGAGGCTGACGCAGGAGAATGATGTGAACCCGGGAGGTGGACCTTGCAGTGAGCCGAGATCATGCCACTGCACTCCAGCCTGGAGGACAGCGAGACTCCGTCTAAAAAAAAAAAAAAAAAAAAAAAAGAAAAGAAAAGAAAAAAGAAAAAAAAGAAAAATACCGAAGGATAACTCAAAATATTGTAGAATAGTTTAGAAGATATGATTTGCTGTAATACATGGATCTAACAAGTTTGTGTCTGAGGAGGATGGAGAACATAGCATGGCACTGAATACAGTCACTTTGGGATTAGAAGTGATTCAAGTTTGATGGGGCTATATGTAAGTATATTGGATGGAATATAATGATACCATGGGTGGACAGCAGAGCACTATGAAAGGAGTCATTCGAGAAAAAAAAAAAACCTTCCTTAAATTTAGAGGTCCTCTTCATGTCTTCTCCACGGATAAATCAATAAAGTAAGGGTAGTCAAAGTGTTAATGATATGGGAGGGGAGCAGCAAAGTGCTGGGTAGAGAAAGGCGGGTCCCTGGCTAGGGCTCCACCCTCGGGCCTGTGCCCACGGACCTAGGTGAGGACAGGCACTCCTGCCTTCACTCCCAAATGTTGCATTTTCCAAGACCACTCTGTGCCCACACGCCTCATCCTGTGCCTATAAAACCCCAAGATCCTAGCGGGCAGACAACAACAAGCGGCTGGACGTCAAGAGATGCACATCAGCAGAAGGAGAACAAGTGGCTGGACGTGGAGAGGAGCACAGCAGTTGAAGAGCATGCCGACAGGCACCAGCAGACGCCAGCACACCAGGAGGCCATCCACTGGCGAAACGACACGGAGTTTGGCCCAGGTGGTCAGAGAAGAGTCTGGCTACTGGGCCGCCCGACTCCAGGGGAAAATCTTCCTACTCCATCTCCCTTCTGGCTTCCTCATCTGCTGAGAGCTACTTTCACTCAATAAAAAAAAAACCTTGCACTCATTCTCCAAGCCAAGGTGTGATTCAGTTTTTCCGGTATACCAAGGCAAGAAACCCAAGCATACAGACAGCACCCTGTCCTCGTGATAAGGCAGGGGGTCTAATTGAGCTGATAAACACAAGCCACCAACGGATGGCTAAACTAAAAGAGCACCCTGTAACGCACACTCACTGGGGCTTCAGAAGTTGTAAACATTCACCCCTAGGCGCTGCTGTGGGGTTGGCGCCCCACAGCCTGCCCCTCTGTATGCTCCCCTAGAGGTTTGAGCAGCAGGGCACTGAAGAAGCGAGCCACTCCCCTTGTCACATGCCCTGCGAGGGGGACAAGGGAACCTTTCCAGTTTCAGTAATGAAAAGACCTAAAGGGAAGAAAGATTGTAAGAAAAGTTTTGTCTTTGTAATTTTGCTTGTTCTTTAGATCAAAGTTCTTCCAAAAATACTGACACTATTTCGAGTGATAATACCCGGACTTTGAAGAAAATTCAGTTTATGATAGTAGGAAAATTATATGGGATAAAAGTTTACCTTAAATGTATTCTTGCTGTGTTAAGTGGAAGGAAAATGTTTAAACACAACAAATTGGTTCTTTGACATTTGAGCAAACTTTTTTGTTTACTAAATCGTTCTGTTTTCAGCTAGCTGCTCTGATGTCCTGTCAGTGCAGGTAGACTGATGCTCTATCAAGGTCATACATTTTGTGATTGTTGACTCTCAAAATTACTTTACTTATAAGGAGTGTTGACTCTCAAAATTACTTTACTTGTAAGGAGCCCATTCCCTGAAATTTAACAAGACTGAGAAGGAAGTCTAGATGCTGTGCAATTATAAAAAATGAAACTGGGTTTTTAAAAAATGCTTAATGTCAAATTTCACAGATCATTTGACTCTAATTTTTTTTTTTTTTTTTTGAGACGGAGTCTCACTGCTGCCCAGGCTGGAGTGCAATGTCATGATCTCGACTCACTGCAACCTCCACCTCCTGGGTTCAAGCCATTCTCCTGCCTCAGCCTCCCAGGTAGCTGGGACTACAGGCATGCCCCACCACGCCCGGCTAATTTTTGCATTTTTAGTAGAGATGGGGTTTCACCATGCTGGCCAGGCTGGTCTCAAACTCCTGACCTCAAGTGATCCACCTGCCTAGGCCTCCCAAAGTGCTGGGATTACAGATGTGAGCTACCGTGCCTGGCCTTGACCCTAAGTTTTTAAAAAGGATTTGCAAAGTCTAACTTTTATAAATAATAAAAAGAACGTAGGTCATAACAGATTAAGCAGGTTGATTTTCCTTGAGATTAATAGTATTACACATGTTTAATTCTACAAATTTAAAATTCAGAACAGTAGAAATCCAAGAAGTCAAATATAGCATCAAAATAGCAATAGACCAATATTAAGAAAAATGAACAGAGTATTTTCATTGTCCATAGGCTTGCCTTAAATTACACATAAATATTTGGTTAATTCGTTGCAGAAAAGCCTCTTCTCTATTGTCTTTTTTACTTTCTGTAGGGTTAGTTTCATTAACCTATGGTGACCAACTCTGCTGGTTTGCTGGAGATTGAGAGGTTTCCTAGGACGTCACACTTTCAGTGCTAGAAACGGGAGCATCTCAGGCAAACCTTATGCCACAGCTTGCCTAATTCCTGTGGTTTGGTACTAGTTCATGATTTTGACACAAAATATATATGTGATTACTGAATCTTCCTTGAAGGATGAAATTCTTACGGCATCTGGACCAAAATCTGATTTTAGGTATAATTTCTCCATCACTATCATCCAAGACTTCTGTATAAGGAACAAGTGAATTAATCATTTTTACAACAGAAGAGGTTAAATCTGTGGGTGAAATCTGTGGGTCAAATTGGAGCAACATGAACTTTAAGGCCAGACAAAACAGAACTTGAAATCTGACTCCAGCACTCCCTAGCTGGGTGACATGGAGCAAAATAATTTAACTCCTCAAGCTTTAGATTCTGCAAATGTCAAGTGGGATGGTACTGCTTACCTCAGAAGGTTGGTGCCTAAAAAAGCAAAGTGGCAGCCAGGTGTGGTGGCTCACACCTGTTATCCCAGCACTTTGGGAGGCTGAGGCAGGTGGATCCTGAGGTCAAGAGTTTGAGACCAGCCTGACCAATGTGGTGAAACCCTGTCTCTACTAAAAATACAAAAAAAAAAAAAAAAAAAAAAATTAGCAGGGAGTGGTGGCATGTGCCTGTAATCCCAGCTACTCAGGAGGCTGAGGCAGGAGAATCGCTTGAGCCTGGGAGGCAGAGGGAGGTTGCAGTAAGCCGAGATTGCACCAGTGCACTCCAGTCTGGGCGACAGAGACTCTGTCTCAAAACAAAACAACAAAAAAACCAAAAACAAACAAACAAAAAAAACAAGCAAGGTGGCACATAGCAAAGTTTTTTAAAATGCTAGTTTTATTTTCAGCAATATCATTGAAAATATCAGAATAGAAAGAGAAGTATGTGGCTTCTTCCTTCTCAACAATGGGGTAATTATCTCAGCAGGTTTAATCCCCACTGGTTGTACAGTACATTAGTCACGGTTCTCCAGAGAAAGTGAACTAATAGGATATGTGGAGAGAGAGAGAGAGATTTCTTTTAAGGAATTGGCTCATGTGATCATGAGGCTGGCAAATCCAAAATCTGCAGGGTAGGCTGGCAGGCTGGACACCCAGAGAAGAGTTGAAGTTCCAGTCTGAAGGCAGTCTTCTGGCAGAATTTCCTCTTCTTTGGGAGAGATCAGTCTTTTTCTGTTAAGGCCTTCAAATGATTGGATGAGACTTACTTTCATTATAGAAGATAATCTGCTTTACTCAAAGTCCACTAATTTAATTTAAATATTAATCCTGTTTTTGGAATACCTTCCCATAAACATCTAGATTAATGTGTGACCAAGTATTTGGGTACCATGGCCTAGCCAGGTTGACACATAAAATTAACCTCATGTGGAGAGGATGCATGCCATGTTCTCTAGGCTAAATCTAGGGTGTTAATAGATTTTTTTTTTTTTTTGCATTTGGTTTTAGAGGTATTCACATTCTTTGGCCATATACAAAAGCTGTGAGGTTAGTAAAAACTGAGATAGTCAAGTACTGAAAATACTGAGGAAGCTCCAGAGCATAAAGTAGAGCTCTAGGCAGCTAAGAAACTGAGTTTGGCTCTTCTAGGAAAAGCATGTATTCCTCGAACAATTTTTAGAAAGACAGTATACTTCTAATTTTAAACAATTTTTATAAAGGATATGTAAATGCCCAGTATACTGGCACAGCCGGGTTCCAGTCAAGAAATACGGTGGTTAACCAGCTAGAATCAGGAATGTAGATAATTGGATATTAATTCAAAGAGAATATTAAAACTAATAATCAAATATGTGGCTGTTAGAAACACAGTTTAGCATCCAGAGTGTAATACAATAAGGACTGGACAAATTCCCACAGTAGACCTCAAGTTGTTGCCTCTTTTATAACAGATCTTGGACCTCATCAGCTCAGATGTCAGATACGGCATAGCATCAAGTCAAGAAAGTTAACAAGGTCAGAAAAAGGGATGACAGGAGAGTCAAGATACTCATTATGTGGAAATAGCCTGAAGGTAATAGACTGAAAAGAGCCTTAGAAAAATAACCTGGTAGTTCAAACTGGATTTAAAAAGCGTCTTTAAATTATTATCTGAATTTTTAGCAGCGTTGTGCACATTTGACCAAATGATCTTGTTATAACTGGGCTTTCATCTTTTACTAGAACAATCATCATTCATAGAAAGATAATGTGCATTAGATCAAATTATTCCAACTGAGCAAGATGTTAAATGTCATTTTGGGTAATGAGATAAATGAAGGAAATTTGTAACAAGTGGAACAGTCGACTTATTACACTCTGGAGAATTTTAATCTGCTTTCATGGTAAAGGTTAACAAACACTCAGAGAGCTCCTACTTGTACTTGTCACTTTAAAAGCATTTTTCCTGCAAAGATTTCAAGGTGATGGTGTATTTGCTGCATTTCAAAGGGTATAGGGTATCCTTTGTGGGAATGACAATTTCATCAATATCATCAAGAGCAAACATATATTGAATACTTTGTAGTTGTAAGGCAGTGAGCTAAGTGCCTGGAACACAGATAGACATAAGATATCCTTTTCTTACAAGAAGTCTCTTTACAAAATAGCCTAAAATATATTTTCTTCAGAATATAGGTTTCTAATATTAGGTTGGTGCAAAAAGTAATTGTGGTTTTTGCCATTACTTTTAATAAAATGTGGACTCTGTCTATTTAAATAAGTAAGTAGTCTTTGGGTTAAAATAGGCCACATACTATTCAAAATAGCCCAAGTAATTTAAAAGCTAGTTAAATTACTATTGCACTATATTTCATCAACTGCAATTCTAGATCTATATCTATCTACTTGATGGAAACAATGGGGATAATGATAAGGAAGGCTAAGACTAAGATGAAAGCTTACTGAAAGAATGACCTTTAAAAATACTATGTTTAATTAAATTCTGTATCTTTTCATGTTAATCAAAATCATAGGCAAATGTCTTAGAAACTTAGTGGATCAAAACCTCACTGACTATTGATATAATTGTTCACTCTGTGTTAACTGACATTTGTCTAGGATCTCCAAATTATCATCTGTTATCCTGCTGTATAATTTAATATCAAAGTCTAGAATGCAAACATTAACATCTCTGCAAAAATGAATGAGAAAAATCTCATAAAATGAAAAGAAATGCCCCATTTTGTTACAATAATGATAACTGATGTGTCATTCCTCTTTGAAAGGAAGCTAATATACCCAGTGGGTATGGATCTTCATTGCAAATAATTGATACCCCATTAGTAAGAAATAAAAGTCAAACAAATCTCTAATCCTCTTCACAATTACACTATTACTTTTGAAGGGAGAAAGGAGTGCAGATATTTACTTTTAATATCTTGCTCCAACATGGTTAGTTTTATATACTCTTATACTTAAGCCCTCCTGTTATAAAACATCATAAAAGGCATAGTTTTTTGTTTTTTTTTTTTTTTTGAGATGGAGTTTCACTCTTGTTACCGAGGCTAGAGTGCAATTGTGCAACCTCGGCTCACTGCAAACTCCACCTCCCGGGTTCAAGTGATTCTCCTGCCTCAGCCTCCCGAGTAGCTGGGATTACAGGCATGCACCACCATGCCTGGCTAATTTTGTATTTTTAGTAGAGACAAGGTTTCTCCATGTTGGTCAGGCTGGTCTCAAACTCCTGACCTCAGGTGATCCGCCAGCCTTGGCCTCCCAAAGTGCTGGTATCACAGGCCTGAGCCACTGCACCTGGCCAAAGGCATAGGTTTTCGAGTACCAGAAAAACACGGGGTAAACTCACTTTTCCCTGCTTTTCCCCTCTAAATACGCCTAAATACCTTGGAAATTATTTCACAAACAATCATAAAAGGACCCTGAAGGATGGAGAAAAGAAGTCAGACTGTCCAGAAACTTTAGGACTTGAATAATGACACCATAGTGAGTTGCCCAGGTTTTTCCATATATCCCATACTGTGTTCTGGAGAGGCCTGTAATCAGGAACCTCCAATGAGTGTAGACAGATAAATAAAAGAAAACAAAAATATTCTCATCTCACTGGCCAAAGGACCCCTCAAAAAAAGGCAACCCAACAGAGTCCTAGTAGAAAGATCCATCCTATGTAATACTAAGGGAAGCACATAGCCCAAAGTACCATAGCAGCAGCACCAACACCCAGGACAGCAAAGGCCAGACCTGTAACAGCGGCAACAGAAGCAGGAGGACCCAACATGGACACACTGATTACTTCACACCTGGAGCAGTGGCAGTCTCAGTCAACCACAGGAGCAGCTGCAGCAATCGAATCTACCCCACATTGAAGCAGGTGGCCTGTTCCACCACTGTGACAGTTGCAGGGGGGTCCCTGCCTAAGCCTAGGGTAGCAACAGAATCAACAGGACCCAGTAAGGGACTCATGTCACACAACACATCCAAACTAGTAGGAACCCAATCCACCACAGTAGCAGCAATAACTGAGTCTCTGTCCTATACTGAGAGCAACAGCAGCTACATTAGGAGTGTTAGTAGAGCCAATCAGGAATCCATTCACCACTCTACACCCAGATCAGTGGCAGCCCAGTCTGCCATAGCAGCAATAGCACAGCAGGGTTCCTGTGACATACCTGGGAGAACAATGAGACTGATCCTACCCAGGAGCAGCAACCAAAGCCCAGAGTATCCTGACACTCCCACTCAGTGACACTGGGCAGTCTAAATAGCACATGCAGGGATTGAGTAGAAATCCAGCAGAGCCAGAAGTACAAAGCCAATCAGAATAGACCCTCAAGGCTCTAAAAATTAAATTGACATTGTAACTACAGCTCACAAAAGTAGGCAAAGACCCACGTGCAAAATCTAAGTAGGGTGACTGGCTGATGAAATAAAAGATTTAAATAGAAACAAGTCTCCTAACATAATTTACAACATGTCCAGAATATAATTGTAAATCACTAGTCATACAATATGATGAAAAATACTACTTTAATGAGAACATACAATTAATTGACACAAACACTGAGATAAAACAAATGTTGAGATTGTCTGACAAGGATGTAAAGCAGGTATTATAAACAGGTTTTCACCAATAACTGTACATTCTCTTTAAACAAGTAAAAAAAATAGAAAATCCAAAAAAGATATAGAAAGGTGAAAATATTGGAAATGAGAGAATATTAAAAAAAAGCTGAAATTTTAAAAAATCTTACTACATGGGCTCAATAATACAATGGATATGACAGTGATAGAATCAGTAAACTGGATGACTGATAGACTTTACTAAATCTGAGCCACAGAAAGAAAATAGGCTTTAAAAAATTAACAGAGCCTCAGGAACACATGAGATAATAAAATAAAATCTAACACTTGTATCATTGGAGTTATAGAAGAAGAGGAAAAAGTATAAAGTTCAAAACTATTTGAAAAAAATGGCTGAAAACTTCCCGAATTTGGTGAAAGAAGTTCACTTACAGATTCAAGAAGCTGAGGAAAACATAAACGAAATAAGCCCAGAAAAATTCATACCCAGACACACTGAGAGACAGGACTAGCTGGATTTCCTAGGCCAATTAACAATTCCTAAGCCTAGCTGGGGAATGTGACTGCACCCACCTTTAAACATGGGGCTTGTAACTCAGCTCACACCCGATCAATCAGGTAGTAAAGAGGGCTCACTAAAATACAAATTAGGCTAAAAGCAGGAGGTAAAGAAATAATCAAATCATATATCGCCTGAGAGCATGGGGGAGGGACAATGATTGGGATATAAACCCCAGGCATTAGAGCCGGGAGTGGGCAACCCCCTTTGGGTCCCCTCCCATTGTATGGGAGCTCTGTTTTCACTCTATTAAATCTTGCAACTGCATACTCTTCTGGTCCGTGTTTGTTCCGGCTCGAGGTGAGCTTTTGCTCACTGTCCACCACTGCCGTTTGCTGCCCTCGCAGACCTGCCGTTGACTTCCATCGCTCCGGATCCGGCAGGGTGTCCACTGCATTTCTGATCCAGTGAGGCGCCCATTGCTGCTCCCGTTTGGGCTAGAGGCTCGCCATTGTTCTTGAGTGGCTAAGTGCCTGGGTTCGTCCTAATCGAGCTGAACACTAGTCGCTGGGTTCCACGGTTCTCTTCTGTGACCCACAGCTTCTAATAGAGCTATAACACTCACCAGATGGCCCACGGTTCCATTCCTTGGAATCCGTGAGGCCAAGAACCCCAGATCAGAGAACAAAAGGCTTGCTGCCATCTTGGGAGTGTCCGCCACCATCTTGGGAGCTGCCCGCTGCCATCTTGGGAGCTGCCCACCACCATCTTGGGAGCTGCCTGCTGCCATCTTGGGAGCTGCCCACCGCCATCTTGGGAGCTGCCCGCTGCCATCTTGGGAGCTGCCCACCACCATCTTGGGAGCTGCCCGCTGCCATCTTGGGAGCTCTAAGAACAAAGACCCACCCGTAACAACATCATAAGTAAACTTCTGAAAACTAAAGACAAATACAAAGTCTTAAAACAACCAGAGAAAAATGATACATTACCTATAGAGGAATACTGATTCAAATAACAGTAGATTTCACATATGAAACCATGATGGTCAGGAGGAAATGACATACTTTCTGAAAGAAAAGAACTGTTAGTTGTAAATCTTGTATCTGACTTTATTCATAATACCCCCAAATTGGAAACAACTCAAATGTCTTTTATTGGTAAAAGGATAAACAAACAAACATCAATACCACGAGAATGTCACTCAGCAATAAAAAAGAACAAATTATTAATACAAACAACAACTTAGATGAATCTCAAGTGAATTATTCTGAATGAAAGAAAAGTCTCAGGAGAATACATAGTGTATGATTCTATTTTACAGCGTTTTTGAAATAACATAATTAGAGATTGAGAACAATTTAGTGGTTGAAAGGTGTTAAGGATGAGGGAGTTGATTATGAAAGGGTAGAATGAGGTGATTTATTGTGCCACATAGTAGTTATGTATCTTGATTTTGGTTCTAGTTACATGAAGCTACATATATAAAATTTCAAGGAACTACACACACACACATACACGCACATTACTGTATGCATAATTGATAAAATCTGAATAAACTTTGAGAATTATCCCAATATCAATTTCTTAATGCTAACATTAGGAGTGTCCAGGAAAGGGGGAAAGGTATACAGCAGTTTCCTGTACATTTCTTTGCAACTTCCTGTGCATCTATACTTTTATTTTAAGATAAAAAGGTAAAACAGCCATAGGTAGACATTGTATGTTTAGATATGCTAACACAGAAAAACTCGAAATTGTTCTCAGTGTCTCTCTCTGAGAATATCAGACTGCTCCTGATGCCAATAAATCTAAGGAATTTGTATTCACATTTATAGCAAAATAAAATAATATTTTTTTCTAGGATTCACGAGGAAAGAAGTAGCAGAAAGGATTGTTGTAATTGGAGAGGTTTAATAAAAAGCATAGTGTCCAACCCTCCTTTGATGAGGCCTATTGGAATTTCTGCTCTTCCACTCACTGAAAGGCACCAATCTTAAGAAGACCAAACTTTAAGATGTTTTTTTGGTAACTTACTAACAAGGGGAAATTTCCAAGCATTATATCCAGGGTGGAGCACACTCTAAGCAAACAGACTGGGCCAGAAGCAAAGAGCAATTTCACAACTGGTACGAAGTCACAATGCTATATTCTAAGAAGCCAACAACTGCCTGTGGGCACTAACCATGTGGAAATTTTAAAACAACCCAAAGGGCTGATGAAATGATGACGGAAAGACTGGAACACAAACTTATCTATTTAGCTATTTGGCTAAGAAGTAGTCCTGATACACTCCACCTACTTTCCAGTTTCAAGTCTCATTTCCTTGCTCATCTGCACAACACAGAGGTTATTCACATCTTTGAAGTGCAAGTATTCAACTAGAGAAGGCCAGCAGCAAGCAGTTTTCTTTAGAAAGCACTCAATAGGCTCAATAGTGTGCTAGCTGTTCTTTGGATACAGAGATGTACAAGATATAATCTTGGCCTTGACATTTACAGTGAAGTTGGGGATGTAAGAAAGGTGTCCTGGAAAAGGCATCTAATGTTATATATACCTGAGACAGATCTATATCTGCATCCATATCTGTATCTATATGTCTGATAGATGACATATACAGGACATTCTATAATAGTTCAGAAATGTACTATGGGCTGGGGCTAACAATAGACATTTTGAAAAGAAGACAGGACTTCAGTAAACCTTTGGCACATGGGCAGAAGGGATGGGCATAAGGCATTCTGGGCAAAAGGAAGGTTGGTTGCAGAAGTGTGGAGGCACCTTTGAGAAGTATTAATTGGTGGAGCTACTAAAGAGATAAATTTAAACTCAGTATTACAAATAGCTTTCTTAAACAGGGCTTCCCCAAAATAAAATACAGTACCTTGAGATGAGAACCTGGACAATACATGCATTTATTCTTACGTTAAATGACCCCTTTGTGTGGATGTTCCAGAGGGTATTCCGGGTTCAGATGGTTGTTTAAGTGTGTCCCTCCTAAAACTGAGGCTTTATGGTGATACTACAATTCTGGTTCCCAGATTCGCTATCACACTGTTCTTCTTACTTGATAAATTGGATCACACTGATAGGACTACCTGTCTATACGGCCAACAATTGTCTATTTCAATATTCTCTAGATATTGTGCTCCACAGGCCTGTTTTGAAATTCTCCTATCACCTATAGGTATTCACCAACCTCAAAATCTATTCATCTGAAAATCACTGGTTTTCTCTGTCTAAACATCCTCCTATAAGCTTGAACCAAAATTCTTATTCTAATCCTTGATTGCTTTTCAAATACATCAGAATAAATTTTATATCCACACCCCAAGTCTTCACTTCTTCAGGCTGACTTACCTTGATTAGTTCTAATATACCTTCAAAATCCTTCAGGGGCTCACTTTAATTCATTGTTTGTCATCTTAATATAGTACCCAGATTTAAATATGTAGTCTAACCAGAGCAGAATAGAATGAAACTCTATTAGCCACGTGGCTTAAGATTTCCTTTTGGTTCCAGTTGAAGCTGGTGAACTGTAATATACATAGCAGCTTTCCTCTAACATCCTAAGTAATTTAAAATGCTAGAAATAGTCTAAAAATAAACACCTAAGTTATTATTGGGTTGCAAACAAGAAGAGACTTCAGTGCATCATAAAACATGAAAATTCCTTAAAGACACAAAGCAGGTAAGATGAGATTGAACAGAATAGTTAAATGCATCCATTTCATGGGATATTATATAGTCATTAATGGTAATAAAGTACATCCATTTGAGCTAATATGAAAAAGTATACAAATATATTATTAAGTGAAAGAGAAAGATGCAGAATTATGTATAGTATATTTGTTGAATTTAGAAAAATATATTCACAGATACATACATATGCTGGAATATACTTTTTCTTAAAGAAGGAATAACAAATGCTTTATAGAATTAACTATTAGGGGAAAGATTAGTGGGTAGGAAGTGCAGGAATAAAAAGCATTCATTTTTCATTTTATAATTTTTTGAATTTTAGAAGTTTAAACAAACTGTCTTTTATGTCAGTGGGGGCAGACATTTTATTGTCTTATTTGTGCTTTCTTGTTAAAAAGTAAATACTTATATTAATAAACAGAGTTTTATTGGAATTGCCTTTTTATCAATCATGACATAGTTGAATCAGGTTGAGTCAGAATGTTCAGATCTTTTCTGCCCACTGTTTCATACGTATTTGCTGGCTGACAGTTAATTAACTGAACAAAGGAATGGGAGAGGCAATATGCAAAGGCAACCACTGTGGAAGATTTTCTTATACATTTTTTCTTCCCGTCAGAACCCTGTATGTTCATGTCCCTAAATAAACATTTCTAATCAACCATAGGAGGCATTTTGTGTTTAATAGTAAGGACTTGAAGAAGCAGATGCTAGGAACACAGGTCAGTATAGGTTAGGAGGCTACTGCAGTAGTGTAGGCAAGCAATGATGGTAGTTGGGATTAGGGTTAAAGCATAACATGTGCACATACATAAAGAGATTTGGGATACATTTTTGAAAGTGGAACTGGCAGGTCTTGGTGATAAAAGACCTGTGGTTAGTACTGAAGAGGGAATAAATCTATGACTAGAATTGCTGACACAGCTGGGGGAAATTTAATAGGCCTCTACCTACAGTAATGAGAGGATCATGAAGTCGAGGAAAGGAGTTGAACATACACAATACCATGCTTTGGCATAAATCAAATAGATGACCAGAATGATGATATTTTATGAATACTACTTGGTAGACAAAGCATGACATTTGATATTAAAGACCTGGGCTTGAGTCTCCTTTCCACCGTGTAAACAAACTCTCTGAGACTGAATTGGCCCTTTTAAAAAATGGAGATAAAAATAGTACTTAACTCACAAATGTCTTGTGAAAATGACGACAGATAACATACGTGAAAAATCTTGTAAGACTCTAAAAACATTCAAATGTTAGTTTTTAATATTATTACTATTATTTAAAAACAATACAATTAACTTCTCCTATTAAAAATTCTTGCCAGCAGCATGCCACACTGCATATAATCTCCAACCATTAACTTTGCACTCTGTTTATCTTCTACACTCAACATTATATTTTACAGATTTATTCATGTTGGTATTTGTAACTATAGTTAACCCATTTTAATTGCTGCATAGTATTATATTGAATGAACATGCTTCAATGTATTTATCCTTTCTCCTACTGAAGTATATTTAGAGTGTTCTTACTCTTTTTCACTATTCCGATAGATCAAAAATACTATCATCTGTTTTCTTGCCTGGATATGTGAACCTCTTTAAGATACACACCTGGTAAAGGGTAATATTGGTTGTAGGGCATAAATGTCTTCAGCTTTGTTGGATATTGCCAAATGTTCTTCTAAGTGTTTGAAACAATGCGTTTATCTTATCTGCAATGTATAGAGTTCCTGCTTCCTCAAAACCTTACAGACACTTTGTCTGTAAGTTTTTAAACTTAAAAAATGTTTGCTAAATCTAATGAGGGTGGGGGTAGGGATGGAATGTCTTTGTTTTTCAATTTACATTTTAATAAGACTATGAAACAGTATTTAATATGTTTTTCAGCCATTTATAGTTTCTTTTGGTTAATTGGCTTTTCACATCACTCGCCTGTTTGTTTTTTAATTGAGTGTTTTTGTGTAATTGTTTTGCAGTAATTACGTATTTCAGATACAAAGTCTTTTATAATTATTCACATGAGAACATTGACTCCCAATCTGTGGCTTAAATTTTAAATTGGTTTATGGCTTTTTCTAGTGTCGGATTTTGCTTTTTAAAATTTTGCCAACTTTATCCATATTTTTCCATTAGGATTTAGACATTTTACATTGTGTTTAAGAAACTTTTTTTGATGCTAAAGTCATAATAACATTCTCCTAATAACATTCTCTTCCCCTAAAATTGTCAAAAATTTGAGTTTTTGACTAGTCTGGGTTTATTTATATATATATGATATAGGTTATTTATATATAATATATATATGATATAGGTTAATGAGATACATAATTGTTTTCTATATGGACAAGCAGTTTTCAAAACATCATTTACTGACTGATGCATCTTTTTCATTTCTGATTAGTATTGCCCATCGTAGGGGCCAAGAAAAAATTTCCCTTTTGCCCTCTGAAATTTTGCTAAAAAATTAACTGACAAAAGTCAGATTAATTGGAGAAAAGGAAAACAAATTTATTAACGTGCACACAGAGGAGAACCAAAGAGTGATTACTCTCAACCCTGCAATATAGTTCAGAGGCTTATATACAACCTTGAAGTTACAGAAAGAATGAGAGCTTGGATCCTTACAAAACAGGTTATGGTGGTAAATCAGGTAAGAGTGGCAAACAGGTTATGGGAAGGGAAGAAGAGGAGCCCTAACTAGTAAAGTTGATCTTATTAATCTTTCCTAAATCCAGACAAGGGAAGGCCTCAGAGAAAACCTGGCTGCATCATTACAGATTTTCTCTACAGATGTATATCTCCCCAACAAATGATGGGTTTGTAGGACTACTTCTGTTTGCTGGCTCTCTGAAGAGCCAAAATATGTCAAGGAAGTACATTTTGGGGTAAAATATTTTGATTTCCTTTACCATAAAGTCTTCGTGTATGCATGGGTCTATTTCTTTGTTATCTGTTCTGTTCCATTAATGTATTTTTCTGTCCATGGGTTAATATCTCACTTTGTTAATTACCATAGATTTATAACCAACCTATAACAAAATAAAACCACTTTGCTTATTTTTTGTTAATTGTGCAAATTTTGAAATTTCTTAGACTTGTAGTCTTCCATATGAATTTTAAAATAACGTTTTTTTAAGGTCTATGGGGAAAATATCTTCTAAGATTTTAAACGATATTGTGTTGGATTATAGTCTATGTTGGTGACAGTTAATGTCTATCATACTGAATTTTCCCACTTATGAACATGATAGATTTCATCATTTATTTACATTTTCATATTGTCTTTCAAATTTCTTTCAAATTGGCTGCACATCATTTAAAAAAATTATTTCTAGATTTCCTCCACTTTTTGTTGCCTTTTAAAATCATGTTTTTATTCCATTTTATAATTTTTATTGTCAGTGTAGAGAAATACACTTTGCGTATGATACTGCATCTAGTAAAGTTATTGAACTACATTAATAATGACAATGTGCTTTTTTTCTTTTTTAAACTTTATTTTTATTTTTAGCACAATGTTGAAAATAATATGTGATTGTAGATATCTTTGTGTTATAACGATTGCTAAATAATACTTCTTTAGTATTGCCATTGTAGGCCAAAAATAAAATCCTAAGCCCCCCAGCCAACTGAATGGACTCCATCTTGGCCAAGCAGATCCCAGAGAAACTTGAAAAACTGAGTTCTTGGCCATGACAAGACAGAAGGTCAGACAGGCTCCCTTATACTCCCCTCCTTTTGGAATTCAGGTACAAGTGACCAGCATTAACATTAAAATAGAGACCATAAGACAAAACAAACTCTTTGTGGCAATAAGACACCAAATTAGAACCTGACTCTGGTATAGCATCATGTGACAGATAGCAGACCCTAAAGGAAGTAAAAATATTTTCCCCTTAAATATATTTCTTTGACATATTTTTAAATGGCCCTGCAAAGCCTTCTTTTGTGGGGAAAATTTGCATCTATAGACCATCTCCATTAAGGCAGCCAGGCCTTCCCTTTCTAGGTCTTTCTCACATCTAGGTGAGGTTAAATGAGAGTCAGATACCTTTAAGGTTTGATAAGAGACATTTACCTTCTATGCCATCTGAAAGCTGCTACCTATGAGGCTTCATCTACATAACAAAAATCTTGGTCTTCACACCCTCCCTTATCTTAACTCAAGCATTTCTTTCTTTCTACTGACTTAATCCCTCAGACAAAGCGTAACTCTTTTAACCAGTTGCCAATCAGAAAATTTTTGAATCCACCTCTTGCCTGTAAACCCCACTTCAAGATATCCCACCTATCTAGACTGAACCAATGTACACCTTTATTGATTTATGATTTTCCTTAGAATTCCTGTCTTCCCAAAATGTATAAAACCAAACTATAACCCAACCACCTTGGGCACCCTTTCTCAGGACTTCTTGAGACCATTTCCTGTGCCATAGCTACTCATACTGGCTCAGAATAAACCTCTTTAAATATTTTGGAGAGTTTTTTTTTTTTTTTTTTTCATTAACACCATTAAGAATAATGTTTATTCTAGATTGAGCATGATGTTTACTCTAGGTTTTTGGCAGAAAACATTTATCAGTTTAAGAAAATTTCTTTTTATTTCTAAATAGCTATTTGTAAATAGCTGTTCTCAAGGAGAAGTGATTTTTATCTAATAATTTTTCTGGATTGTTGGGGCTGAGGAAACAATACTTCAAAATGAAGGCCTCAGAAGCAAAAGTTTTCTCTGATCTTCTCCTTCCCTCCTGTCTCTCAATCTTATTCTCACCTGAGGTTAGCCATACAAATTAGAATCCCTCTTCTCCAAGGTGGGTCATAGAAGGCAGAACCCCTTTTCCCCAAAGCCAGCCATAAAACCCCAAAATATTGCTCTAACTATCCCTCCACCTTTCTGTATCAAAGCTGGCCATAAAGAAAAGATCTGACCTACCTTGTTTGACTTTGGGTCATAAGATCCCCATTCCAGAGAGGGCCCTGCCCCACACCCAGAAGAAAGGAAAGTGTGCTCAGAGAGGCCAAGAAGACTCTAGACAGAAAGGCAGAAAGGCCTTGCTAGGTTTCCCCTCTTAGTCTATTAGCATTGGATCCTACCTTTTTGTCCAATCATATTTCTACATGGTTGTCCGTACTTTGTTGAAAATAAGCATTAAAATGGACAATTTCTCCTGTATCTCTGGGTCTTCATTCTAAAGACTCCTGTGTATACACATTAAATACATTTGTATCCTTTTTTTTTCCTAATTAACCTACCTTTTGCTAGGTAATTTTTCAGTGAACCTTCAGAGGGCCAAGAACTTGGCCCCTATAAGAGCCACTGAAATGAGCATACTTCTCCTTTAATCGGTCATCAATTATTTGATGAGTTTTCTGAGGGAGCCCACCTAGTTGCAATGCTTTTTTTTTTTTCTGGCAGACTGCTGAACTAATTTTTTGTTTTGTTTTGTTTTGTTTTTTGTTTTTTTTTGTTTGTTTGTATTTGAGACGGAGTCTCGCTCTGTTGCCCAGGCCGGAGTGCAGTGGCGCAATTTTGGCTCACTGCAACCTCTACCTCCCGGGTTCAAGCGATTCCCCTGCCTCAGCCTCCTGAGTAGCTAGGACTACAGGTGTGTACCACCATGCCCAGCTAATTTTTTGTATTTTTAGTAGAGACAGGGTTTCACCATGTTGGCCAGGCTGGCACTGAACTCCTGACCTCAAGCAATTCGCCCGTCTTGGCCTTCCAAAGTGCTGGGAGATTACAGGCATGAGCCACTGTGCCCGGCCTATTGAACTAGTTTTAGAGATATTTTAACTTGGGACTTTTGCATTTATGTTCACAAGATTTGTCTATACTTTTCTTGTACATTCCTTGTCTCTTTGTTATCAAGGTTAGATTAGCCTTATAAATAGATCTACCATTTTTATTCTGTGACAATTTGTGTTAAGGTAAGGTATGCTAAAACTTAAAAATGTAGTAAGATTCACCCATGAAATAGTTTGGGCCTGCTGTTTTGAGGGGCAAGTCTGGGGAAAATGGTAATTTAGTTGCTAAATATCTGTGATGTTATTTTACTAAGATTTTTTTTTATTTCTGATTATTAATATCCACAATAAAAATTTTGTATACTTTTGTTCATTTATTTTTTAATTTTATGAAATGAATATTTTGTTATTTGTAAAATCTCTGTCTTATTTGACAAAACCTTTCCTGATCCAAATATTATTTATTTTTGCCTTTTTCTCTGGTTTCGTAATCATCCCTGACAGAGGTTTATCTATTTTATTAGGCCTGTCGAATAACTGATTCTTAGTTTTTTTCTCTGTTTTCCGCTTTTAAAATTTCTGTTCTTATCTCTAGTGTCTTATTAATTCTATATTCTTTAGGTTTACCCTGTTATTTTTTTCCCTAGCTTTTTTTGAGCCTAACCTTTAACTCAATTCATGTTCAATCTCTCCTCACTTTTAATATGATAATTTGTTGCTATAATTTTATCTTAAATACTTAGTTAGCTGTATCACAATTTAAAACTTAGTTTTGACAAGGGTAGTTGGTTAAAACATTTTGTAACTTCAATTTTTATTTCCTTTTTTATAAATACATTATTTCAATAGTGCATTTCCAGTTTCACCATCTCTTACACATACTTTATTGTTAATTTTTAATAAAGTTTTTGTGTTGAAAGAAAACAGTTTGTGGACTTTTAGTGTTTAAAATTATTTTAAACAAGGTCAAATTTTAAATATTTACCATGTCCTTGAAACAAACACGTTTCCTTTACTTGGATATTTCTATATATATCTACAAATCTATCTTGTTAATTTTGTTATTCAAACCTTGAGAATTTTTCCTGTGTGACATTATAGTCTTTGAGAGCATTGTGTTGAATCACTTACTGAGTTCATGGTTTTATAAATTGCTTTTCATAATGTCTCAATTTTTGCTTCATGTATGTAAAATCTATATTCTTCATACACTTTAGTTTTTCTATATTCTTAGTTGATTATTTCTTGTTTCATTGTATATTGCCCTCGATTATTACTGCCTTTTTGCCCTCGTTTTATTTTATGTGAAATTAAAATGCTTTATCAGCTTTCTACTGTTAACATTTTTAAAGTGTCCATATAAGCTCGTTTTAGGCATTTCTCTTTCTTTGTGTACATATTTATGTGTATGTATATTCAGTTTGAAACTCTGTCTTTTAATAGGTGAGTTTATTGGTTTCTGTTATGATTACTGATATCTGTAATTGTTCCTATCATCTTTATTTTGCGCATTATTTACTTGTTTTGTTTATCATGCTTATACTCTTGTGTTGAATGGATAATGTTTATTGCAGTTATATTTTCAGTTAAAATTTGAATGCTATGATTATTTTAAATTTTAAGACAATTTTATTTAAAATTTTACCATAAAATTTTAATATGCATCCTTACTTTTAGACTTCTCTAAGAAAGTATGAATTAATTCCATATCTCTACTTTCCTCCCAAAGAAGACAAAATTTTAGGCAACCTTAGTAACTCATTCTAAAACATTTCCTCCATACTCCCACCCATATCTGATGTTATCACTGTCTAGTCTTTAGAATTTTCCTTTCATTATTAAGCACAAGCATAAATCTACTTACACACACAAAATTTACTTATCTTTAAATATCAATGATTAAATATACTTATATTTTAAAATTAATTTTATTCTCATTCTTATTTCCCTAACTTTATGTTCAATTTATTTTTTATTTATTTAGTATTATTCACTATTTAGTATTTAACTTTCTGCTGTTTTTTTTTTTTTTTTTTTTTTTTTTTTTTTTTTTTTTTAGATGGAGTCTTGCTCTGTCACCAGCCTGGTGTATAATGGTGCTATCTCAGCTCACTGCAACATCTGACATCCTTGTTCAAGCAATTCTCCTGCCTCAGCCTCCCGAGTAGCTGGGATTATAGGCACGCACCACCACACCAAGCTAATTTTTGTATTTTTAGTAGAGACAGGGTTTCACCATGTTGGCCAGGATGGCCTCGATCTCCTGACCTCATGATCCACCTGCCTCGGCCTCCCAAAGTGCTGGGTTTACAGGCGTGAGCCACCGCGCCCAGCCAACTTTTTGCTTTTATATGTCTTTCAGTAAGGGTCTGTTGCTAGTAAACTTAGTCCTGATTGGTGTGAAAATATATCTTAAACCCCACACTTGAATTAATTTCAGGTGCAGGGTTATTTTCCATCAGCATTTTGACACTATTATGCCATCATCTATTATTACTAAGCCATTGTTCTAAATATAAAGTTGGTGGTGAGAGTGCCTGCTTTTCTTTCACGGATAACCTGCTTTTCTCTCTGGTATCATTTTTGCTTTTTTTTTTTCTTCAATATTTTAAAATTTTTCCCTGTGGATTTATATTTAAAATTTGCTTCAAATTTAGGAGTTATTTTAAATTATATACTTCTTCAAATCTTTAAATATCTTATTTTTCCCCTGTAATATACATCTCCCCCATTCTCTGACTATTCTCTACCTTAGGAACTCATAATAGACATAATTAGAACCACTTAATCAGCATTATTTTCATCTAACTTATTTACTTATTTTCATCTTTTAGACCTTTGTACTACAGTCAGGGTAATATAGCTGTATTCTGTGCTGTATTCATCATTGTTAACTTTCAACTCATGAATTTATTTTTGTATTAATGTACTCATTCTAGGGCTTACTTCATTTGTTGAGTTTTTTTTTCAATTTCAATAACTAAATACACACACGTAAACACACAGAGAATATATTAAGAGAAAAAGAGCTATTTACTTTCTGAATTATCTAATTAAATAATTTCATATGTCCTTGTTATTGTTTAACATTTGATTTTTCCATAATTTTTCTTATTTTTCTAGTTTTTCTTTCATCAATTATTTCTCTGAGGATAGTAAACATACTTATTTTACAGTCTTTGGATCTCCTTTTTTAGTTTTAACTGGAGCAAAATCATCTTTTGATTGCTGATTATTTAATCTGCCTTTCTCAGTGTTAGATATTTTCCTCTTGTTAAGTCTGAGTTTTTAGTCTAGTCTTGACTAATAACTCTCTTTCATTTCTTACCATCTCTCCTACTCTCTTCCTGCCTAGTGGTCTTAGAGTTGCCTGCTTCTGGTGCTTCTAACTGAAGAGTATCCATGGAGTACTGCTGATCCAATGACCAATTCAGCAGGCACTTTGGCTAAGCTACTACTTATAAATTTATGTCTGTGTCCACCTCTAGGCAGTGTTCAGAAGTAACTTAATTCAACCTCCACCCCTGAATAGGGATAACCTTCCCAAGGCTTTGGTCTCTGGCAGTGAGTCTGGATCTGGACTCATACTCTGGCTGGAGGACTTTTAGCCTATTTAACATAGGAAACGATCTCTCAGCTGCCTCTGCCTTCATTTGGACCCGGAGACTATCAGTTAAGACTGTTGAGTTCTGCTCTTCACTTTGCATATTTCCATGCTATTTTTAGTCCATAAAGATGATTACCTTATATATTGTGTTTTCCTTTTCTTTTTCTTATTAGATTTTCTTTCTCACTGCCATATGCTTGAAGAAGAAAGAATGTTTCTTTCCCAGGCTGGAGTGCAGTGGCGTGATCTTGGCTTGCTGCAACTTCTGCCTCCTGGGTTCAAGGGATTCTCCTGCCCCAGCCTCCGGAGTAGCTGGGAATATAGGCACACATCATCACACCTGGCTAATTTTTTTGTATTTTTAGTAGAGATGGGTTTTCACCATGTTGGCCAGGCTGGTCTCAAACTCCTGACCTCAAGTGATCCACCTGCCTAAGCCTCCCAAAGTGTTGGGATTACAGGTGTGAGCCACTGCACCTGGCTAGAAAGAATGCTCCTTAATCAGCCATATCAGAGTATCTTTTAAAGACACTTGTATTTAATCTCACTTAGAGATTTACATTTCTCATATAGGAAAGATTCATTTGTAAGTTTTAGCCTGTCATCAACTTCTACCACCAGCAGAGAGTAGACTGCTAAAGATAATTGCAGACCAGAGACAATTACGTTTTGATACATTAATAGTTTTAGGAAAATACATGAACTACAGAGGTCTGCTTAGCATCATGGTGTGTTGTGTCTCTTATGTGAGGGGTCGTAAGGTACTGGGGGAAGTAGAGAGAATTTCAGGATCTCAGCAAAAAACAATCAAAAAGGAATAATTAAGGTGACAAAGGAATTTCACAATTAGGCTAATGAGAGGCAAGCATATATCTGCTTAAACCTATGTGAGGAACCAAAAATTCCTGTGTTTTAAATGCTATTGGCAAGTCCTAATCGTAACTGTCTAACGTTGATGATGAACTCTAAAACTGATTCTTTATGTATTCCTATTTAATATTTCCTGCTGATGTGTTACCTTGGCTAAGACAGCTACAGTCTCTGTTTTTCATTTTCTATTCATAGAATACCCGGTTATTACTTATTATAATATTCATAGCATTATCTTGATTGGTAACTTAGTACCAGAAATACATGTGAACATGTTTGCTGCTGCAACACAAATAGCCTTCTATTTTATGTATATATAATACATAAAATATACATAAAATAGATAAAATATATAAATAAAATAACAAAATAACAAATTTAAATTTAAATTTATTCAAGTAAATATCTAAAAACATCCTTGTAGCTTGAGTAGATAACTCATACACTCATTTAGAAAATTTTGATTCAAACTACTTAAATCTCCTATCGTCAACATACATCCCTAAAAATACAACATTAATAACATAATAATATCTCATAACTAGCTAATTTAAGCTGAGTCACACAAAATACTAGGAAGGGCAAAACACCTTGTGACTTTAAAGGCTGTAAAAAAATCTTCCGCTGTGTATTCAACTAAAAATTGTTGAGTACATATTACATGGAAGACATTAAAAACTACCTTCTATGGGGCTATAAAATGATAAGATATTATTTCAGTCAATACAATTATAATATAGTAGTATAGATGAGGCAAAGTAGGAGGGAATATTAATTCCCTCCTAGTATAGATTATGCCTATCTTATTTACTAATAAATTCCCAATTTTTAGCTGGGCATCTGGTCGTCCCGAATTAAAATTGCATTTCTGAGCTCCTTCGAAGCAGGTGTGCCCATGTAAATAAGTTTTGAGCAATGGTACATAGTGTCTGGAGGGCGATCATGACATGAATATAAATAGAGGGGACATACCCTCTCGTTTCTTTCTTCCTCTCTATTTGCTGGAATGCATGTGTGATGGCTAGAGCTGAAGCAACTATCTTAGGCAATGCAGAGGAAAATACAGACATGAGTATACAACAATAAAAAATGAAGCCATATTTATGATGAAGTGGAGTAACATAACAGACCTAAACTATCTTTCTCTAAAGTGCTTTTATGTGGTGAAAAATAAGATCCAATCTTCTTTAAGCTACCATACATAACTTGGAGTTTTCTGTGCAGGCAATCTTAATTCTAAATGAAAGAGATATGTAAACACCTTACAGTGAAATGCCATAAGTTCAATAACAGAGGAATAAACCTCTATAGGTGTTCAAAAGAAAAGATGGTTCCACTCTTCTTCACAGGTTTCAAAAATGTCCCACAATTTCCAAAAATTTTAAGTTTACAATCAATGTAATAAATCACACAAGGAAACACGGCACCATTAATAAAACAAACATCAGATACAGACCCAGAAGGATGCTAAATATCAGTATCAAAACAAAATATATCTAAAATATTTAAATAAATTTAAAAAATATGAATAAAGCCCAAGTGACCATAAAAAAAGAGCTACAGCTGGGCGTGGTGCCTCAAACCTCTAATCCCAGCACTTAGGGAGGCCAAGGTGGGCAAATCGCTCGAGGCTAGGAGTTTGAGACCAGCCTGGGCAACACGGCGAAACCCCATCTCTGCAAAAAAAATACAAAAAAATTAGCTGGCTGTTGTGGTGCATGCTTGTAGTCCCAGCTACTCAGGAAACTGAAGTGGGAGGATCACTGGAGCCCAGGAGTTTGAGTCTGCAGTGAGCTGCGATTGCACCACTGCACTCAAGCCAGGGCAACAGAGCAAGACCTTGTCTCAAAAACAAAAGAAAAAAGAAAAAAAAAAAGCTTCAGATTTGAAAAATATGCAAATTACATTTCTTAGAAATAAAATCATAAAGAGGAAATTTATGTATAAGAATTCCAGCTTCCATTAATGGTACAGCACTTTAGTCATACCAACCCTCCAGAAAACAAAAATTATAAAATCTGGAAAAAAATACCAAGAAAACCTACCAGAATACCAAAAAATCTGCATTCTAATCTAGTGATTTGAATACAGTGGACAGCAACTAAAAACAGCAGAAATGGAAGAGAAGTCAGCTATTGAAAGACAGGAATTACACTTAGTGAATTTTGAGTCTTTACTCCATTTTGCCAAAAGGCACTTTCTGATCCATGTATCATGTTGTAGCATAAAATCTCACTCTTACTGTCTTGACATGTTAGAGGAAGAGTTTAATGATGGCACAATGGCTAGAAAAATAAGGTTAAAAATCCTGAAACAAAGAGAAATGCAGAGGGGTGAGCCCCAAAATCAACGTGTGAACCCTGCTCAAATTATAACCATCAAAGGACATATGTGCAGAGAAGCTTCCAAGAATCTTGCACAAAACAAGTCTTGAAGACAAATTGAATGGTAATTTCATCTGGTAGCTACCACAGGAGAGACAGACTTAAAAGTTCAAGTCCAGACAAGATAACTGTTTGTAGAACATAGGTGAATCCATGTTTTGTACAATGTATCACCTACTCTGTCCATTATATATTTTTAATTATAAGACATACAACAAGAGAAAAAATGTGAAATATAGTAATAAGAAAAAAAAGCCTCTAATGCCAACCACAAAATGTCAAAGATGTTGAGATTAGTAAATAAATAGATTAAAATAGCTAACATATGTTCTAGAACTTTAAGGAAATTATAGTCATGATATCTAAACAGATGAGCAATATCAGCAAAGAGTAAAATCATAAACATGAACACAATGCGAATTTTAGAATTGAATAACTAAAATGAAGAATTTACTGGATGATCTTAACAGCAGGTTAGAGCAAAAGAAAAAGCCAATGAACTTGAAAATATGTCATTAGAAATTACCTGTCTGAAGAATAAAAGATCAGAGCCTCAGTGACTTTTGGGACACGGTTAAATAATCTAATATATGTTTTTGTAGTCCCAGCAGGAAAGAAAAAAGAAAAAGACAGATAAGATGTTTGAAGAAAACATGATCAAAACTTGAAAAGAAAAAAAAATAAGATCTTTACTTCTGTACTTACAGGTCAGTGTAACAGGTTTTATAAGCTCAATAAAGATGCAAAGAAAAGATTGTACTCAAAATGTTGAAATACAAAGATAGAAGATCTTAAAAGCATCTAGAGAAAAAGGATCCATTATATAAATAAGAAAAAAAATAAGGCCGGGCACGGTGGCTTACACCTGTAATCCTGGCACTTTGGGAGGCCGAGGCGGGCGGATCACCTGAGGTCAGGAGTTTGAGACCAGCCTGACCAACATGGAGAAACCCTGTCTCTACTAAAAATACAAAAAATTAGCCGGATGTGATGGCGCATGCCTGTAATCCCAGCTACTCGGGAGGCTGAAGCAGGAGAATCGCTTGAACCTGGGAGGCAGAGGTTGCAGTGAGCCGAGATCTCACCATTGCACTCCAGCCTTGGCAACAAGAGCGAAACTCTATCTCAAAAAAAAAAAAAAAAAAAAAAGAAGAAGAAGAAGAAAAGAAAAGGAACAGCTGAATTCTCAACAGATACAGTAGAGTACAGTGAAAATATGACACCTATGACATCCTTCAAGTCCTAATAAGGCTGGCAATTAGTGAAGGAATGAGCATGATTACTTGCAGGTGGGTAAGAGCAATACAAATGAGGCCAAACAGGTTAGCACAAGGACCCCAGTCAGTAACGCATGATGCTCCAGAAAGGGGCCAGGAAAGATATCTGTGGTCACCTGCAGTTGGCAACTTTTTTGTCAAAGTAGGAACTGTTGGAGGGAAAGTCCCAAAGGCCGAGCATACATAGTAGTAAAGAACCATGTCCCTAAGGTGAACTTTGATCATTATAATAGTAAAAAACACACCCCTGGGTGGAAATTTTAAATGCTAATGAGACATGCGATGTATGTGCTAGCGTGTACAGTGACTGTGGATGCCAGGAGACCACCCAGGACATGACTAACAACAATGACCGTTCCTTCCCCTTCATGAATAATCACGTAAGACACCCATAAAGGGAGTTTCCTCAGTGCCAGTAGGCACTGTCTCATTCTCAAGGAGCCTGCTCTGACCCAGCTATCAGAGTGTACTTTTGCTTTGCAGTAAACTTCTTGCCTCCTCTTACTTTGGACTCACTCTCAAATTCTTCTGTGCAGCAAAGTAAAAAACCTGAACACTAAAACAACAACACTAGAACAACAGTCTGTGAAACAGCATCTTATATCCAGTGATAATATCTTTCAAAAATGAAGGAGAGGCCGGGCATGGTGGCTCACGCCTGTAATCCCTGCACTTTGGGAGTCCGAGGCGGGTGAATCACAAGGTCAGGAGTTTGAGAGCAGGCTGGCCAACATGGTGAAACCCTGTCTCTACTAAAAATACAAAAAATTAGCCAGGTGTAGTGGTGGGCACCTGTAATCCCAGCTACTCGGGAGGCTGAGGCAGGAGAATTGCTTGAACTGGGAGGTGGAGGTCGCAGTGAGCCGAGATCACGCCACTGCACTCCAGCCCTGGCGACAGATTGAGACTCCATCTCAAAAAAGAAAAAAAAAAAACAAGGAGAAATGAAGATATTTTCAGGTAAATGAAAACTGATTTTCTCACAAGGAGGCATAAACTGTGAAAAATGCTAAAGGAAATTATAAGTGCTGATGGAAAAATGATACCAGATGGAAACGTAAAGCTACAGAAGGAAATAAGAAGCACCAAAAAATAGAAAATATGAAGATAAATATAGATGACTGCATGAAACAACATGGAGAAACCATAACTTTATATTACTAAGTGAAATAAGACATTCTGAGATGATTCCAACTACATAACATTCTGGAAAGGTGAAACCATGAGGACAGTAGAAAGATCAGTGGTTGCTGAGGTGTTAGAGGACTGGTGATTAATAGGTGGAACACAGAGGATTCTTAGGACAGTGAAACTGTTCTATATCATACTATAGTTGTAGATACATGTATTTTGAATTTGTCCAAACCCATAGATTGTACGATACCAAGTGTGAACCCTAACGTAAGCTATGGACTTTGCATGATAACAATGTATCAATGTAAGTTCATCAATTATAACAAATATACTACTCACCTGTGAGATGTGATGGTATGGAAGCTGAGTATGTGTGTGGGCAGATGATATGTGGGAAATCTCTGTACTTTCTGTTCAGTTTTGCTATGAACCTAAACAATGTCTATTAAAAGACATTTTAGCCTAAGAGAAATAAAAACATATGGCCATAAGTTCCAGACCAGCCTGGCCAACACAGTGAAACCCCATCTCTACTAAAAACACAAAAATTAGCTGGGCATGGTGGCAAGCACCAGTAATCCCAGTTACTTGGGAGGCTGAGGCAGGAGAATCACTTGAACCTGGGAGGCAGAGGTTGCAGTGAGCCGTGATCATGCCACTGCACTCCAGCCTGGACAACAGACCTAGACTCCATCTCAAAAAAAAAAAAAAAAAAAAAGTACAGGAATGTTTATAGAAGCATTACTCATAAAAGCCAAAAAGTGGAAACAACACAAATGTCCATCAATGGAAAATGGATTAAAAAATGTGGAATCTATACAACGGAATATTATTTGGCTGTAAAAAGGAATGCAGCATTAATGGATGCTAAAACATGGATAAATCTCACAAACATTATTCTAGGTGGAAGAAGTCAGTCACAAAAGAATATGCATTATATTATTTCATTCATGTCAAAGTCTAGAACACAGAAATCTATAGCGATAGAAAGTAGATGTAGTTGCTTAAGGTTGAGGGTAGGCAGTGGGGAGATAGGCAGTCCTTAGGTAAAGGGTGTGGGGTTTCTTTTTGAGGTGGTGAAAATGTTCTAAAATTGACTCCATATCTGTGAATATACTAAAAAACTTTGAATTATACACTTAAATGGGGGAATTGAATGCTATGTAAATTAAATCTCAATAAAACTTAAAAAATAAAATGAGGGCTGGGTGTGGTGGCCCACACCTGTAATCCCAACACTTTGGGAGACCGAGGTGGGCTGATCACCTGAGACCAGGAGTTCAAGACCAGCCTGGCCAACATGGTGAAACCCCGTCTCTACTAAAAATACAAAAATTAGTCAGGCCTGGTGGCACATGCCTGTAATCCCAGCTACTAGGGAGGCTGAGGCAGGAGAATCACTTGAACCCAGGAGGCAGAGGTTGCAGTGAGCTGAGATCACGCCACTGCCATCTAGCCTGGGTGACAGAGCAAGACTCTGTCTCAAAAAATAAAATAAAATAAAATAAAAATAAAATAAATTAGATATGCCTACAGATGTATTTGAATGAATAAATATATCTTAAAAGAAAAAAATCCTGACATTACAAAGTGTTGGTAAGGATGTGAAGCAACTGGAATTTTCATCCACTGTGGTGGAAAATGTAAAATATTACAGCTACTTTGGGATTTTTGCAATCTCTTATAAAGTTAAACATTCACTTATGTGATTCAGCAATCCCACTTATAAGCATTTATCCAAGAGAAATAAAAGCGTAAGTCCACACAAATCTGTACAGAAGTAATTATAGTTGCTTTATTTACAGTGTAAAAATCAAGAAGTATCAAGAAGTAATTCAAATGTCCATCAACTTTTTAATGGATAAACAAATTGTTGTACATCTATACAATGAATAGCATTTGGAAATTGCCATACAACAACAAAGTTGAATCTCACATGCATTATGCTAAGTGAAAAACACCAGACTGAAAAAGCTACATACTGTATGGTTCCATTTATATGTTATTTTGGAAAAGGCAAAACTGTTTTTAAAGGATATAGTCAATAGTTGCCAGAGGTTGGGAGTGGATAAAGGTGATTGAATCCAAAATATAACAGGAAACTACTGGGTGTAATGAACAAGTTTTATATTTTTATTTCAGTTGTGATTACATAGATGCATGTATTTGTTAAAAATCTTTGAGCTGTACCACTAAAAATGACAGTTTTATGTATGTAAATTATAACTCAAAAAACCTAACTGAAAAAAAAATCAATACTAAGACCTGTTTTATTATACAAAGACAGAATTTACTTCAGGCATGCTGGGAAAGTTTAACATGAAAGTTTAATATGAGGTAATTATTAAAGTAATTCATCACATATGATTTTGATGGAAACCTGAAAGGCAATTGGTAAAACTGAAAATCTAATCTCCATTCATAAAAGCATTTAAAGGATGAATTTGAGAAAACTTTTCAAAGATTCTTAACACAGTTTTCAAAATAGAAACAAAATAAATATTTAGTATAAAACCTAATAGAACCTATATGGAAGAAACTATAAAACTTGGAGTCATGTAAAATTACACAAGATATAATGGAAAAACACTATTTTCCTTTCCTTTCTCTTTTCTTTTCTTTTTTTTTTTTTTGAGATGAAGTCTCACTCTGTCGCCCAGGCTGGAGTGCAATGGTGTGATCTTAGCTCACTGCAATCTCTGCCTCCCACGATCAAGCAATTCTCCTGCCTCAGCCTCCTTTGTAGCTGGGATTACAGGCACGCACCACCATGCCTAGCTAATTTTTGTATTTTTAGTAAAGACGGGGTTTTGTCGTGTTAGCCAGGCAGGTCTAGAACTCCTGACCTCAGGTGACCCTGCCTGACTCGGCCTCCCAAAGTGCTGGGATTACAGGTGTGAGCCACTGCACCCAGCCTGAAAGACACTATTTTTCCAAAGGAGATGACCCTATAGTGTATATCTGGATCTTTTTTTCCAAATTAGCATAAAAATATAAATAATTTTTTTAACTTTTCAAAATAATTCTAAATGTTTCAGTGGAGGACTACATGTGTAAGATTTGTCAAAGATTGAAGAAATTACTGAGTAAAGACTTGCCCTATGAGATAGTAAAAGTATGTAGAAACCACAGTAATTTCAATAGTCTGCTAATGGCATGAGATTGGTGGGGAAATCCATGAAACAGAAAAAAAAGTTCATCATAAACTTATCAAAGTTAGTTCATGCAACAGTCGCATTTTAAGTTAGTGGAGAAAAAAACCTTGTTCATCTAGTCAATGGTGCTGGGAATTGTGTAAATGATTGTAAAAGTTAAAAAGATAAATACTGCAAGTTCTCACTTGTATGTGGGAGTTAAAAAATTTGATCACATGGAGGCAGAGAGTGTAAAGATAGGTAACAGAGACTGGGAAGGGTGAGTGGGGGGATGGGGAGAGAATAAAGAGAATGGGTTAAAGGGTACAAACATACAGTAGGAGAGAAGGAATAGATTAAATGCTTGATAGCAGAGTAGGGTTACTATAATGAACAAAAAATGTATTGTATTAGGCGATGGACATCTTAAATACCCTGACTTGATCACTATGCATTACATACACGTATCAAAATTTCTCATGTACCCAATACATTTATACAAACAAACAAAAACAAGAAAATTAAGCAAAAAAAGAAAAAAAAACCTTTGCTTACCAAAAATAAATGATGATAAAAATACAAGTATGCTTTGTATTTTCAATTCATAAGTATTAATTTCAGATACATATATAAGTATAAATGAAAGAGGCAAACCATAAAATAAAATATTAAAAGCTATGCTCACATTAAAAAAGTATATACTAAAAATAAAAACTCAACTTTAAAGAAAAATAAACAGAAAAATTTATTCTGTATATGGTAGGCTAAATGTTATTATCATTAATACTAAATATATATTAAATATATTAACTATCTCATTCTATACCTAAGTCCCCCAAAATAAAATACAATTGCAGGTAAAGAAACAAAGGTTGAAAAGAAAGAAAAGTAAAATAGACAGCCAATTAATATTAAAAATATTTTCAACCAAAGAAGTGCAAAATGAATCTATGATATTATTGTAATTATTGTTGTTTTGTGTTATTTAAATTAGAAAAATTAAAAGAAAAATTATAGCACTGCATTTGCTCTGTAATAAGTACGCTTTTACATTGCTGGCAAGAACGCAAATTTGTTCAGAGTTTTAAAAGAAAATTTGGCAATATGGATCAGTAAGTCTTAAAAATACATATTTCTCTTGTTTCTATTATTATTATTCCATTACTAAAAATTTATGCTAAGAAAGGATCAGAAATTGGTGTATCCTCATTGCAACATTATTGTGACATAAAATATATTGTAACATTCAAAAATTACTGTCCTCAATAATATTTCATGGCATTGGAAATTCTCAAGTTATATTATCAAATGAGAAAATTAAGTTACAAAGAGTATGTGCACTTGAGGCTAAACTCACTTTGAAAATTTCAGCAGTGAGCTATCCTCTTTCTACATATTAACAGCATATACTCCTTAAGGTTAACTGTGGTTACTATGTCTATGTGGTAGAACTAAGGTTGTTTGAGATTTGTGGAAAGAATAAGCAGAATATGGTTGGAAGATAATAAGATATAAATAAAAGGAATGTAAAAAATTTAGAACCCAACATTGAAGGAAGAAAGTGGTAGAAAATTATCATGCAATTTTGTTAATTTCCTAGTAGCTCTTAGGATTCTAAGAACAGGTGAGAAGTTGGTGGCCCAGGTTTGTGGATGACATGGGGGAAATGGTAAAGGCCAAAAGTCTGACTCAGTCTGACCATGCAAGGATATCAATTAAAGCACTTAATAGTTTCTAAACTGTAGACTTTGTTTCTACAGGCTAGTTAGGGAAGCCAATGATATTAAAAACTGTTGTGATCGACTTAGAAAATACTGTAAGAGCAAGGGACCAAAGATCATAATGAGGTATTGAAATGTAAAAGACGCTGGATAACCAAAGCAATCTGGAGCAAAAAGAACAAAAGATGGTGAGAGGCATCATACTACCTGACTTCAAAATATTCTACAAATCTATTGTAACCAAAACAACATGGTATTGGCATAAAAGCAGACACATAGACCAATGAAACAGAATAGAGAACCCAGAAATAAATCCATGCATGTATAGCCAACTGATTTTCAACAAAGGCACCATGAACATGCATGGGAAAAAAGGACAGTCTCTTTGATAAATAGTGCTGGGAAAACTGGATATCCACATGCAGAAGGAGGAAACAAGACACCTATCTCTCACTATATACAAAAATCAACCCAAAATATATTAAAGACTTATATGTAAGTCCCAAACTATAAAATTACTAAAAGAAAATACAGATAAATGCTTCATAAAATTGGACTGGGCAAGGATTTTTTTAATAAGAACTCAAAGGCACAGGCAACAAGAGTAAAAATAGACAAATGAGATTACATAAAACTAAAAGCTACTGCATAGCAAAGGAAATAATCAATGGAGTGAAGAGACAATCTATAGAGTGGGTGAAAATATTTGCAAACTTTTCATCTGAGAAGAGACTAATAAAATATGTAAGCAACTCAACTCAATAGCAAGCAACCAAATAATCCTATTAAAAATGAGCAAAAGGTCTAAATAGACATTTTTATTTATTTTTTTAAACATACAAAAAACTTTATTTACAGTTGAAAACCTAAACACAATCTTGGATCCTGAATCTCTGATACTGCTAGAGTCTGTTGATCAAATGGCGTAGCAGCAGGCAGGGAAGCAAACACAGGGGCCAGTCCAGATTATCTTACTCAAGAACATTGCCAAGAGGAAGTGAAAGTCTGATTCAGTCTTGGTCTGAACTACATCTCCCCACACCGTGAGATCACCATATGTACCTTGGCCTTATTATTGGTGCCTGTGGGAACATTTTCAATCTTTCTTATCAGTAGAAGTCCATCAGTGATTTTTCCAAACACTACATGCTTCCCATCCAGGCCATTGCACTTAGAGCGGGTGATAAAGAACTGACAGCCATTTGTACTGGGACTGCTGTTCACCATGGAAAGCAGGACCGGAGCTGGGTATCTGATTTTAAAATTTTCATCTGCAAATGGTCCCTGGTAAATGCTGGTGACTCCAGTAACATCTCCATTAACAAAATCTCCACCCTGAATCATGAAATCCTTTATGACCCTGTGAAAGGTGCTCCCTTTGTATCCTATTGGAACCCGATCTTCTCTGAATTCTCCAGTGCAGAACTGCCCAAAGTTCTCAGCTGTGTTAGGCACAATGTCTACAAAGAGCTGGATCTTCATGTGGCCAACTTCCTGACTGACAATGCTGACATCAAAGAACACCACGGGGGCTCAGGGCTTGAATTTGCCACCACCATGGCTTTGACTCAGAAGCAGAAGTCTGACATTTTTCAAAAGAAGACATACAAATGGCCAACAGATATATGAAAAAATGTTCAACGCCACTAATCATCACAGAAATGCAAATGGGAACCACAATGATTTCATTTTACCCCAGTCAAAATGACTATTATCAAAAAAAAAAATGAAAGATAACAAGTGTTGGGAGGATAGGGACAAAAGAAAACCAACACTGTTGGTGGAAATGTAAATTAGTACAGCCACTGTGAAAAACAGTATGAAGGTTCCTCAAAAAATTGAAACTATAATTACCATATGATCCAGCAATCCCATTCATTACTGGGTATATATCCAAGGGAAATTAAATCAGTATATCAAAGAGATATCTGCACTCCCATAATTATTGTAACACTATTCACAATGCACAAGATATGGAGTCAACCCAAATTACTGTCTCCAAATGAATGGATAAAGAAAATGTACATATATGCAATGGAATATTATTCAGCCATAAAACAGACTGAAATCGGCCGGGTGCAGTGGCTCACACCTGTAATCCTAGCACTTTGGGAGACCGAGGCAGGTGGATCACCTGAGATCGGGAGTTCGAGACCAGCCTGACCAACATGGAGAAACCCCTTCTCTACTAAAAATACAAAATTAGCCAGGTGTGGTGGCACATTCCTGTAATACCAGCTACTCGGGAGGCTGAGGCAGGAGAATCGCTTGAACCTGGGAGGTGGAGGTTGCAGTGAGCCACGATGGTGCCATTGTACTCCAGCCTGGGCAACAAGAGCAAAACTCCATCTCAAAAAAAAAGAAAGTGTAGAGGCCAAGATTTTCTGAAAAAAATCACTGACATGAGGCAGATTGCTTAATAGGTGAAAAGGCATACAAATTATTTAACATGTATACACAGGAGGCTTCAGAATGATGACCTCAAAGATACAAGGGAAATGATTAACTTTTATAAAGCTGAGGTTAATAACATATGGATAATGGTCTAGAAGTATGATTGAAGAAAAGGGTATGATCTAATGCTAATAGACTGAGTAGGAAAACCCAGCAAGGCCTGTCTGTCTAGACTTTTCTTGGTCTCTCTGAGCCTGTATTCCTTCCTTCTAGGTGTGGGGCAGGGCCCTCTCTGAAATGGGGGTCTCATGACCTACAGTCGAACAAGGTAGGTCAGATCATTTCTTTATAACCAGTTTTTACATAGAATACTTTTAGATTTTATGTCTAGCTTTGGAGAAAAGGGGTTCTGGTTTCTATGACTCACCTTGAAGAAGAGGGATTCTAGTTTCTATGCCTACTTCCAGGGTTTTAGGGTGGGCAGGAGAATGGAACTTAGGGAGGCAGGAGAAGGTCAGAGAAAAACTTTTGTTTCTGAGGCTGCCACTGAGGCTTTCATTTTGGGATATTGTTTTCTGAACCTCAAGAAGAGGAAGAATAAATTCTGGTGTTCTATTACACGGTAGGGTGACTACAGCAAATAACAATATAACATATATTTCAAGAGAGCTAGAAGAGAATAATTTGAATGTTATCACTACAAATAAACTATCAATGTTTACAGTAATGTAAATGGCAATTACCATGATTTGATAATTATATATTTATATATGAGTTGAAACATCACATTGTACCCATAAATATGTGCAATCGCATATGAATTATACATTTAAAAAACAGACTAACAAAAAAAATCATGATGAGGGTATATGTAGGAGTGAAACTCAGGGGGGATGAAATGAGTACTACAATGTAATAATAATATAATCTTGAGGGTGAAAAGGTTTAAAAAATTTTTGCCTTCAATTTTTAAAATGTTTATTTGAAATAATTTCAGCCTTTCACAAGTATTGCAAAAATTATAAAATAATTATTGTGTAACCTTTATCCAGATTCTGCAAAAATTCTGTTAACATCTTACATAATCAAAGAACAATGATCAATGTCACAAAATTAACATTGATATAATTCTATTATCTAAAGATGTTATTCGAATATCACTATCACGGCTCACTGCATCCTTGACTTTCTAGGCTCAAGCAATCCTCCCACCTCAGCATCCCCAGTACCTGGGACTACAGTTGTGTGCCACCACACCTAGCTAAGACTTTCCTCCTAATGGCTCCTTCTTGCCTGAGATCCATTCATGATCATGTGTTGCATTAATTACCAGGTCTTAAGAGTGGATAAATTTTAGTGATAACAATGTACAAGTGCCAATAGGTGACTTAAGTGAAAGGGGGGTGAAATCACATTAGGAAAAATCACAGAAGTCCAGAATATCATTCATTCACTCATTCACTCAATAAGTTCCTTTTAGTCTCTTAAATATGTGCCAGGCATATAATTATGTGCTGGATATTGTCAATAGTAGAGTAAGTATGTCATAGTTTCTGACCTCACAGAGTTCAAATCTCACCCAAATACCAGTCCCTTTAATGATTCTGACCAAAAGAAAAATCCAAAGAGGTTAATAGTTTGATAATTCACCTTGAAATATCTCCAATTATTCAACCATGAGAAGGACTCCCTTGCCAAGTTGTATGTTTTACACTTTGCACTTTGTTGGAATTTAATAAAGGTAATGATAATGATCAGTATTACTGCCTAAAGATGAAGATCAACAACATTCACCCCCATCTCCAAGTAAAAAGAGAGTTGAAATATAAATCGATTTTATTCTTCGTATAGTATTTAATATAGGGAAAATGTAATACTGTATATCACATGAGCTGTCATGCTAAGAGTTAAATGACTATTGCATTTCCAAATAAATGTCTGCATTCTATATTAAGTAATAGATAATAGAATGCCAAAATGCTTCTACTCTGAAAATAAGTGAATTACTGATGGTACTCCATGTCTCCCCACTGCCTATAAGGTAAAACAAATTGCTTAGTTTAACATTCAGGCTTTTTTACAATCTAACTCTAACCTTTCTAGCCATTCTCCATTTTTCATCCTGCAGGAAAGTCTTCCTCCATTTCAAGCAAACACTGATGTACAACATATCCTGCACTCTGTCTCTCTTATTTGTACTGTTTATTCCAAATTCAAATACTTCTTCTTGCTCTCTAATTACCCATCCTTTGTATCTCTGGTGTAGTAATTGCTCAATACATGCTATTAATTCTCTTGAATGTTTTAACTCTTAAGGTAGAAGAAACAAAACCTTGAGAACATCAGTCTAAGAACACTGGCCTTAACCTATCAACAATTAGAATGTGCTTATCAAACAACATAAATAATGAAGACCCTGGGGATCTTTCCAGGCATTCATATTTGTAAGCTATCCTGGTTGTTTCTGCCCAATAAGCACTTTCTTACAGAAACTATAAAAATAAATAGGACATAAGTGTCTCTTAGAATCCTTATTGCATAGCATTCCCAAGGGTTTATTCTCCTGAGTACTACATGTTATAAACCAAGAATACAAGTAAGTATAAGTAGCAGTCCTGGAATATAAAACACTTACAACAAATCTAAAAGGCGTATTCATTATTATTCAAAAGCACCTTCATAGAAATATCAAAAATAGGGATGGCTGCATATAAAGCTGAGTCCTTTCAGTATTAGAGAACAATTAGGCTCAATTATATAGAAAGACTGAATAAAACATTAAGTGAAAAATCATTATGCAAGCAGATGACATAGTTTTCTTTAAAACAAATAAGTTATGATTCTAACCCACCTTTTAAAATCAGCCAGTGTATAATTTCAAGCCACTTTGAATGATTTGAAATGAAATGTTATACTACAGGATTGCTGGTCTACTTTCCAACTCAGAAATAGTAATGAATCTCTCACTATCCGTATAACATCATCCGAGAAGGTGGTGGCGTGGTATTATAAAATACTTGAATACCTGGTTCACTCTGAGCCCACCTTCATACTCATGAACATGCTGTCTTGCTGGCCTTCTCTACCTTTCCTCCCAATTCTCAAGATTCTGACTACATATTATGATGAAAAATCATCTTGATATTTTACATCTTTCTCATCAAACTTCCTTTCTTGTGTCGTCAACTGTTAGAGTGCAGGCAGATACATAGGGTATTACAAATAAAACACAAGAAATAATATTTTTCCTTCATGTTTTCTATCATTTGCTCATGAAAATCACCTCAAAAGAGGTCGCCTTGTGTCTTCTCTATGAATGACAAATGTGGAAATGAAATCTCTCTGAAGAAAATCAGTAGTGAAACCTTGATGTTTAAAAACAATATGAGTTGCTATTGAATTATACATCAATGTCTTTAAAATCTGCATGCAATTTCAGTGTTCCAACTTATAAAAGACTTGCCAGAAGGAGAGAGAAGCAAAAGGGACAAACTAGTTGAGAACATTCAATCACTGTGATATAGATATTTTGTTAATTGTACCTCTGAATTATTTGGCACATGTTACCCAAAGTGACATTTCACAAATTTGCTAGATTCTGAACTTTTCAACATTATCCATTTTAAAAGAAAAAAAGCAGTGGCTTGGATAATCAAAGAAGTCTGTAACAGTGAAATGTACTTTTTTGCTTCAACTTGGACATAACTGGCTCTGCTTCTTTTTGTAAGTTTACACTCCTTAACACAACATCATACTAATTTAGGTATGTAGAGCTTCCCTGTTCCACACGAAAGACAGATTATTAGCAAAACTAAGAAGCAGAGAAGGTTAGTCAGAGATGACCTCTACCTTCTCTCCCTTCTCATTTAATATACATCTTCTCTCTCAAACTACAACTTTCTCTCACTCCTGATATTCATCTCAATTCCAATTCTGACTCTTGTTTCCTGCCAATGACAACTACAATGCTTGCTCTAATTGCCATAACCAGGGTATCTTGATTACCCTCAATCTGAAAACCAACATTTTTTTAGATCCAAAAAAAAAGGCTCCAATAGTAAAATAATGGGCCAGTGGAGGGAACATTTCAGAAGAAATTCTGCCCAGAAAATCTCTTGT
Source organism: Homo sapiens (assembly GCF_000001405.40). NCBI lineage: Eukaryota > Metazoa > Chordata > Mammalia > Primates > Hominidae > Homo > Homo sapiens. Next base: position 113,517,507 of record NC_000023.11, on the reverse strand, counting down.
ATCCATCTGGCTATGTCAAGTGTTGTGTAAGGAAAAGCCATGATTACAATGCTAGACACATAAGTACCCAATAAATACTTGCTGATTTGCACTACATTGTAATTACAATGCCAAGTATCTAAAAGTACATGTCACTTAGCTTTTTCTAACCTTGAATATCCTAAGCACATAATGATTTGGCAGAGTAAAATATCTGCAATTTGCTTTTCCTCCACGATGAGCAGATAGCAATGTGTGCTGAATTGCAGGATAATATCTGCAGACTGAAGTCGAGTCTGTGGTCAGAGGAAATGTCAGTCTTTGACTTAATGAATCTCAAGCAGAGTATTAGCTCACTGAAATAGAAAGAGAGAGAATACATTTTTAAGGCTTTATTTGAATTTCGTAAAAGGAAAGAAAATCATCATGTTTATGCTCTTTACCGTGAAATTTCCAATGGATACTTGGCAACTCCAGTTTTCACCACTGACAAGTCCTCATCTAGGGGTTGCATTATCTTCATAGAGAAAGGCAGTAGAGCAAGGTTTGATGAACTTTTTCTGATAGTTCATGATTCTATTTAATGTTTTCATGAGAAGAAACAACAATGACTCTTCATACCATTTACCTCTTTACTATCCTCACAACCAAAAATAAATATGTTTTGGGGGGAGAAAAAGGCCCATAGGTGATGGAAGACTCCTAATAATGAGAGTTGGGTCAATATACCTGATAGTCAATTAATACTGCACCTGATACACTTAGCTTTTTGACATGGAATGACCTACTCTCATACTCATGAATGCATGTGCAAAACAATGTCAATATGGGCAGCCAGGTACTCAGTAGTTCTCATGGTCAGAAGTTCAGTAGTGAGACACAAGATTTTTGCCTGTGTTGGAAACTGATAAGGAAATCATGAATTATCAGCTGGGCGCAGTGGCTCACACCTGTGATCCCAGTACTTTGGGAGGTCGAGGCGGGCAGACCACCTGAGGTTGGGAGTTTGAGACCAGTCTGACCAACATGAAGAAACCCCGTCTCTACCAAAAATACAAAAATTTGCCAGGCACGGTGGCGCATGCCTGTAATCCCAGTTACTCAGGAGGCTGAGGCGGGAGAATTTGCTTAAACCTGGGAGGCGGAGGTTGCAATGAGCTGAGATCGTGCCATTGCACTCCAGCCTGGGCAACAAGAGCAAAACTTCATCTCAAAAAAAAAAAAAAAAGAAAAGAAAATCATGAATTATGAAAACAATAGCATTCTTACTAGGGGTGATTGGGAGAGACCATACTTTTGACAGTTTATTATACAAATTTAATATCTCATCACAGATGACAGGGGGTTACCTCTATTTTATTCAGGATGTCTAGACATCACACACACCGAATCTTAAAAAATGTGTCATCTTCTCATCTCTCCTCCCTAATTTTCTCTTAAGGACATAGAAGGAAAGAACCCTGAATTATAACCTGCGGGAGTCATGTTTGGTACAATTAAGATTTTATTACTCAATTAATATATTACCTCAATTCATTATAGTACCAGCAGGCAATTCTATTATGTTTTGGTACCCTATTCTGCCTTTCTTGAAGCACTTGTTTACTATATCCCTATTCATCATATCCATATTTATCTAGGCTTCACCCATACTTGTAATGAGCTACAGTAGGGAGTTGGAAACCTAAAAGAGAGTATGGGGACAGTGGCAAGTTGGTATCCTCTTTCCTCAAGGAGAGTAGAGTTAGGTACTTTAGTCCAATCATGAGCAGCAGTGGGAGTGATTTGAGACACTCTGAAGGGTTCATTTGCTTGTACATAGAAAAGGGAGTGTGCTTCACCATACTACAGGGGGGACTGCTGGTTTCCCATCTACTCTTTCAGCTTTTAGAATGGAAAAGGAACTGAGTTAGCATTGTTCAATCACTGAACTGCATTTCATTCTAGCTAGAACTCTCACATAGGCCATTTGTTGCCCAAGAAGGGCCAATGAAGACAGACTTCCTTCTCCTTCCTTTCCTTTTTCATTTCTTCTTGATTCAAGCAGGGAATATGTTTTGACTTGTGTAAAAATAAGCAGGGTGTTTAAATTGTATATTTAAGCTACACAGCAAAAAGAAAGAGTATAACGGAAGCAGGTGTAGTGCTAGGGGAAGGGGCGGGTGGGAAAACTATTCAATCCAAGAATAGTATTCAGTATTCCTAGAGAAAGGAAATAGAAATAGCTTCAGCATAGCAGCTAGTCCACATCAAAAGTAGACAACACTGAAAAATGAGGACAAGTGTGGTATAAAGAATTGCTCCCAGTCACTCTGAACTTTGCCAACACTTGTCAGGACAGTCAGAGTACTCAAGATACATCAAACAGACACTCTTGTACAGGACAATTAGACACATTGTGGAAGGGGGTAGGCAAGAGAGAAGAATTGCAGCTGAGCAAAGGTTGTGAAAGTGGCCTTTGTACTCTTCCACTTAGCTGTCAAGTTTGGAAAAGGCCTGGGAGAAAACGGTGAAATCTCCCACTGTGCTGCTTAGAAAAGGAAACGAGCTAGTTCAAGGATTATTCCTATTGAGGGGAAAAACAAAAACAAAAACAAAACCAGGAGTATCTTAACCAAACTCCTGTCATTTACATGTACCTATAAAGCCCACTGAAAGTATGGCTGTCCTATGATATTGCAAAGACATTCTCCCTGCCTGCTGACCCCTTGTCCCTCACCCTCCACCAATACAAAAATCTCTAATGTTAGATATTCATACATAAGTATCAGTACAGTGTAAGAGTTGTTTGGTATTGTTGATACAGCCTCACGGAAAGGATCTCACAGTCTTATTTTGTGATCTAACAAGGTGTAAAACACTAAAAGTCTGAGACTTATGGTAGGAAAAAAAAAACTTGTTTAGAGAAACTATTTTTTTTAGCAGTGCCAGGGTGGGTCTAAAATAAGCTGATTTTACCTAGGGTGGCACCAGCTTTAAACAACTCCATATTCTCTCATAAGTTTTTCCACTAGAATGGATAATGGTGCACAGATCTTGAAAGTCTTTGTTGCCAAGCACTGTGGCGGGGGGGGACTGAATTTCTGATTTGCACATATCAAGTATTGGCAGCTAGTGGCTCTCTTAAATGTATGCTGTTAAGGATTCTGTAATGTTTTAGTTTGTTACACAGTCCTAGCTCAGCTGAAAAGGCACAGTAGTCTTTAGTATCTGACATTAGAGAAAAAAGACAATACAATTTGTGCCTGGGGTGCTTGGAAAAGCTTCAGGCTTCATAATAATTTGGGTGAGGGAAAATGTGGATAATGACTTTATAATTGTTTCCATAAATGGCAACAACACAGATTATGTATAGTCATAAAAGTAGCATTAGCATTTACCATGAACCAGTCAATCCTAGGAGAACTTGTAGATGCCCCTTTCTGCATACATTTTCTACCTTAGTGATATCCTCCCACCACTAGAACCAGCTAGAGTGTTTACTGCCGAGCCATTAAATTTAGAATTTATCTTGAGGTAATGAAAAGCGCAGTGGACTGTGAAGTGAGAAATTCTGGTCCAGCCTCTGCCACTTACTAGCTGTGGGAAATTTGAGCAAGTACATCCCCTGTTCTGGCCTCTGTTTCTTACCATGGAAAATGGGAAATCTGGATTAAATGAATCACTAATATCCCTTTTACTACCCAAATCCTGTGATTTCCAAATGTTGCTCTCAAACTGCTTCATGCATATCAAATAATCTCAGGGTTGAAAGAGACCATAATACTCTTTTCCACACACCCACTTAATGTTTGAAACACTACAATATAACATTGATGCCAAATGACCATTCAGCCCTTCAAGAAACAATTCAGTGCTCAGAAACTCACTATCTGTTGATTTTTGTGGTTTCTTATATATTGGATACTAATTCATGGCCAGTTTTAGGCACTTTAAGTCTCTTTTTCTAATCAGTTATCTGCTCACTAACGTTATCCATGGTGTCTTTTATTGAACAGAAATACTTAATTTTGATGTTTTTTGAGAGTTTTCTACCAGCCTAAGCTACAAACAGAGTGAATGAGCCACCACAACAGATAGTGAGTTTCTGAGTAAATTATTTCAATAGGAAGTTTACTGATGAGAAAACCCAAAGATTAACAAATAATTTAAAAGATGATCTAGCTAATTAATAATCAGAGAAGTGGAAGTTAAAATAGTAAGCACTCACTTTATATTCACTACACTGGTCAAAATTAGAGAAATGAGTTATCTGCCACATGTTGGCAGAAATGCAGGGCTAGATCTAGATAGCCCAAGAGTTTAATGAGGTTCTTGGCCCATTTTTGTACAGCTCATAAGATAGGAATGGAATTTAACATTTTTGACGGGTGATTCATGAAGAAGTGGACGAAGAAGGAGGAGGAGGAGGAGGAAGAGGAGGAGTGGCAAAGACAATCCCGAGTGGCCTGAAAAGCCTAACATATTTACAATCCGGTTCTTTACAGAAAAAGTTTGTGAAGCCCTAGGCTCTAGAATCCCTCATACACTGTTGGTGGAAGAAGTCATTCTATAGAGCAATATGGAGCTATTTATACATACACTGTGTGACCCAGAATACATAGGCTTACAAAAGTATAAAATGGGACATGTAAGGCTATTCATTGCAACGTTGTTTATGGTGGCAGGAAGTTGGATCACTCAGGATACTCATCACTGGATTTGGGGTTATGAGTCAGAAATGATAGATAATCGAGTCATCAGTCAATTTAATTGGTAAAGTGTGGTAGATGTACATTATGGAGATTACGTAGCATTTATAAATGACAAAATAGATATACATGCAACAAACTAAATAGAACTTAGAAAACAAGTGGAGTGAAAACAGAAATAAATGGAATGACATCTATATCAAAATACCACTTATGTAAACTAAAAATATGCAAGTACAAAACAACAAAACATATTTTACAAGTAGACAAACAGTAAAGGATTAGAATAATTGCCTGGAGGTATGAGAAATAGAAATAGATAAAAACAATCAAATAAGTGTGGTCCTTGCAAGCAGCAATGATAATCAGTGTGCCATCAACTGAGGAGTGTGATAAACTCAATTTTCCTCAACAGAGAGGCAATAAGAAAAAAAGTTCTTAAAATATAATGAATTCTTTCTTCATATAATTCCCATCCATTCCTTGGTCCTAGTTATATCCTCTATCACACAAAACAAGTACAATCCTTCTTTCACATATGCCCATGACAGTTCTTACCCCTTTAGGTCCTTTTTATTCTACATACACAGTTCTACCCTCTAGATGGCTTTTCTTAGTGTGACAACCAGAAATAAATATATTATTCAAGGTATAGCCTGCCTTAGTTCATTTGGGTTGCTATAGCAAAATACCTTAGACTGGGTAATTTATAAACAACAGAAATTTATTTTTCACAGTTCTGGAAACTGGAAAGTCCAAGATCAAGGTATTAGCAGATTTGGTGTCTAGTGAGAGCTCGCTTAGCTTCATAGATGGTGCCTTGTTGATGCATCTTTACATGGTGGAAGGGGTGAAGAAGCTCCGTGGGGCCCCTTTTATAAGGGCATTAATACTAATCATGAGGATAGAGCCATCATGACCTCATCCCCTCCTAAATTGTCCTCCTCTTAATACCACCACATTAGAGACTAGGTTTCAACATATGAATTGGGAGGCACGAGGACACAAACATTTAGACCATAGCATAGGCTCACCATCACACAGTAGAATGAAACTATTTCATTCCAGACACTATACTTCTCTCAAAGAAGCCTAATCAGAATTAGGGGTACAAACTGTGTGTTTTAACTCTTACCTATCTTGCATCATCACATTTAACCCTGTACTAGACATGTAACTTTGTAAATGTTATTTGTTGTTGCATGCCAAATATACTGTATGATAAACATTATTATAAATGCAGGCTGGGCGCGGTGGCTCACGCCTGTAATCCCAGCACTTTGGGAGGCCGAGGTGGGTGCATCACGAGGTCAGGAGTTTGAGACCAGCCTGACAAACACGGCGAAACCCCGTCTCTACTAAAAATACAAAAATTAGCCAGGCATGGTGGTTCACGCCTGTAATCCCAGCTACTCAGGAGGCTGAGGCAGGAGAATCACTTGAACCCGGGAGGCAGGAGGTTGCAGTGAGCCAAGATTGCACCATTGCACTCCAGCCTTGGCAACAAGAGTGAAACTCTGTCTCAAAAAAAAAAAAAAAAAAAAAAAAAGAAGCCCCAAAAAAAACTGTTATAAAAAAAAACTTTAATCTTTAATGTCACTAAAGTATCTGTGCCAAAGAAAAATGTCTCCTCATTTTATAACTTTCTACATATGTGCTCCTAATGCAGAATTATATGGAAGTTTTGTAGGAAACCTGAATGAAGAAGAAATAGGAAACTGAAAGAAAGACTACTCCAGGCTTTATTGGACTTATTTAGGGGCATTATTTTTATTCTTATCAGTGCATTCCAAAGTAGAAAAATGTTTCACCTCTTTTCCAATCCAAATCACACCGAAAAATATCACAAGCTTCCACTGTCTCTCTCCAAAATTGGAAGTTTACTTATGAGACCTAGCATACATTTTTCAGGCTCTGAGAATGAATGTACCATGACTTCTTGCTGTGTATCTGCCTGGAAACTTTTCATCTCAGGAAGTAAGCATGCTTGGATAAAGCTTATTTGCATACTGCAACTCAACAGGACCACAGAAAGCTTCCATCATCAACAACAACAACAAAAAATACCAAAGTGTAGCAGAAACAGATGTGACTCCAAACTTCAAGAAGTCCCGTGAGCATCTGGAGATAATCCATCTTGCTGTCTCTTAATTGCCAGTAGGTTTATCACAACTTCCAATTTGATTTTTAAGGAGGCTGAACTGTAAAAGGGTTGTAATTAGCTCACTAAAATGTGTAAGGCAAAATGGGGAATTGTAATTCATTCTCTGAAGACTCAGGAAGACAGGAAGTCAGGTAAGCAATTCATTCACTTTTCTCAGATACTCTTTGGGCATAGGTAAGAGTCAAGAAACTCCACTGACATTCACTTCTGAATGCAGTATATACATTTATATTTATTTTACCCAGTTTTCGTCTATCTTATGCATGTCTAAAAAGGAAGGAAGTAGTTAACTTTGGGAAAGTTTATCTGTTTTTATCTGAACAATGAAGCTGGCTATTTGCAACACTGTGGTAAGCAAGCTTTAAGTTACAATAGCAATTTGATTTGAATACCGATAAGCCTAGTATTAGGCGTTACAGAATACTTACTAGGCAAAGACTCATTAGGGAAATCAACTTTTGCTTTCCCAACATGTTCATTAAAATTATAGGTCTGAATTTTATTGAGGTATACTCAATATTTATGACTTTATGGAACAACCTGGAGAATCCCTTTCTCGGCATCACTTGTTTGCCTACTAAATATCTACTTGCCCTTCCTTTTTTTTTTTCTTTTTCCCCAAGACAGAGTCACGCTCTATTGCCCAGGCTGGAGTGCAATGACGTGATCTCTGCTCACTGCAAACTCCGCTGCCAGGGTTCAAGCGATTCTCTTGCCTCAGCCTCCTGATTAGTTGGGATTACAGGCACACACCATCATGCCCGGCTAATTTTTGTATTTTTAGTAGAGACAGGGTTTCATCATGTTGACCAGGCTGGTCTCGAACTCCTGACCTCAAGTGATCCACCCGCCTCGGCCTCCCAAAGTGCTGGGATTACAGGCATGAGCCACCGTGCCTGGCTTTTTTCTTACAACAACACAATTTATTTCATGTGTGCACTCCTGCCCCATATGACCCAAGGGTTTAGGATTCTAGTCTCAGCCCCAGACATCAGCCTTAATCAATCTAGGCCAATTTTTGTGGTTCTATTTTTATTGCCAGTGATTGATTTAAGGGTAATTAATGGATTGTAGCCAATGAGACATGAATGAAGATCTGCTGGGGGCTTCTGAGAAAGATTTGTTCATTCTTCAGAAGAAGACATAGATAACATTGCACCTTTTCTGCATCTGGACATTGTCATATATGCATGTGATATATGTAACTGCTATATCCATCTTGTGACTATTAAAAAAACAGCATTAAGATGAAACTGATAATGAGTTCAGAAAAGCAGAGAAATGCAATGACTCATGCACCTAATTATTTAAACTTTATTCATTCCAGGCTCTTAAGTAATGTCATGTATAAAAGCTGACCACAATTACTCTGTCCTATTCTTCTCAGTTCTCCAGGACAATTAATAATAGAGTCTTCACTTGTCCCATCTACATTTAAAAAATAAATTAATGGTTAAACATAGATAATTAAATGCACATGTCTATCTCTACTCCTATCTGAAACTTCTAAATAATAATACAATGTTAATAGTGATAACAATAATAACAGTTGACGATTATTGAACAGGTACTTTGTGTCAGACACTGTTCTAAGTACTTTGCATGTACTAACTTCTATGATACAAGTGCTTTTTTATTTTTATTTTTCAACACGAAAATAAAGGACAAGAAAAAAATAGAAATGCAGACAACTTAAGTAAATGGCCTATGCTCTCTCAGCTGGTAATACGGCACGGCAAGGATTCCAACCCAAAGAGTTCAGCTTTAGAACCTGTGCCCTCAAGTACTATGAGGAATGAAAGGCATAAACCCACGAGGATAAAGGAACCCCAAGAAGAGACAAAAATTGATGAGAAATATTAACATAAATTTGAAAGATAGAAAACAGATGGAAGCATGTTGACTGAACAAAGCTAATTAAATCAAGATTGAAATGCTTACAGAAGGAAATGCTGGTAAGAAGCGAGTTATCGCAGCCCATGGAAACTGCAAAGGCTCAAGAGTTTGAAACACCAAGTATCTCGAAAGATGATGGAAGAAAAATGTATAGGGCAGAAAACAGAGGAATTATTTAAAAACTATATAAGGAGATACTAGAATTCCAGGTGCTCTTCACTCTAGTAGGTGATCAAATGTCTATTCTTTGGAAAGATTTAAGAAAGGCTCCAGATTGAAATTTCAAGCACAGTGGCGGGTGGAAGGAAGAAACAAACAAAAAACAGTGGGATTAAGTGAATTATTTCATAGGAAGAATTGAAATGCCTAAACTCTTCTCAAACACAAGCAACCAGGAAAGAGCTGAGAGAATTTATTTTTGAAGAATCAGTGCCTCCTCAAAGGGGAAAAACAAATTGGCAGTCCCCCTTCCAGGTATCTGTGTCTCTACACAATCACTTTACAGTGAATATCACCAGTTAACTAAGAAAATAACGAAGACCTTTCAAATAGCTTTTTAGTTTTACTCTTAAATATAAATGGTCAGTTCTTTCTTCACTCTTAAATGTGAGTAGAGAGCCAAGGATGTCCGATATTTGATGAAAATTTTCAATGTGAAACATAGGCCGAAATGAACAAATAGAAAAAGGAAACAAACAGAAACAGACAATGTGAGAAAGCATAAGAAAGATTTGAGAAAAACTCTAACAACTTGGAGAAAGAAAAGATATAGGATCATGATAGATTGCCAAATAAAAAAAGTCTCTTTTTGTCCAGCTTTACTAAGGTATAATTGACAAAAATTATAAATATTTACAGTGTATAATGTGATATTTTTATATATGTATTCATTGTCTCATGATGGCTACAATCAAGCCAATTAACATATTCATCACCTCACATATCTTTTTGTGTGTGTGGTGAGAACATTTAAAATTTATTCTCTCAGTAAATTTCAAGTATACAATACAGTATTACTAACTACTGTCACCATGCTGTTCAAGAAAAAATCTTGAAAATTAAATAATATCAAAACTTCTAAAAAATCATCAAAAGAAGTTAAAGGCAAAGTTGAGGACATGTACAGAAGGTAGAACATCAAAGCTATAAAGTAATAATTACAATATAATAAAAAATTCTATATAGCTCTTATAATGTGCTAGGCACTGTTCTGAGCACTTTGCATGCATTAATTCATTTTCTGTTAACAACAAACCCTAAGATAGACACTATTCAATTTCTATATAGGGAAACTGAGTAACAAAGAAGACAAGTGACTTGTCCAAAGTCAAAACCTAGTAAATGGTGGAGCTCACATTAGAACCCAGAACCTCTAGCTCCAGAGGAAATGCTTATCTAACCACTACACTCCCTCCTTAGAGAAAAGAAAAAAAATAAAAGGAAAGTGGTACAAAACATACAAGATGAATCCAAGAAGTCTGACAAAGTGAAGAAAGAAAACACAGAAAATAGGAAGAGAAGTATCAAACAATTACTCCAAAAATATTTCCCATAACTGAAGGACACAGTTGGTGATTAAAAGGGCTTACCATATGTCTCTTCCCCTACTCTCCAATTAAAAGAATGAAAAAAAAAAAAGCCCACATCAGGACACATCTTCACTGAATTTTAGCATACAATGAATAAAGGTAGGATCTTAAAAACTTCCAGAAATATGTCACATGCAAAGGAGCAGAAGTCAGAATTGCACTGGACTACTCAACTACCACAGTGGGAACTAAGATTTTGGAGCAATGCCATCACAAGTGGAAGATGATGCCCCGTTTATAATTCTATTCCCAGAAAATATACCATTCAAATATTAATGTAGAATGAAATTTGTTTCAAATATGCACGTTCTTAAAAGATTGACTTCCTTTTTAGCCTATCTCAGAAAATCATCAAGGACACACTCCACCAAAACAAAAGAATACAAGAAAGAGGAAGCAATATGGAATATACTATTGAGAAAGGTATTCCAGTTCTTTTGAAGAGCTAAAAGATATGAGTTTATACATTGCAAAAAGCTCACTTTTCAAATGATGATAGCCACATATTGATATTACACAAAATTATGATGTAACTTTTTTGAAGTTGTAGGGCACAAAGGAGAAAAATTATTTTAGACATTGTTTAAGGATCAATTAGACTTCCAAGGTCCCAGTTACAACCCTGACATTCACTGGAGACTTTGATACTCAGTGCGTAATCATCCTTTGCTTCTCAAATGTTGTTACAATTATGGGTGATTGTAACATTCATTTGGGATGTTGCATTTCAAATCTTAGCAACATAGTTTATTGCCCACTCTTCAATCCTGGAGACCCTGACCTATATTTTACTTTAGATACCCACATCCATTACCATTTGCTAGACTTTGTCTTCACTTGCAACTACTCCACCTTTGGAAATTATTTTGACTTCATTATCTCACTTTCTAACCACAATGACTTATTCTTCCAGCAATCCCATTCCCATAGGAGTTACTCTTTGAATTTATTGATATCACAAGCATCTTAACTCTCTATTTTATGCAAATCTATTAACATTCTTGGCCTCACTCTTTCCTGTACAAACTAGACCATGTTTGTCAATTGCATTAAATTAATTAATAAATTAGTATCTCATCAGCTTCCTCAATTCTCTTGCTTTCTTATGCTTCTTCCCCACAAAACCACCAATTCCAGACAAATCTTAAAATTTGCCTTCTCCATCATACTACCAGACTTCAAACTGTACTAAAAGGCTATAGTAACCCTAACAGCACGGTGCTGGTACAAAAAACAGACACCTGGAGCAATGGAACAGAACAGAAAACTCAGAAATAAAGCTACACAAACCAAAATGAAATACCATCTCACACTAGTCAGAATGACTGTTATTAAAAAGTCAAAAAAAAAAAAAAAACAGTTGCTGGCAAGGCTGCCAAGAAAAGAGAATGCTTATACACTGTTGGTGGGAACGTAAATTAGTTCAGCCATAGTGGAAAGCAGTTTGGAGATTTCTCAAAGAACTTAAAACAGAGCTACTATTCGACCCAGCAATCCCATTTCTGGGTATATGCCCAAAGGAAAATAGATCAGTATACCAAAAAGACACATGCACTTTTATGTCCACTGCCACCCTCTTCAAAATAGCAAAGACGTGGAATCAACCTAGGTGCCCAGCAATGATAGATTGGATAAAGAAAATGTGGTACATATATACCAAGAAATACTACACAGCTATAAAAAATAATAAAATCATGTCCCTTGCCGCAACATGGATGGAGCTGGAGGCCACAATCCTAACCAAACTAATGAAGGAACAGAAAACCAATTACCGCATGTTCTCATTTACAAGCGGGAGCTAAACTTTGAGCATGCATAGATGTAAAGATGGGAACAATACACATTGTGGCCTAGTAGAAGAGGGAGGGAGGGAATGAGTCATGGGTTGAAAAACTACCTATTGGGGTACTATGCTCACTACCTGGGTGCAATATATCCATGTAACAAACCTGCACATTTATCTCCTATATCTAAAATGAAAGTTGAAATTTGAAAAGTACAATTTGCCTCCTCCACACTTACACACGTGTAATTAAGGGATACTGGAGGAAAAAAAATTCAGCCGTGTGGTTTCCAATTTCAGGCAGATACTGTACATTGCATCTAATCTAATTTACTTGTCCCTGAACAACTCCAGAGACAGCCAAGTCTCCAATTTCAGTGGTCAGTTCTGAACCCTCATTTTACTTGACTTGTTAGCAGCATTAACTTGTTTATCACTCCTTTGTTCTCAAAACACTTTTCTCGGTATCCACTCTTGAGACCCCTCCTTCTTTATTGGCCATACTTTCCTATTCTCCTTTGATGATATTTTTTCTCCTTCTAGACCTCAATTTTTAAGGCTCAATTTTTTTCTATTCTTCTCTTTTCTAGTCAAAATCACTGCTCAAGAGGACGTATTGTATTCCACAATTATAAATAAACCTTGTAGGTTGACAACCTTAAAATGTATATTTCCAGCCTGACCTCTCTAAATATCAAGATACATATATCTTGACTCAAAATCAAGATGTATATATTCAATTGCCAACTTGATATTTCCTATCTCAAACTGAATTTGATTCCCACCTTTTGTCAGTCTGCTCTTATCACATGCTGCTTGGTCTCAATACATGGCAATTCCATTTTCCTAATTGCTCAGACTGACATTTCTAGTAGTCATTCTTGACTTCTCTCTTTCTCATATACCACATCAAATTGTTAATCATATCCTAACAATGCTTGCTTCAAATATATTCAAAATCCACTTATATCTCTTTGCCTCTACTAGTACCATTGTGCTACAAGCCACCATTATTTTTTGTATTAATGACTTCAAGTACTTCGGATATGATCTTCTGAATTCCAGCCTTTCTCTTGTGGTCTGTTTTCTACATATCAGACAAAATCATCCTTTATAAAACAAATGAGATCACAGGACTCCTCCGGTTCAAATGTCACCAATGACTTTGTGTCTCATTCAGAGTAGTTGATAAAGCATTTTACAATTTGACCACAGGTTACTTCTTTGCTCTTATACACTCTGCTTCAACCACACTGATTCCTTTCTTTTCTTCAAACATGACAAGCACATATATCTCTTAGAAATCTTGCTCTAATCTGTGCCTGAAATGATTTCCTCCCCCACCCCCAACCACCACCTTCACAGATTATCCCTCATCTCATTCAAAACTTTAGCTAAAATACAACTTTATTAGAAAGATCTTCCATGTCCACTCCTTAGAAAATAGTATTCCATTCCTCCTATCCCCTTACCTTGATTTTTCTTTATAGAACTATTTACTGCCTGACAATTAAAAAAAATTTGTCCTCCACACCTGTCCCCAAAACAGTAATGTCAGTTTCAAGAGGCTAGGGACTTCATTGCTTTGTTCCCAGACCCCAGAACAGTGCCTGTTAGCAGTTTTCCGAATATTTGCCATTATCAAAACCCTCTACCAACTCTAATCCTTAATTTTACAAATATTCTTTCATCCTATTATATGCATTTTCTCACCTTTTTGTGACTACTCATACCATTTCAATAAGACATATATTCCTACCATTTTACCTTAGATTTATCAATTGATCAAGTTAAATTGTCATTTTGAGTCATCTTTTAGCTGACTTCTCGACAGCCTTTAATCTTGTTAATTTTTTTCCTCTATTTTGTGTATTTTTTTTTAATGAAGGTATTCTTTTTACTTTTTAAATTTTGATTGTTTAGTTTTTGTGGATACATAGTAGGTGTATATATTTATGGGATACATGACATATTTTGATACAGGCATGCAATTTTGCCTCTGTTTTGAAATGCATCCCTTGATATCCATAGCATCACAATATTTTGTTTCTTCTTATGCTTATCATGATTGCTCTTTTTAAATATCTTTAGAATCTTTTCCTCTGTTCATCGATAAAATGTTAGTTTCCTCCAGTGTTTTGTTAGACTCAGTCTGCTTTTCTCCTTTACTCTAGTCATTTTACATAGACAGTCTCACCTAGTCCCATGATTTTAACCACCATCCATATTCAGCTATTACTTTCGGAGTCTTTCTTCCACCAGTGCCTCAATTTTAGTTTTTTCTTTGTTGTTGTTCACAGTGATCCACGCAGACATAAAACAATAATGTGCCTGCTAAGATGTTGGTTTACATGTCCCAATCTATTCTTACTTAGTTTACACATAATCTGCTAATGAACCGTAATTCAACCCAAAAAGGCTATTGCTGTCAAACAAAGCATCTAGCTCCCTGAAATGAGAAATTAAATGAATAAATAATATTTGTCTCCAATTTTGTACAGAAACAATATAATACTGCTCTGTCAAAACATAATTTCACCCTCAAAAAACTGGGGATAGGAAAAACATACCTCAATACAATAAAAGCCATTATGATAGACCCACCACTAGTGTCATACTGAATGGGGAAAACCTGAAAGCCTTTCTTCTAAGATCTGGAACATGATAAGAATGCCCATTTTCACCACTGTCATTCCACATAGTACTGGACATTCTGGCTAGAGCAATCAGACAAGAAAAACCTATAAAGGGTATCTAAATTGAAAAGAAAGAAGTCAAATTATACTTGTTTGCACATAATATGATCTTACATTGGGAAAACCTAAACACTGCATAAGAAAACTATTAGAACTAATAAACAAATTCAGTAGAGTTGGAGAACATAAATCAACATAAAAAATCAGTCACATTTTTATATGCCAACAGTGAACAATGTGAAGAAGATATTAAAAAAGTAATCCCATTTAAAATAGTCACATAAAATTAAATACCTAGGAATTAACCAAAGAAATGAAAAATCTCTATGATGAAAACTATGAAATACTGATGAGAGAAATTGAAGAGGACACCAAAAGATGAAAAAATATTACATGTTCATGGATTAGAAAAATCAATATTGTTAAAGTGTCCATACTACCCAAAGCAATCTATAAATTCAATGCAAAACCAAAGGCATTCTTTGCAGAAATTTTTTTTTTAAATCTTAAAATGTATATGGAACCACAAAAGGCCCAGAACAGCTAAAGCTACCCCCAGCAAAAAGAAAAAAACTGGAAGAATCATATTACCTGACCTCAAATTATACTACAGAGCTATCATAACCAAAACACTAAGGTATTGGCATAAAAACAGACACATAGACCAATGGAACAGAATAGAGAACTTGGAAAGAAATCCGCTCCTACAGTGAACTCATTTTTGAAAAAGGTGCCAAAAACATACACTGGGAAAGAGACAGTCTGTTTGATAAATTGTGCTGGGAAAACTGGATATTCATATGTGGAAGAATGAAACTAGATCCCTATCTCTTGCCATATACAAAAATCAAATCAAAGTGATTAATTACTTAAATCTAAGACTTCAAACTATGAAAATACTACAAGAAAACATTGGGGAAAAACTCTAGGATATTGGTCTGGGCAAAAAATTCTTGAGCAATACTCTATAAGTACAGGTAACTCAAGTGAAGTTGGAAAAATGGGATCATATTAAGTTAAAAAGCTTGTGCACAGCAAATGATACAATCAACAAAGTGAAGAGACAACCTATAGAATGGGAGAAAATATTTGCAAACTACCCATCTGACAAGGGATTAATAATCAGAATATATAAGGAGCTCATAAAAACTCTAAAGGAAAAAAATCTAATAATCCAATTTTAAAAATGGGCAAAAGATTTGAATAGACATTTCTTAAAAGAAGACATACAAATGACAAACAGCCATATGAAAAGGTGTTCAACATCATTGATCATCACAGAAATGCAAATCAAAACAATGAGATACTATCTCACCTCAGTTTAAATGCCTTATATCCAAAAGACAGGCAATAACAAATGCTGGTGAGGATGTGGAAAAAAGGGAACCTGCATACACTGTTGGTAGGAATGTAAGTTAGTACAACCGCTATGGGGAACAGTTTGGAGGTTCTTCAAAAAACTAAAAGTTGAGCTACCATATGATCCAGCAATCTCACTACTGGGTATATACCCAAAAGAAAGGAAATCAGTATATTGAGAAGATGTCTGCACTCCTACATTTGTTGGAGTACTGTTTAAAATTGCGAAGGTTTGGAAGTGACCTAAGTGTACATCAACAGATGAATGGAAAAAGAAAATGCGGTATATATATACAATGAAGTATTATTTAGCCATAAAACATAGTGAGATCCTGTCATTTGCAACAACATGGATGGAACTGGAGATCATTTTGTTAAGTGAGATAAGTCCTGCACAGAAAGACAAACATTGCATGTTTCCACTTATCTTTATGATCTAAGAATCAAAACAATGTAATTTATGGATATAGAGAGTAGAAGGATGGTTACCGGAGGCTGGGAAGGTTAGCAGGGGACTGGGGCAGGTGAGATGGGGATGGTTAATGGGTACAGAAAAAACAGAAAGAATGAATGACCCCTACTGTTTGATAACACAACAGTGTAACTATAGTCAATAATAGCTTCGTTGTACAGTTTAAAATATTTCAAAGAGTATAATTGGATTGTTGTAACTCAAAGAATAAATGTTCAAGGGGATGAATACCCCATTCTTCATGATGTGCTTATTTCACATTGCATGCCTGTATCAAAATATCTCATGTACCCCATAAATATATATATATATACACAAAAAAATAAAAATCTATACAAATCCTCAAAACATAAATCTTCTTCTTTTTCAGGAAAGAGATACAGAAAATTGTGAAGGTATATATAGAAGCACAAAAATGCAGCATTTTCCTTGGAAACAGATTAAGCGAAGTTCTGATGTCCTTTCTTCTCTCTTATCTTATATGGCAACAAGATTCCTCATGGTCACCTTCCATCTTTGGAAGTCTATGCCAGCTATGGCCTGCATAAAGACCAGGTTTAAAATTATTCTTTACTCTCCCTGCTAGGTACTCTGCAATTGGGTTCAGGCTTGATCCAAGGGAAAAACAGACTCTCAGAATTATCTGCGAATATGGGCTCAGATAAAATAATTCCAAAAGCAACAAAATGGAAATGCCATTGCAGAATATGGCAAGGATTGCAAGTAGGTATTGGGTAATTTAAAAGCCTTACCTCTAGTCTCCCTGCTACAGTGTTAGGTACATAGTAGTAATTCAATAAATACATATTGAATGAATGACTCTTTGGTATAATATTAGGGACAACAAAAAATGTTTTTCTAACTATCTTGTCTAAAAATACTTCCTTCTCTTATCTATTATAGACGGAGACATGCTATGTTTCTCTGTGGGTGAGAAAAGCTCTTTTAATAAAGATTTTCTTAGAAAGTTTTAGGTGATACTCTAACAGTTTCTAGATGATTCATCAAACAAAAAATGCTTGTGATAATCCAGATCCTTGCAAGAATGAGAAGAAATTAATCCACTTACAGGTGCCTTGCCAAGTCCTGTTGACCTTTATTTCTAGCCACAAAAAAACCAAGCCAAGGTTTTAACTCTCATTTTTAATATGTTAATATCTGGTGAGATTGCCATAGTTTCTATGTCCATTTAATTTCTATTCATGTTTACATTTTCTGTTCATGTTAAAACATATATATCATAGACATTGTGTGTGTCTGTGATTTCAATTTAGTAATGGCTAAAATTGTCCCATGCAGAAAAGTAGACATCTTTTGAAGAACCACAGTTTAGAGGAAAGATTTCTAAGTAGAATAGTTTTCAGAAAACATTGAGGACAAAAAGGGATGGCAGCTTGCAGAGCACTGGCTAGGATGAATATCGGTTTTCAACAGAGGTAAGATAGTATTACTAACTTTTGAATAGAAAATTGTAGTATATATTTTATAGAATAATTTCAAGGACAGTTGAGCAACAAGAGAAAATACTATTCTAAGAGAATGAATAAGACTAACTTGCTGAAGCTATAGGAATTTGTGGACGCCATGTTACACCAACCACTCTAATACCATCCAAAGTCTGTCTTCACAAAGACACGTTCAAATCCTTTCTTATATCTGATTGACTAGGATGTCTAAACCTAATTAAAATATTGGTCATCATTGTCTAATTGTTTTTGAGCTTGCTCCTGAAGTACATGTATATGTAGCAGAAGGATTTCCTTTTATTTTCCTAACAACATAGGGTAGAAGAGGGAATCTTTTACAATGGAAACCTGGCTAGGATTCAACTAAAACCACAAGGTCCAAGAATGTTATCACTGTACTTTTCACTTTACTTCCATCATTACCCACAGAGTTGTATTAATTTCTTTGTTTGGTGTTGCTATTTTATGGTAGAGTGGGGTGGTTGGGGGTGTTAGTGGTCTAGTGCTGTAGTATATGGTTCATCTTTCTTCCCTGCTTAGTATGGAACACTTGTTCTCAAACTTGGTTTATGTGGGAATCTTTATTTCTAAGGCTCTCCAGGTGATCAGGATGATTAACAAGGTCTTAGAAAAAATGAGATACAATATTGGTTAAGAGCATGAACTTCAAAGCCACATAGATTTGTATTCAAAATTTGATTACCCTTTACCAGCCTATGGCCTTAAGCAAGTTACCTAACCACTGCAAATCTCAGAAGGATAATACTTATCCTACAGTGTTATTTGAGGAATCAATGAGTTAATATATGTGCTATGGTCTGAATGTTTGTGTTCTCCCAAAATTTATATGTTGAAATTCTAACCCCTAAGTTGTTGGTATTATGAGGTGGGGTGTTTGGGAAGTTATTAGGTAATGAGGGTGGAGTCCTCATGAATGGAAGGGATCCCAGATCTCTTTTATAAGGACATTAATACACTTTTAAAGCTTTCTAGATAATCAAAGATTTGAAGTTTTCAGTTCATTATTGTAAAGGGGACACATATGTAAAGAGAAAAGCTAGCTTCTTCCACCATGCGAAGACACAGTGAGAAAGTGTCATCTATGGACCAGAAAACAGGCCCTCATCAAACAAACTGGCTGGCTCCTTGCTCTTGGACTTCCCAGCCTCCAAAACTATGAGAAATGAGTGTTTGTTGTTTATAAGCCAACCAGTTTATGGTATTTTGTTATAGCAGCCTGAATGGACTAAGACAATATGCAAATCTACGTAGTCCAGTTTATAGCATGTAGTGAATAGTCTAGAAGTGATAGCTATTGCTAGTTTTATCAAACAAAACACAAAGTCTAGAAAATAATTTTTTGGCACACATAACTCTTGATTATAGTAGTACTTCCTCACCTTCTCTTTGCCCTCCTCTCACCACACATACAATCACTCAGTGACTGCAAAAATAATTTTTCACCATGAGTAAAGCTCAATCAATGTGATTTAGAACTTCATCACTGCAATTCAGTACCTTACACCATACGGTTTGGTGCAAGCCAAACGTTATTCTTTTCAAAGGGAAAGATTCATTTTTATTATTTCGGAGATGTCACATATCACTGAAGTAAGCCATAAAAGAAATTGATCTTGGAAAATGCAATTTCAGTTGAGAGCCTGGACCTAGCAAACTGCAGCAAGGCCCCCAAATGAGTCTGGCTCTCAGGGAATCAGTATCATATAGAGCAAAAGCCTGGTCTTTTGCTTTATTTTTGAAAGACTGGTCAGGCTGAAATTGTTGAGCAATTAACATTTGTTGTCTACCACCAGGAGCAGCAGTTTGAGGATGTCAACTCACTGCATAATTTGCAGGTATTGGGGTTGCCAAGAAAGATACAGCTCACTCAGGCACCGGATGGAATAACACTATATTCACATAGAGAAGACACAGAGCAAGATCAGCCTCAATAGAGAGTTTTGGTCCCCCATGACCAGGAGAACTCACCCCTCAGCCAATGCAGTGAGAGGGTTTGGATGAGTCCTTCCTGTGCTACAGGTGAAGGACCCCATTGCCTCCCAACTGGGAACAGATACAGTAGTAGGGTTGTTCAGGTGCCATATGATGTGCATGATTAATCAGAACAAAGAAGTGCCAATCAAGTCCGGAAGAGGGAAAAATATTCCAAAACAAAAAGATATGCCCAACACAAACTGTAAGGGCTCTTTATCTCTTTGCAAGGAAATGATCCAGGCCCAAGACACATGCTTATGCAACTATGCAGGGCTCAAAAGACTGCATGCACGTGACTGCATTTCCCAACAAGAATGTATCTGTAAATTTCCTAAATAGAGATATCAAGTACTCCATGTCATATGTGTCCCCATTTACAATAATGAACTGAAAACTTCAACTCTTTGATTATCTAGAAAGTTTTAAAAGTGTATTATTATAGCTAAGACTTGAGATGTCACGACTCTTTCATGGTTGAAAATTTCTTCATGTCTTCCTGATCCTAAACTCTTGTGCTCGTCAGAAAAAAAAACAAAAACAGTATCTCTATTTTTTTTTTTCTTTTTTTGAGATGGAGTCTCACTCTGATGCCAGGCTGGAGTGCAGTGGCACGATCTCAGCTCACTGCAACCTCTGCCTATCTCGTCTTTCCAGAGTATCTCTTTCTCACTAGCTACCCTTCAGAACTTCCACTGATATCTTGACATCACTACAATAAAACAACTCTCTCAAAGATCATTGATAGTAATTATTAATAGCCTTCTGTGGATTCTCTTTGTATCTCTCTCCTATTTAGGCTTTTGGCACTCTTATCTTCTGATTTTCCATCTGTTTTGATTTTCTTTTTCTCAGACTCCTTAGATGGTAATATGGTTTGGTTTTGTGTCCCTACCCAAATCTTATGTCAAATTGGAGGAGGGGCCAGGTGGGAAGTGATTGGATCATGGGGGCAGATTTTCCCCATATTGTTCTCATGATAGTGAGTGAGTTCTCACGAGATCTGATGGCTTAAAAGTTTGTGGCTCTTCCCTCCTCACTCTCTCTCTCTCCTGCCACCATGTGAAGAGGGTCTTTGCTTTTCCTTTGCCTTCTGCCATGATTATAAGTTTCCTGAGGCCTCCTAGTCATACTTCCTGTTAAGCCTGTGGAACTGTGAGTCAATTAAACTTCTTTTCTTCATAAATTACCCAGTCTCAGGTAGTTCTTTATAGTAGTTTGAGAACAGACTAATACAGGTGGATCTTTTTGCCTATCATGCATTCCTTAAATTTAAGCATCTTTCAAAATTCTGTTATTGCTTGGTTCTCTGTTCTGCTTTGCCCACGCTCTCTTTCATGACATCATCTACTTCTATCAATTCAATACCACCCTAGCATTGGTGACTCCCAAGTATGTATTTCCAGCCCCAAGCTTACTACCAAATTCCACAACGTAAATTTTCAAGTGATTGCTTTGTTTTCCCACATGGTGTTTCCACTGGCTAAAAAAACCATATGTCCAATCCAGCATCTTTTTTCTCCACTCTTTCACCTGCTTCTCAACTGTTTCCTAACTCAGATAATAATAGCAATAGCGTTAACCTAGTTATTCAAGTATAATAGCCTCAGAATCAACTTCAACTCCTTTCTCAGCCATCAAGTCTTATTGGTTCTATCACTAAAATAACTCTGGTATCTATTTTGAAGTTCTTGCTCCAGGTGAAGAGTTGTGTTAATAGAGGTGTAAAGTTGCCATCTATAACACACTTCTAGCTAAAAACCCATTAATGTTTAATTTCTCTCTCACACACTCCATTTTAATTAGTCACCAGATCCTAGTAATTCTATATCTGAAGTTTTTTCAACTCCATCTCTTCCTTTTCATTCCTGCATTGGCATCTCTCATCTGGACTGTTACAACATTGTCCTGATATTGCCTCCAAGCCACCTTTAGTCTGTCCCCAGAGATACCTTTGGGTCCTTATACTTTGGTAAAATAGTAATAATGATAATAATAATATTTTTAGATATATGACATCAAATTATTTCAATTTCTGATATTACTAGTTTTATTTTGTTTTCACTTCTTGAATCAGTGGCTGTCATAGCTTTGTGGGTAGAGCAGATATGGCATTGAACAATAGGGTCATTGATTAGTTTAGGTTAAATGGTTTTGTTTGTATGTTTGAAGTCCACAGTGAAAAATCCAGTGAGGAGCCAGGTTTTTCTGAAAAAGAGTTATGTCTGTATGTGTATGTGTGTGTGCCTCTCTGTGTTTCTGAATTCCAAATGCTTCTTTTTAAATATTAAGAGCAAAGCATAGAATTATGAATTTCATGTTTTGCCGCAAGCCATAAAACAGAGAGGACAAAAAACAGCTTTCCTGGGACTGAAGGGTAAATAAAAATTTAAATAATAAGCAGATAATAGAGTTATTCATAGGTTATGAGACTAAGGTTAAGCTGTTGTCTGATTTTCTGAGAAAACGCATGGTGTACTCATGCCTCAGTACCTACCACAGGAAGGATAAAGGTATGTGAGACATCCCAAATTGGCTTTGGGGGAAGATAAAATCAGAATGGTTCCCATTTGGAATGCTGGAAAGAGAGCACATTGCATCAACATAGAGAGTCCCAGTAGAGAAGAAGTGGAGACACAGCATAATTAGAAAAAGGAAAAATGCTGGAAGTTTCCCACAGCCAGGAACATAATATACAAGAAATCCAGAAATCTCCACACACCTTAGAGAAGGGTGGCAGAACTCCTGAAAGAGCTAGAGGCTTGGGGTCTGGATGAGGAGGCTATATAATATAGAGACTTCATAAATTGTGGCATTGGCAAGTAACACTTCAGCAGACACCACCAAAGGCTTACTAGTGACCAATCAAGATTAGGAGCATTTTGGCAGAGACCAAAGAAGACCCAGAGGACAGCATGTGGAATTGAGGCTTTTCCCATGCTATAAGGAGATATACACTTGCCTATCCATTCAGATATCATCCTGAGAAGGCAAAGAAGAAAGAATACCCTTTGAAAGGGCAAATATACCCTGACAGGCAGATTTCACCTAGAAATGACAGGATATTTACTTAAAATAGATTGTTGTATAAATTAGAAGAGTTTGGATTACCTTTAACTGGCAAGTCCATATCAGCTGGTATGGGTACTTCAGAGCAAGATGTGCTCAGTAATAGAAAATCAAGGCAATTTCAATTTTTAAAACATCTGAATCATTCTGGGCATAATTTTGTGCTATTCCATGGGCATTGCAGGCTCTCTGTGATCTGGCTATTGGGGCTCAGAAAATGATACACCAAAATGAAGGCCTCAGAAGCAAGTTTCTCTCTGACTTTCTCCTGCCCTCCTGTCTCTCAGACCCATTCTCCCGCAAGGCTAGAGATACGAACTAGAATCCCACTTCCCCAAGGCAGGTCACAGAAACCAGAGCTGTTTTTCCCCAAAGCCAGCCATAAAATATTGCGTTTTTTTCCAGCTCCACCTTTCTGTGTAAAAGCTGGCCATAAAGAAATGATCTGACCTACCTTGTTTGACCGTAAGAGCCTCATTCCAGAGAGGGTCCTGCCCCACATCCAGAAGGAAGGAATGCGTGCTCAGAGAGGCCTAGAAGAATCTAGACAAGAGGCCTTGCTGGGTTTCCCCACTCAGCCTATTAGCATTAGATCATGATCTTTTTGTCCAATCATATTTCTACTTGGGTATCCATACTTTGTTGAACCTAAGCATAAAAATAGACAATCTTTCCTGTATCTTGGGTCTTCCTTCTGAAGTCTCCTCTGTCACATAAAACTATGATCAAATAAATGTATATGCCTTTTCTCCTATTGATCTTCCTTTTGTCAGTTGATTTTTCAGCAAACCTTCAGAGAGCCAAGAATGAGTTTTCCCTTTGTATATATATATGCCCCCAATCTATCTACCTTTAAATACTATTTCCCTTTACACATTTTTATACTCTAGCTGAATCAAATTATTCACCATGAAATTTTACTCCTCCAGTGACTTTATTCATGCTGGTCCTTCAATCTCAAATGTTCTTTCTGCTTTCTCCACCCATGAAAATATAACTCACTCTTTAAAGCCTAACTTACTTATCACCTCTTCCATAAAGTCTTCACAACTGCCCCAACTCTAATTTCCATTGGAAATAATTGCTCCTTCTTCTACCATCCTAACAACATTTTGTATCTCTCTAATCAAGAGAATTCCATACACATGTTGAACTCACTGAATCTCCTTCTGTGACTTAGCATGCTTATTAATATTTTATTTAAGACTGAAACTTATAAAGGGCCTCAAAGTTGCCATTCTTAGTATCAGTGATTACTATACAAAGCTGTGGCTATTGTATGTGGGAAACTCTTCTGACTAATAATTGGAACTCTGTCACTAAACCAAAGTCAGTTTAATAAATATCTGATGTTTTAAAGTGACTTATTCCTGTAAGTCAGAAATCTTTTTCAGAGTTTCCTAAGTCATATGTCTTTTTTTTTCTTTTTCTTTTTTTTTTTAGATGGAGTCTCATTCTGCCACCCAGGCTGGAGTGCAGTGGCATGATCTCGGCTCACTGCAACCTCCGCCTCCCGGGTTCAAGTGATTATCCTCCCTCAGCCTCCTGAGTAGCTGGGATTACAGGCATGCACCCCCACATTTGGCTAATTTTTGTATTTTTAGTAGAGATGGGGTTTCACCATGTTGGCTAGGCTGGCCTCAAACTCCTGACCGCAAGCGATCCACCCGCCTTGGCCTACAAAAGTGCTGGGATTATAGGCATGAGCCACTGCACCTGGCCTCCTAAGTCATATGTTCATATGTCTTGAAGAGGTATTTTGGGTACTGTTATCAAATCCCCGAAATAATTTGATATGATATTTACAAAGATGTAATAATGTACTCCACCCTGTCACATGACAGGAAACCTACATTTGAGTGTATGGGAGACTAGGGGCTGTTCAATAGATCTACCTTCTACTTTGACTTAAGATTTAATTATCTGGGCCAAGTCAAGGAGTACTGAGTGAATTGAAATGAGTCATACCCTGAAAAAAAACTGCATGATTTCCTAGTTGCCATGAGAGGGTTAAATGACAGCATTTCTACTGGCTCTCCTGGAAAGGTGCTGGAAGATAGCCACAAATGGTGTTCCAGGAAGGGAGACTAGTGATGCTCACCAGCATCCTGTAGACTCAGTCAATGAATATAGGATATTGGTACCTGTATGTAGAGGAAGACAACCTCAGAAATACCAACCATCATTCAATGAAGACATGTGATGAGCTTAACATATCAGAAGTTATCTTAGAGAAGAAAAGCATTATAGTATTTGTGTAGTTAATGAACAAAACTCTGAATCTCCACATAGAGAAAAAAATGCATTAAGTGACATCAACCAGAACATAGAGCACTGGGCTAAGGAAAGTCTTTCTACCTGAAGGCCACCAGACCCTCTTGTTCCTCTCCACCCCCAGAGTGAGTCAACCAATGGAAAGAAGGGAACAGTCATCCACCCTGTTTTTCAACCCCAGGGAGGGGGATACAAAATGATATGGTGAGCTTTCTTTCACTGAAGTCCCTTAAATTTTATAGCTCTGGAAAATTAAACCCTTTCTTTCCTAGGTTTTCAAACCAATCCTATTCCTGGTCCAGATGAATAGAAGGTGTTTTAGACCACTATTTTTCAAGAATTCAAGATCAAATCAATCTAGCTATTGATAACACTCTTAAGTTTCAACACTGGTTCTCTTGACTTATTCTAAAACCCATGTCTTTTCCTCCAATTCCTGGGTCCCCATTTTCATTTTTTTGCCAACTACCCTAGGAACAGTGTCTTCCTGTGTGCACTCGGTCTTAAAACCTTGTTCCCTGCCAACTTTTTTTTTTTTTTATCTATCCAACATTAGCTTTATCCTCTTCTTTATTGACTGGAATTTTGTAACTCCATGATTGTGATCATAATTGCCTGCCGCTTGCTAACATTCTTCTAAGTGTCCTAGATATGCCCTCCTCCTCTGTCAGCACTGCTGTCTTACCTAATAAATCCCTAGTTATCATTAATTATTACTAGTTATTCAGAAGCGTTCTATTAGGTAGAAAGAATACTGATTATTTACTGTGTGGGTCCACAGCATTATTTAACTAGATGACCTGATCATCTAAATTCTCAACATTGGGTAGGTAGCCAAGCCAGGCTACAACTTGTACCAGGCTCTGGATCCAGAGTGGCCCAGGAAGAGAGTTAAACTAGTCTTATGCCTTTTTTTTTTTTTCTCAAAATCAAGAATATCTTGGACATGCCAGAGCAGAGTTAGGCAAAGATTAGCAAACTGGGCTTATTACATCAGCACAGCCATGTGATATTCAACAATTTTAGTTTTAAAATAAATCCAGAAAATTGTTATTTTTGTGTATTTGTAGTTTGGTAGTTTTCTACCAACAATATCTGTTTTTCTAAATCTGTGTCTATCTTTGCAAGGTCACTAGCATTCTTTTGAAAACATGAACTAAATTAATCTTATTTGCCTCTTCATATATTTTCTTATTAAGTGAGTGTTGGGCCAGAGATAGAAACTCAGATCTTTCTCAGAGAATTGTCAGGATATAGAATGCTTCTAAATTTCTCTATCAAAAAGAAGCTATCGGCATTCTGAAATTACACTTGAAAGCTTATAAAATGCATGACAATTGCTCATCTCATCCTCGACTCCCACCACTCTACCACCAACATAATCTCAATACAGTGACTACAAATGTAAATTTTGCCCGTTGCTATCTCCCTTAGAGACTAATCCCCATCTGTAAAACTTGTTAAATAAATTTGTGAATTTAATGAAGTCCAAATAGCTACCCTGGAGAAATAATAATCTGTGCACACATCTCTACAATGTAAGCATTCAGTAAACATTTACTGAGGGTTCGTAGTGTGCCAGACACTTCTCTAGATGCTATAGATACATAGACAAAGGGCACATTGCCTGCCTTCAAGGAGCTCACTGTTTAGTGCAGGCACAGCCAAATAAACAGTTAAAAGACAATGTAATTAGCTCTAAAATCAAACCATTTACCATGGAGGAGCACTTCTACTTCAACCTTCAGAGTGGAATGGCAGTATTGTGTAGTTATTAAGAACCCTTTAGTCAAATACGTCTGGGGTCAAATCTCAGCTTTGTTATTTCTCTAACATTGTATCTTTAGGCAAATTATTCATCACTTTAGCCTCAGTTTCCTTATCTGTGAAATGAGGATAATTCTTAATTCACAAATGCATGCATGCCTCTTAACACTAGAGGCATAACAAGTCTTAGCTAATGTTAACTATTATTGCTATATTGTTAAACTGGAAAAGGTTTCCCAGAGAAGGTGACATTTAAACTAAGTGGAGCTGGATTTTTCAACTTTGTTACTATTGACATTTGAGGCCAAATAATTTCTTTTTGTGGTGAGCTGTTCTGTGCTTTGTAGAATGTTTAGAAGCATTCCTAGCCTCTACCCACTAGATGCCAGTAGAAAGCCCTCTCCCCACAAGTTGCAACAACCAAAGATGTCTTCAGACATTGCCAAACTTGTCTTGAAGGGCAAAATTAACCCTGGTTGATAACAACTGTGGTAGAAAGTTTCATTATCAGGATATTCTTTTAGAAAAACAATAGTGGTACTATTTTAGAGAATGGATTTAAAGGAGGCCAAAACCAGAAAAAGAAAGGTCAGTTTTTTAAGAAGTATCCTTGATTCCTTTCTTTTTCTTATCTCTTACATTAGCAAGTCCTATTAGCTCTAACTCTGAGATATAGCTGATATCTAACCACTTCTTACCATTGCAGTAGCTATCATTCTAATAATCTCTCACAGACTTTATTAATTTTTTACTTGATCTCATGTCTATACCTGCTCATTTATAGTCTATTTTCTACACGGAAGCTAAAACGTAAATCAGAATCCTTCCTTCATTTGTATTTCCAGAAATACAATCTAGAAATCTTTTACTAGAAATCTAATCTCAATAGCATAAACTTAAAGGACCTACATGATCTGATCTCCTTTCTTACTTCATGTCCTTCCATTCTTCACAATTAAGCTTCTGTCATGGTGACCTTTTTGCTATTTATGAAATCATTAAGCTCATTTCTCTCTCTGAGCTACATAGGCTATTTCTTTCTAGAATGTTCTTCCTCCATTTATTTGGCTGACCTCTCATCATTCAGATTTCTATTCAAATAACATTTCTTTATAAAGGCCATTTCTGGTCTTCCCTGTTTAAAACACACAACACACATGCACACTTGATCCTGGTTCTCTTATCTTACTTTTTAAAAAATAACACTTGTCATTGTTTGAAATTAATTATATTATTTATTCATTTGTTTATTGACCTGCCAGTAGAAAGCAAGTTTCATGGGAATAGGGATTGTTCTGTTTTGCTCATTATTGTATTACCAGCACTTAGAACAGTAGCTGGCACATGGTAGGCACTCAGTAAACATTTAGTGAATAATGTAATCATAATCTAGGAATGATGCAGGACTGAACCAAGATAGTAGCAGTAGGTAAAGAAGGAACTATATTAAGTTAGGAGAAGAAACAGGACTTGGTGACTGATATAGTTTGGATATTTTTCCCCTCCAAATCTCATGTTGAAATTATATCCCCAGTGGTGGAGGAGGGACCTAAAGGAAGGTGTTTGGGTCATGGGATGGATCCCTCACGAATGTCTTGGTACTGTCCTCACAGTAATGAGTGAGTTCTCACTCTATTAATTCCTATGAGAGCCACCTCTCCCTCCCAGAGTAGGTTGTTGAAAAGAGCCTGACACCTCCCTCCCCTCTCTCACTTCTTGCCAGTGATCTCTACTTGTTTGCTCCCCTTTTTCCTTCTGCTGTGAGTGGAAGCTACCTGAAGCCCTCACCAGAAGCAGATGCTGGCACCATGCTTCTTATATAGCCTGCAGAACTGTGAGCCAAATAAAACTCTTTTCTCTATAAACTACCCAGCCTCAGGTATTCTTTTATAGCAATGCACAATGGACAAGAACAGTGACTAATTGGATAGGAGGTGTGCTTAAAAGAGAAGAATTAGATAGATTTCTGTCTTTGACAGATGGGTGAATGGTAGTAAGTAACAACAAGAAAAGGAACACAGGGAGAAGAAAGGATTTGGAGGAAAAGCTGGAAGATACTGAGTTCAATACGCTTGTAGTACAGCCATGTAGATGTGTCTGATAGGCAATTGGATATAAATTCTGGAGATCAGGTGAAATTTTGACACTGAAAGTAAATACATGGGAGTCATCCACTTATTGTGACAGGTGATGCCATGATGGTGTATGATACTACCCAAAAAAAAGTGGGTAGCGTAAGAGAAGAAAATTTGCCTCCAGACATGGCATATAGGAAAGCTAACCTATAAGATGTATATAAGGGAGAAAAAAAATCCCACAGAGAAAATAAATAAAAAGTGAAATACCCAGAAGGGTGGGAAGTCTGGCTTCAAATAAGTCAAGAGAGAAGAGTATTTCAAGGAGGAAGTAGAGTTATCAATGTCAAATATTATAGAGAAGAATGCCCATGAGATTTAGCAATAAAGGAACCACTAGAAACCTTGGCAAGAGCAGTTTCAGTTGAATTAAAGGGATAATATATTCCAAATTTAAAGGATTGAAAAAAATAATGGAAGATGAAAAATAGTTATATGAAGTGCACTACACTTTTTAGAAACTAGCATTCCGAGGGAAAAAAAGATGAATAGAGTATTAGAATTGAGAGATAATTTTGATTTTTTTAATGGGAACAGCTTGAAAATGTACACATGCAATTAATGAAAGAAAGCAGAATAGAAAGGGAGAATTGGAACTTAGTGAATATCAAAATGTATCAAATGAGGAGGTACCTGAAAAAGTGGGAAAGACTGGAATCCAAAATAGAGGTGGGTGGATTAGCCATGAGATAAGACTCTATTTAGGAAAAAAATGGGAAGTTTTAAGGATAAGTCTGGATGTAGATCAGTGGAGAAAGGAGTAGAAAGCTGAAAGGGATCCCCAGAGCTGGCTAGGCACAGTGGGAAAAATAGGGAAAGAGTAATTATAGCCAACATTTATTAGACCTTTGCACTTACTCCATCACATACGTTTTCTTCATGAACTAGGAGACCTGGTTATTAGCAGAAAAGGAAAAAGGGTAATGGTGGAGAAAAGAGTTGAGAACAATGGTGAAAATGTGAAACAGTTTTGTGAGAAATAAAAACAATTTCTTCCAGGTTTTAGAGATATTAGAGGGATATTTTGCTAACATATTTGTCCGTTTTCTGTTTTTAAAAATACAGAGAAAAAATATAGGAACTGGTTATTTTACTAATTAGTGATTGAGCAAGTCAATTAAAATCCTCTGGGCCTTAGATTCCCTCCTCTGTAAATGAAGGGCTTAGACTTGCTGAAATAACTGTAAGGTCCTTTACAGTTCTGGCATTCTATGACTTTAGTTCTGTTGTCTATAAATCTGAGTCCATTCTAAGACAGAGAGCTTAATCTTGTGTTACTTCAATTGGGAGTACCACAGCAGGAAACTAGTAGCAGAGAGGAAGAAGCAGGAACCAAAGTAACTATAGAAATGGCTTCTATGAAGAATTAGAGACTGTAGGGGAGGCAGAGCAAAATGGTGAAAAAGAAAGCTCCACTGACAGTCCCCGCACTGCCCCCCCACTACCCCCATCAGCAAGGACACCAAGTTAACAACTATCTACACGGAAAGAACACCTTCATAAGAACCAAAAATCAATTGAGTACTCATAGTACCTGGTTTTAAAAATAGTCTTGAATCACTGATGCCACCCCTCCCTGACTCCCTGCAGCAAAGGCATGGTGGTGCAGAGAGAGAGTCTTTGGGTACTGGGGGAAGGAGAACACAATTGTGAAGCACTGAACTCAGTCATGTCCTGTTAAAATAGAAAGGAAAACCAGAACAAACTCAGCTGATGCCTGATCATGGAGGGAGCATTTAAACCAGCCCCAGACAGAGGGGAATCTCTGATCCCAGTAGTGTGAACTTGAGTTCCCACAAACCTTGCCACCAAGGGCTATGGTGCTCTCTGTCTCCAGGTAAATTTGAAAGGCAGTCTAGGCCACAAAAACTGCAACTCTTAGGCGAGTCCTAGTGCTGAATTGCTGAATTAGGCCCAGGCACAGTGGACTGGGGGTGGGGGTGGAGGGGTGGCAGCGGTGGCAGGGTGTGACATACTAAGACACCAGCTGGAACAGCCAAGGGAGTGCTGTCATCACCCCTCTGCTAATTCCAGGCTTCACAGCTCTCAGCTGCATAAGAGACCCCTTCCTTCTGCTTGAGGAGAGGAGAGGAAAGAATGGGGAGAACTTTGTCTTGCACCTAGGATACCAACTCAGCCACAGCAAGATAGGGTACCCATCAGGGTCCTGAGGACCTCGTTCAGGCCCTAGCTCCCTCCCTCCCTTGTGAGGCCCAAGCAGCTCCAATACATCTGGCAGCAGACTTTTCAGTGGAAACCTTACAGGCCAGGAGAGAGTGGCCTGATATATTTAAAGTACTAACAGAAAAATAAATAAATTAATAAATAACCTCTCACCCTAGAATAGTATATCTGGTGAAAATATCCTTCACACATGAAAGAGAAATAAAGACATTCCAAGACAAACAAAAGACAAAAAAAGTAAAAGTGGAGGGATTTCACCAACACCAGAGCTGTCCCATAACAAATGCTAAAGAGAGTAATTCAGTCAGAAAGAAAAGAACATTAATGAGCAATAAATAATCATCTGAAGGTACAAAATCAACTGGTAATAGAAAGTACAGAGAAATACACAGAATATTATAACACTGCAACTGTGGTGTGTAAACTACTCTTATCATAAGTAGAAAGACTAAATAATGAACCAGTCAAAACTAACCATGACAACAACTTTTCAAGACATAGTACAATAAGATATAAATAGAAACAACAGAAAGTTAAAAAGCTGAGTGACAAAGATAAGGTTGGTTTTTTTTGCATTTTTTTAAATTTTATTTTTTTATTATACTTTAAGTTCTAGGGTACATGTGCACAACGTGCAGGTTTGTTACATATGTATACATGTGCCATGTTGGTGTGCTGCACCCATTAACTCATCATTTACATTAGGTATATCTCCTAATGCTGTCCCTCCCCCCTCCCCCACCCCACAACAGGCCCCAGAGTGTGATGTTCCCCTTCCTGTGTCCAAGTGTTCTCATTGTTCAATTCCCACCTATGATTGAGAACATGCAGTGTTTGGATTTTTGTCCTTGTGATAGTTTGCTGAGAATGATGGTTTCCAGCTTCATCCATGTCCCTACAAAGGACATGAACTCATCATTTTTTATGGCTGCATAGTATTCCATGGTGTGTATGTGCCACATTTTCTTAATCCAGTCTATCATTGTTGGACATTTGGGTTGGTTCCAACTCTTTGCTATTGTGAGTAGTGCCTCAATAAACATATGTGTGCATGTGTCTTTATAGCAGCATGATTTATGATCCTTTGGGTATATACGCAGTGATGGGATGGCTGGGTCAAATGGTATTTCTAGTTCTAGATCCCTGAGGAATCGCCACACTGTCTTCCACAATGGTTGAACTAGTTTACAGTCCCACCAACAGTGTAAAAATGTTCCTATTTCTCCACATCCTCTCCAGCACCTGTTGTTTCCTGACTTTTTAATGATTGCCATTCTAACTGGTGTGAGATGATATCTCACTGTGGTTTTGATTTGCATTTCTCTGATGGCCAGTGATGACGAGCATTTTTTCATGTGTCTTTTGGCTGCATAAATGTCTTCTTTTGAGAAGTGTCTGTTCATATCCTTCACCCACTTGTTGATGGGGTTGTTTGTTTTTCTTTTGTAAATATGTTTGAGTTCTTTGTAGATTCTGGATATTAGCCGTTTGTCAGATGAGTAGATTGCAAAAATGTTCTCCCATTTGGTAGGTTGCCTGTTCACTCTGATGGTAGTTTCTTTTGCTGTGCAGAAGTGCTTTAGTTTAATTAGATCCCATTTGTGTATTTCGGCGTTTGTTGCCATTGCTTTTTGTGTTTTAGTCATAAAGTCCTTGCCCATGCCTATGTCCTGAATGGTATTGCCTAGGTTTTCTTCTAGGGTTTTTATGGTTTTAGGTCTAACGTGTAAGTCTTTAATCCATCTTGAATTAATTTTTGTATAAGGTGTAAAGAAGGGATCCAGTTTCAGCTTTCTACATATGGCTAGCCAGTTTTCCCAGCACAATTTGTTAAATAGGGAATCCTTTCCCCATTTCTTGTTTTTGTCAGGTGTGTCAAAGATCAGATGGTTGTAGATATGTGGTATTATTTCTGAGGGCTCTGTTCTGTTCCATTGGTCTATATCTCTGTTTTGGTACCAGTGCCATGCTGTTTTGGTTACTGTAGCCTTGTAGTATAGTTTGAAGTCAGGTAGTGTGATGCCTCCGGCTTTGTTCTTTTGACTTAGGATTGACTTGGCAATGGGGGCTCTTTTTTGATTCCATATGAACTTTAAAGTAGTTTTTTCCAATTCTGTGAAGAAAGTCATTGGTAGCTTGATGGGGATGGCATTGAATCTATAAATTACCTTGGGCAGTATGACCATTTTCACGATATTGAGTCTTCCTACCCATGAGCGTGGAATGTTCTTCCATTTGTTTGTATCCTCTTTTATTTCCTTGAGCAGTGGTTTGTAGTTCTCCTTGAAGAGGTCCTTCACATCCCTTGTAAGTTGGATTCCTAGGTATCTTATTCTCTTTGAAGCAATTGTGAATGGGAGTTCACTCATGATTTGGCTCTCTGTTTGTCTGTTGTTGGTGTATAAGAATGCTTGTGATTTTTGTACATTGATTTTGTATCCTGAGACTTTGCTGAAGTTGCTTATCAGCTTAAGGAGATTTTGGGCTGAGACGATGGGGTTTTCTAGATATACAATCATGTCATCTGCAAACAGGAACAATTTGACTTCCTCTTTTCCTCATTGAATACCCTTTATTTCTTTCTCTCGCCTGATTGCCCTGGCCAGAACTTCCAACACTATGTTGAATAGGAGTGATGAGAGAAGGCATCCCTGTCTTGTGCCCATTTTCAAAGGGAATGCTTCCAGTTTTTGCCCATTCAGTATGATATTGGCTGTGGGTTTGTCATAAATAGTTCTTATTATTTTGAGATAGGTCCCATCCATACCTAATTTATTGAGAGTTTTTAGCATGAAGGGCTGTTGAATTGTGTCAAAGGCCTTTTCTGCATCTATTGAGATAATCGTGGTTTTTGTCTTTGGTTCTCTTTATATGTTGGAGTATGTTTATTCATTTGCATATGTTGAACAGGCCTTGCATCCTAGGGAGGAAGGCCACTTGATCATGGTGGATAAGCTTTTTGATATGCTGCTGGATTTGGTTTGCTAGTATTTTATTGAGGATTTTTGCATTGATGTTCATCAGGGATATTGGTCTAAAATTCTCTTTTTCTGTTGTGTCTCTGCCAGGCTTTGGTATCAGGATGATGCTGGCCTTATAAAATGAGTTAGGGAGGATTCCCTCTTTTTCTATTGATTGGAATAGTTTCAGAAGGAATGGTACCAGCTCCTCCTTGTACCTCTGGTAGAATTCGGCTGTGAATCCATCTGTCCTGGACTTTTTTGGTTGGTAAGCTATTAATTATTGCCTCAATTTCAGAGCCTATTATTGGTCTATTCAGAGATTCAACTTCTTCCTGGTTTCGTCTTAGGAGAGTGTATGTGTCCAGGAATTTATCCTTTTCTTCCAGATTTTCTAGTTTATTGGTGTAGAGGTGTTTTTAGTATTCTCTGATGGTAGTTTGTATTTCCGTGGGATTGGTGGTGATATCCCCTTTATCATTTTTTATTGCATCTATTTGATTCTTCTCTTTTTTCTTCTTTATTAGTCTTGCTAGCAGTCTATCAATTTTGTTGATATTTTCAAATAACCATCTCCTGGGTTCATTGATTTTTTGAAGGGTTTTTTCTGTCTCTATCTCCTTCAATTCTGCTCTGATCTTAGTTATTTCTTGCCTTCTGCTAGCTTTTGCTCTTGCTTCTCTAGTTCTTTTAATTGTGATGTTAGGGTGTCAAATTTAGATCTTTCCTGCTTTCTCTTGTGGGCTTTTAGTGCTATAAATTTCCCTCTACACACTGCTTTGAATGTGTCCCAGAGATTCTGGTATGTTGCGTCTATGTTCTTGTTGGTTTCAAAGAACATCTTTATTTCTGCCTTCATTTTGTTATGTAGCCAGTAGTCATTCAGGAGCAGGTTGTTTAGTTTCCATGTAGTTGAGTGGTTTTGAGTGAGTTTCTTAATCCTGAGTTCTAGTTTGATTTGCACTGCAGTCTGAGAGACAGTTTGTTATAATTTCTGTTCTTTTACATTTGATGAGGAGTGCTTTACTTCCATCTATGTGGTCAGTTTTGGAATAGGGGTGGTGTGGTGCTGAGAAGAATGTATATTCTGTTGATTTGGGGTGGAGAGTTCTATGAATGTCTATTAGGTCTGCTTGGTGCAGAGCTGAGTTCAATTCCTGGATACCCTTGTTAACTTTCCGTCTCATTGATCTATCTAATATTGACAATGGAGTGTTAAAGTCTCCCATTATTATTATGTGGGAGTCTAATCTCTTTGTAGGTCTCTAAGGACTTGCTTTATGAATCTGGGTGCTCCTGTATTGGGTGCATATGTATTTAGGATAGTTAGCTCTTCTTGTTGAATTGATCCCTTTACCATTATGTAATGGCCTTGTTTGTCTCTTTTGATCTTTGTTGGTTTAAAGTGTGTTTTATCAGAGACTAGGATTGCAACCCCTGCCTTTTTTTGTTTCCCATTTTCTTGGTAGATCTTCCTTCATCCCTTTATTTTAAGCCTATGTGTGTCTCTGCACATGAGATGGGTTTCCTGAATACAGCACACTGATGGGTCTTGACTCTTTATCCAATTTGCCAGTCTGTGTCTTTTAATTGGAGCATTTAGCCCATTTACATTTAAGGTTAATATTGTTATGTGTGAATTTGATCCTGTCATTATGATGTTAGCTTTTTACTTTGCTTGTTAGTTGATGCAGTTTCTTCCTAGCATCGATGGTCTTTACAATTTGGCATGTTTTTGCAGTGGTTGGTACCGGCTGTTCCTTTCCATGTTTAGTGCTTCCTTCAGGATCTCTTGTAGGGCAGGCCTGGTGGTGACAAAATCTCTCAGCAGTTGCTTGTCTGTAAAGGATTTTATTTCTCCTTCACTTTTGAAGCTTAGTTTGGCTGGATAGGAAATTCTGGGTTGGAAATTCTTTTCTTTAAGAATGTTGAATATTGGCCCCCACTCTCTTCTGGCTTGTAGAGTTTCTGCCGAGAGATCTGCTGTTAGTCTGATGGGCTTCCCTTTGTGGGTAACCCAACCTTTCTCTCTGACTGCCCTTAACATTTTCCCCTCATTTCAACTTTGGTGAATCTGACAATTATGTGTCTTGCAGTTGCTCTTCTTGAGGAGTATCTTTGTGGCGTTCTCTGTATTTCCTGAATTTGAATGTTGACCTGCCTTGCTAGGTTGGGGAAGTTCTCCTGGATAACGTAATGCAGAGTGTTTTCTAACTTGGTTCCATTCTCCCTGTCACTTTCAGGTACATCAATCAGACGTAGATTTGGTCTTTTCACATAATCCCCTATTTCTTGGAGGCTTTGCTCGTTTCTTTTTACTCTTTTTTCTCTAAACTTCTGTTCTTGCTTCATTTCATTCATTTGATCTTCCATCACTGATACCCTTTCTTCCAGTTGATCGAATCGGCTACTGAAGCTTGTGCATTCATCACGCAGTTCTCGTGCCATGGTTTTCAGCTCCATCAGGTCCTTTAAGGACTTCTCTGCATTGGTTATTCTAGTTAGCCATTCATCTAATCTTTTTTCAAGGTTTTTAACTTCTTTGCAATGGGTTCGAACTTCCTCCTTTAGCTTGGAGAAGTTTGATTGTCTGAAGCCTTCTTCTCTCAACTTGTCAAAGTCATTCTCCATCCAGCTTTGTTCCATTGCTGGTGAGGAGCTGCGTTCCTTTGGAGGAGGATAGGCGCTCTGATTTTTAGAATTTTCAGTTTTTCTATTCTGTTTTTTCCCCATCTTTGTGGTTTTATCTACCTTTGGTCTTTGATGGTGGTGATGTGCAGATGGGGTTTTGGTGTGGATGTCCTTTCTGTTTGTTAGTTTTCCTTTTAGCAGTCAGGACCCTCAGCTCCAGGTCTGTTGGAGTTTGCTGGAGGTCCATTCCAGACCCTGTTTGCCTGGGTATCAGCAGCGGAGGCTGCAGAACACCGAATATTGCTGAATGGCAAATGTTGCTGTCTGATCGTTCCTCTGGAGGTTTCATCTCAGAGGAGTACCCGGCCGTGTGAGGTGTCAGTCTGCCCCTACTGGGGGGTGCCTCCCAGATAGGCTACTCGGGGGTCAGGGACCCACTTGAGGAGGCAGTCTGTCCATTCTTCGATCTCGAACTCTGTGCTAGGAGAACCACTACTCTCTTCAAAGCTGTCAGACAGGGACATTTAAGTCTGCAGAGGTTTCTGTTGCCTTTTGTTCAGCTATGCCCTGTCCCCAGAGGTGGAGTCTACAGTGGCAGGCAGGCCTCCTTTAGCTGTGGTGGGCTCCACCCAGTTCCAGCTTCCCGGCCACTTTGTTTACCTACTCAAGCCTCAGCAATGGCGGGTGCTCCTCCCCCAGCTTCACTGCTGCCTTGCAGTTCGATCTCAGACTGCTGTGCTAGCAATGAGCGAGGCTCCACAGGCGTGGGACCCTCTGAGCCAGGCACAGGATATAATCTCCTGGTGTGCTGTTTGCTAAGGCCATTGGAAAAGTGCAGTATTAGGGTGGGAGTGACCCGATTTTCCAGGTGCTGTCTGTCACAGTTTGCTTGGCTATGAAAGGGAATTCTCTGACCTCTTGTGCTTCCTGGGTGAGGCGATGCCTCGCCCTGCTTCAGCTCATGCTCAATGCACTGCACCCACTGTCCTGCACCCACTCTCTGACAAGCCCCAGTGAGATGAACCCAGTACCTC
Source organism: Homo sapiens (assembly GCF_000001405.40). Lineage (NCBI taxonomy): Eukaryota > Metazoa > Chordata > Mammalia > Primates > Hominidae > Homo > Homo sapiens. Next base: position 113,479,366 of record NC_000023.11, on the reverse strand, counting down.
AGTTGGAAATGCAGAAATCACCTGTCTTCTGTGTTGCTCACACTGGGAGCTATAGACTGGAGCTGTTCCTATTCGGCCATCTTGGAACCGCCCCCCCCGAGTTCAAAGTCAAGTTTTTATTAGTTTTCTTTTGCTTGTTTGTTTATGTTTGTTTTGCTTGTTTGTTTTGTGCACTGTAGCAGATAGTGTTAACTTCTTATCAGCTTAAAATAATGGGTAATAAGACAGTATATGCAAGCCTCATGATAAACGCAAACCAAAAAACATACAATAGATACACGCACAAAGAAGTCAAGAAACTCAATCATATCACCAGAGAAAACCATCTTTAGTAGAGGAAGACAGGAATGAAAGAAAAAAGGAAGAGAAGACCACGAAACAATCACAAAACAAATACCAAAATGGTGGGAGTAAGCCCTTACTTATCAATAATAACATTGAATGTGAATAAACTAAACTGTCCAACAAAAGATATAGACTGGCTGAATGGATGAGAAAAACAAGACTCATTGACCTGATGACTACAAGAAACACATTTCATCTATAAAGACACACATAGGATAAAAATAAAGGGACCGGAAAAGATGTCCCATGCCAATGGAAAGCAAAAGAGAGCAGAAGTTGCTATACTTATATCAGACAAAATGGATTTCAAGGCAAAAATCAAAAGAGAAAAAGAAGGTCACTATATAATGACAAAGGGGTCAATTAGGCAAAAGTATATAAGAATTTTAAATATATATGCACCCAACACTGGAGCACCCAAATATATAAAGAAAATATTATTAGAAGTTAACAGAGAGATAAGTTCCAGTGCAGTAATAGCTGGAGACTTCAACACCCCACTTTCAGCATTGGAGAGATCCTCCAGACAGAAAATCAACAAAGAAACATCAGACTTCATCTGCACTATAGAGCAAATGGATCTAATAGATATTTACAGAAGATTTCATTCATTCAATGGATGGAGAATATACATTTTTTTCACCAGCACATGGATTATTCCCATGGATAAAACATACGTTAAGTCACAAAACAAGTCTTAAATCATTCAAAAATTTGAAGTAATATCAAGAATCTTCTCTGACTACAATGAAATGAAACTAGAAATTAGTAACAATAGGAATTTTGGAAACTATACAAATATATGAAAATGAAACCATATGCTCCCAAATGACCAGTAGGTCAATGAAGAAATTAAGAAGAAAATTGAAAAATTCTTTGAAAGAAATGATAATAGAAACACAACATACCGAAACATATGGGATACAGCAAAAACACTACTGAGATGGAAGTTTATAGTTACAAGTAGCTGCATCAAAAATGAGGAAAAACTTAGAATAAGCAATACAATGTGTCTTAAAGAACTAAAAAAGCAAGAGCAAATCAGGCCCCAAATTTAGTAGAGGAAAAGAAATTATGAAGATCAGAAGATAAATGAATAAAATTGAAATAAAAAAATATAAAAGATCAATGAAACAAGAAGTTGGTTTTTTGAAAAGTTAAACAACATTGACAAACCTTTAGCCAGACTAAGAAAAAAAGAAAGAAGGTCCAAATAAATAAAATCAGACAAGAAAAAGAAGACGTTACAACTGATGCTGTAGAAATTCAAAGGATCATTAGTGGCTACTATGAACAACTATATGCCAATAAATTGAAAAATCTAGAAGAAATGGACAAATTATTACATACGTAAAACCTACCAAGATTGAACCATGAAGAAATCCAAAACCTGAACAACAACAGTAATGAGGTCAAAGTTGTAATAAGCCATAAGTCTTTGTATACGGCAAGAGAGAGGTTCTTCTTTAAATTTTTGGTACAATTCATCTGTGAAACCTTCAGGTCCCAGGCTTTTCTTTACTGCGAGACTTAAGTTTCCCAGTAACGCCCACGCAAAATATTCTGAAAAATAATGGTGGGAATACTTTCAAATGCATTATATGAGGCCAGTATTACCCTTCTACCAAAACCAGACAAAAACACATCAAAAAAAGAAAACTACAGGCCAATATCTCTGATGAATATTGATGCAAAAATCCTCAACAGAATGCTAGCAAACTAAATTCAACAATACATTAGAAAGATTATTCATCATGACCAAGTGGGATTTATCCATGGGATTCAATGATGGTGCAACATAGGCAAGTCAATCAATGTGATACATCATATCAACAGAATGAAGGAGAAAAATTGTATGATTATGTCAACTAATACTAGAAAAGCATTTGATATAATTCAACATGCCATTATGATAAAAGTCCTGAAAAAACAGGGGGTAGAATGAACATACCTCAACATAATTATAGCCATATATTACAGACCCAGACCTAATATCATACTGAATGGGGAAAAATGGAAGCCCTTCCCTCCAAGATCTGGAACACAACAAAGATGCCCATTTTCACCACTGTTAGTCAACATAGTACTGGAAGTTCTAACTAGAGCAATCAGACAAGAGAAAGCTATAAATGGCACCCAAATTGGGAAGGAAGAAATAAAATTATCCTTTTTTGCAGCTAATATGGTGTTATATTTGGAAAAACCTAAGGACTCTGAAAAAGAAAAAAAAAAAAACAATTAGAACCTGTAAATAAATCCAGTAAAGTTGCAGGATACCAAATCAATATGCAAAATCAGTGGCATTTCTACATGCCAACAATGAACAATCTGAAAAAGAAATCAAGAAAATAATCCCGTTTACAATACCTAAAAAGAAAACTAAATACTGGGGAATTAACCAAAGAAGTGAAAGATCTCTATAATGAAAACTATAAAACTTTATAATAAAAAAAACTATGAAAGAAATTGAAGAGGACACTGAAAAATAGAAAAATATTCTATGCTCATAAATTGGAAAAATCAATATTGTGAAAATGGACACATTGGCCAAAGCAATCTACAGATTCAATGCAATCCCTATCAAAATACCAATGACGTTCTTCACAGAAATAGAAAAAAAAAAAACCTAAAACTTATATGGAACCACAAAAGGCCCAGAATAGCCAAAGCTATCCTAAGCAAAAAAAAAAAAAAAAAGGAGAAATCACATTACCTGACTTCAAATTTTACTACAGAGCTATAGTAAACAAAACAGCATGGTATTGACATAAAAACAGACACATGGACCAAAGGAACAGAATAGAGAACCCAGAAACAAATCCACACTTCAACAGTGACTTCCTTTTTGACAAAGGTGCCAAAAATATAAACTGGGGAAGGGACATTCTCTTCAATAAATTGTGCTAGGAAAACTTGATATCCATATGCAGAAAAATGAAACTAGATCCCTATCTCTTGCCATATACAAAAATCAAATCAAAATGGGTTGAAGACTTAAATCTAAGACCTTAGACTATGGAAATACTACAAGATAACATTGAGGAAAATCTCCATTTTGTCTGGACCAAAACGTCTTCAAGCAATACCCCAGAAGCAAAGGCAGCCAAAGCAAATGTGGACAAATGGGATCACAAGTTAAAAAGCTTCTACACAGCAAATGTTACAATCAACAAAATGAAGAGACAACCTACAGAATGGGAGAAAATATTTGCAAACTATCCATCTGACAAGGGATTGATAACCCAAATATATAAGGAGCTCAAACAATTCAATGGGAAAAAATCTAATAATCCTATCTAAAAATGGGCAGAAGATTGAATAGACATTTCTCAATACAAGACATACAAATGGAAAACAGGCATATGAGAAGGTGCTCAACAGCACAGATCATCAGAGAAATGCAAATCAAAACTACAATGACATATCATCTCAACCCAGTTACAATGCCTTATATCCAAAAGACAGGCAATAACAAATGCTAGTGAGAATGTGGAGAAAAGGGAACACTTGCACAGTGTTGGTGGGAATGTAAATTAGTACAATCACCACGAAGAACAGTTTGGAGGTTCCTCAAAATACTAAAAATTGAGCTACCATATGATACAGTATCCCACTGCTGGTTATATACTCAAAAGAAAGGAAATCAGTATATCAAAGAGATATCTGCACTCCTACAGCTGCAGCACTGTTTACGATAGCTAACATTTGGAAGCAACCTAAATATCTGTCAACAGATGAGTGAATGAACAAAATATGGTACATAATATACAACAGAGTACTATTCAGCCATAAAAAACAATGAGATCTTGTCATTTGCAACAATGTAGAAGGAACTGGGGATCATTATGTTAACTGAAATAAGCCAGGCACAGTAAGGCAAATATTGCATGTTCTCAATAATTTGTGGGATCTAAAAATCAAAACAATTGAACTCATGGAAGTAGAGAGTAGAACGATGGTTACTAGAGGCTGGGAAGGGTAGAGTGGGCTGGGCTGGAGATGGAGATGGTTAATAAGTACAAAAAATTAATGTTAGAAAGAATGAATAAAACCTATTTGATAGCACAAAAGGGTGACTATAGTTGACAATAACTTAGTTGTGCAATTTAAAATAATTTAGACTGTGTAATTGGATTGTTTGTAACTCAAAGGATAAATGCTTAATGGGATGGAAACTTCATTCTTCATGATGTGCTTATTTCACATTGCATGCCTGTCTCAAAACACCTCATGTACCCCATAAATATATACAGCCACTATGTACCCACAAAAAATTAAAAAAATAAAAATACTAAACCAAAAGTCAACATAAGTCCTAAATTAAAAAAAGAATCCTAGGTGCAGTCCCTAGAAGGAAGGGATCAGCCAAGCAGACCATGCTTCACAGCAGAACTTTAATTACAACAAGAGCTATTGTAGATTAAATCAGAAAACCGTGACAGTATCCTAGATATAAAGATTTTAAAAACTTACTAAGTGGGCAAGTGTGGTTCAAGTTTTCCTAGACATAAGAAATACCGAATTTCAAGCTACAAGATCAATTCCATTTCTCATTCGTTCGGGAGATGAAACTCTCAAGGTACAGCCTGTCTTAATGAGGGCTGACTCATCTTTGTGTTTAAACATCTACAGTTTCCAGTCTATCTTTCCAGTTCTATTTGTTCCTGCTCCTCAAAGTGAACCCCATAATGTTATCAGACATATGTCTTTACTGCCAATAGTGCTTCCACCTCTCCCTGCATGTTTGCTCATACAGTTATTTATCTTTGAAATACCATCTTTTCGACATCTACTCATCCTTTAAGGTCCAATGCAATGCCATCAATTTTCTTTATTACTTACCATCTGAGATTATTCTATGTATCTACACTTATAGTAATTATTGCCCATACCAAATAGGTATTAAAAAGAAGATTCCACCTTGAAAATATTATTTCTGTCTGAATCATTTTTGCTCCTTAGCATCTAACTTTCTAACTCTGTGCTCTGAATAGAGTGTACATCCAGTGTGTGAAGAATTAATGTATGGATACACATGCAAATATAGTCATGTGCCATATAACAATGTTTCAGTCAACAAGGGACTACATATAATAGTGGTCCCATAAGATTATAATACTTTATTTTTGCTCTATCTTTTCTATGTTTAAATATGTTTAGATACACAAATAGTTACCATTATGATATAATTGCCTACAATTTTCAGTACAGTAACATTCTGTACATTTGTAAGCTTAGCAGTCATAGTCTATACCGTATATTCTAGGTGTGTAGTATGCTACACCATCTAGGCTTGTGTATGATGTTTGTGCAATGATGAAATCAACTAACAATGCATTTCTCAATACATATCTCCATCATTAAGCAACAAATGACTATTTACAAACACACTCGGAAGAGCTGCCAGCTAGGAAGAAAGATCATTCTCAATGACACATGTAAATTTTGTGGCAACTAATGTGCACCCTCTCTTTCTCAAACTTTCAATATTTATTTTGTCAACTTGAAAGGCCCTCAACAGAATCGTCCAGCAGAGTTGAAGGGGAGAGATTATGGTTGTAGGATGAGAATACAAGAGACACTTTTCTAACTCTGTATATGAGGGAAGAGAGAGACCCTCTCATATTGTTTTATATTGTTTTATACTCAGTACCTTTTTTAAGAAAAAAACAACAACAACAAGGAAGTAAAACCAAAGACAGGCAGCCTGGTACCAGGCCCGAAACTAGGCCTGGGCCTGCCTGGCCTAAACCCAGTAGTTAAAAATCAACTCATAACTTAGAAACCGATGTTATTAATAGATTCCAGACATTGTATAGAAGAACATTGTGAAACTCCCTGCCCTCTTCTGTTTCTCTCTGACTACCAGTGCATGAACCCCTGTTACGTATCCCCTAGATTGCTCAATCAGTCACGATCCTTTCATGTAAAATCTTTAGTGTTGTGAGCCCTTAAAAGGGACAGAAATTGTGCACTCAGGGAGCTCGGATTTTAAGGCAGTAGCTTGCCGATGCTCCCAGATAAGCCCTTCCTTCTACAACTCGGTGTCTGAGGGGTTTTGTCTGTGGCTCGTCCTGCTACATATGTATATGTGTTTTAATACATTGCTAGAAACTATGCCTTGGGAAGTGACTAACATGCCCTATAATGTGAAGAAACATCAAAAGAAGATAAGAATAGAAAACAAGGATTTGAGAGAATAAACCATGAGGGTTAAATAATAAATTAATTTCAGGCAGGCTAAAATTGCAAAATCCCCATCCTCTTAGAGGATGCTTTTTCAGTGGAGGTAAAGGAAGAATATATTTTGGAAGAATGACTTGAGCAGAACCAATATCTTTAGAATTCCCGTGACTCCCACCAAATTCCATTTGAATTTTTGGAATTGATGTGTAGCTGACATTTTAACTCTGGCATAAAATTGCAAAGAAATGAGCCCATTTCAAAACTGTAATATGAAAAATGAATGGTGCTGTGACTTATAAATCTAAAATGTGACAACTGCTAACACATTCCAGAAAATAAGCCCTCTATTACTTGTGTATTTCATTTTGCAGAATGCTTTACAAAGTATTAAAAAGAGAAACCACAAATGAGAGCTGGAGCCAATCCCCAAGGAGAATGTAATCAATAGCGTTGAATGATGACTGCTTCATTTAAAAACTTCTCTCCAGTAGGGCTTTATTCAAGCTGATTGTAATTCCATTTAACTGCAATGTTAAATGGCGTGTGAGCAGCTTTTGAATTCTGAGACGGCTCCATCATCAAAGAACATTAAAACTGAACGTTATTCACCACGTGCTGAGTAGTCAATTCTTATAACTTCAAGAGAACATTAATTCAGTGTGAAATATTATTGTTGTTAAGTCTGATAAAATATCAGAATACCTTCAACCTCATAATGCTAGAATTGTAATTAGATGAATGCTTCCAGAAAGAAAATCAGTTGACTTTGCAGAGACAAAAATAGTTTTCTTCTCAATGTTTTCTGAAGTTTCAATAATTTGAGTTTATAAAACAAACTAATAATAGACAGACTACCAGGAAAAAAAGGGATACCAATTTATTAACATGCATGTGGGCACAGGAGTCATTCACAGAGTATGAGGCTCAAAGGAGGGATCAGATGTCTGAAGTTTTTATAACCTTCCTGAGGTTACAGAAAAAATAGATGCTTAGAGCATGGCAAGACAGGTTATGGAAGGGAGAGAAGGGAAAAGGTATAGAGCAAAGGTCTTCTTGTTATGCAGACAAAACCTCACAGGTGGCATCTCTCAAAAATGAAAAGATGGTAGCCTGTGGTACAAGTTTCTCTGACAGACCTTTAGTCTCCTTTTCCTGTTAGATAATCTTTTCTATATCTAAGATGGTGAGTAGGTAGGTGCTCAGAGCAACATGTTTGCATCTGTTGTTTACTTCAGTTTACTAATGTAGATTTCCTCTACAGATGCAAATCTCCTCCACAAAATGCAGATTTTCAGCTATTCTTTTGTATTTGTAGCCCCTCTCATTAGTCATCTTAAAATATGCTACAGAAGTATGTTTTGGGGTCAAATATTTGTTTCATTTCCCCATTTGAATCTTTATTTTCAGAAAGTTGTACATATTAAAGTAGAATTGGTAGCTATAGAAAAGTTTGGGTTAGAAGTTATGAGATAAGAGACTGGCAAAGGGAAGAACAAGCAAAAAGGAACAAATTTTAGTATACTGTTTCATACCGTTTTGAATCAGTTTCTTAGTCCTGGGAATAGATTAGTTCAGTTAAACACTTGTGTTTCATTTCAGGAGATGGCATTGCAATTGGACTGAGAAAGCTCAGCCTGTATATATGATGCAGCAAACAGATCTTTAATAAGAGGCATTTCTATGGAAACAGAAGAAAAACAAAGATTAATGTTTGAAGTAGTCTATAGGCTAGTTTTTCTAGAGTCTAGAGGGCAGTGAGTTTAGAAGACTTCTGGAATGGGTTTGAAGCATCTTCACTTGTAGCAGGGAAGACAGTGGTAATCTGACAGAGTTTTCAAGCATAAAAGTTATCCATACACATGCCATCATTGTGATTTCTCTGGAGTCTATTTGTCAGTTTGTAAGGCTTCAAGGAAAACACAGTTTTAATTTTAGTGATGCAGAAGGGTTGGAGAGAAAAAAAAAGAAAATGTTAATTTGGCAACTCACAGCCAGATATTGGAGGAAACCATAAAAAATTCAGATGCAGTTCAAATTGCCGGTAAATAACAAAATATTGAAACTGCCTTTGCAAAAATTCTAACTGAGGAAATTATGACAGTGAAAGAGATCAGACCTGACCAACTCCATCTTGCTTCTAATCTTTAAGCTGCCCTCGTTCATTCCTGAGTGTAGGCCAAACTTACCTTGGGAAGGAATTTAGTTTATAGTTTGATGTTGAAACAAAGTTGATAGTAGCCCTTTCCCAAAAAGAGCCCCTTCTTGCCTGAGGACCAGTATGTCTTTGTAGAACTAACAAATGAGCTACAAGATTAAAAATTATGGTTTAGATGCCATGCAGCCTCCAGCTGCAAGAATCTCAACCTCCTCAAATTGCTCCTGGGAATAACATCACTATCGTAAAACCTAAGATCAGTGATTGAGATATGTTGCCGACTTGATTCACCAGCTGACAACACCCAGACCTGTAATCTGGCTCAACCAGTTCTTCGATCCCACCTAGGAACAAAAGACAGCAAGAGAAACTTACTTTGACCCCCTATGATTCCATTTCCAACCTGACCAATCAGGATGCCCCACTTCCCGAGCCCCTACCCACCAAATTATCTTTAAAAAGATCCCCTAAATGCTCAGGGAGACTAATTTGAGTAATAATAAAACTCCTGTCTGCGACACAGCCAGTTCTGTGTGGATTCTTCTTTCTCTACTGCAATTCCCTGTCTTGATAAATCAGCTCTATCGAGGCAGCAGGCAAGGTGAACCTGCTGGGTGGTTACAATATCAAAAACCAATGAGCTGGAATCTAATAATGAGTGTAGTATAGATTTTGTTGAGAAACATCATTTTTCTCTCTCCTGTCCCCCATTTCTACCAAATGTATTTACAAGACTAATTTATTTGTTAAATATATTTGGATTCATAAACTTGGGCTGACTATTTGCATAAAGTACAGTAAGAAGAGTGATTTATCTCACATAGGTTGTTTTTAAATTGGATTTGCTGGAACTTTTCACAAGAAATGTCAGATTAGACTTTTAAAAGCCTATCAAAAGTTTAAGAGTCAAGCCAAGAACTCATGATCAGACTGTGTCTGTAATACATGTATGGATTTGGTGAATTTCTCTCTTTTGGAAGTCCCTCAAATACCCTGAGGTTCCTGGGTCTGTCAGAAAATGACAGTTATTACTTACCCAAGGCCAGGAACCTTGTAAGGAAACGGTGTACACAAGATACCAGGCCAGTATTTTTCCAAGCATATTGGCTATATAAAGTCAACCTCATTCCTTCAAAGCAATTCAGGTATATCTGAAAACATTACATTTCAGTCAATGTCTTGGTAAAATAATCAGAGTCTCCAATTGTATCCTGTTGCAAAAGAAAACAAAATTTATTGAACTTATGCAAATAAATATTTTGCCATGAAGTAAGAATACTCATGGATAGTTTTCAAGTTCTAGGGTGACCAGGTAAGGAGAAAGGTAAATGTTTTGATTTTGGTCACAAAAGTATACTTTATCAAATTACTGTAAAGCTATAGGTAGCCAAGAGAAAGAAAGAAAGATTTCTTAACTCTGGGAAACAAAACATAAAAAGAGAATGAGCAATAATTCATACAAAAAAGTCATCATTTTGGCCCATCAGTTTAGACCCATGAAATTAATTCTTGTTTTGATTGATGTTGGGTTAGCAATTTTATCAGTCCACTATTTCTCTTAGACTTCTGACATTTTCCCCAGTCCAATGATATGGTCTTAAAGTGATAAAAAAAAAACTTTTTGTTTTTATTAAACTTCTTTTTTTTTTTTTAATTTTACTTTACGTTCTGGGATACATGTGCAGAACGTGCAGGTTACATAGGTATACATGTGCCATGGTGGTTTGCTGCACTTATCAACCCATCATCTAGGTTTTAATCCCCACATGCATTAGGTATTTGTCCTAATGCTCTCCCTCCCTTGCCCGCCACCCCCCGACAGGCCCCGGTGTGTGATGTTCCCCTCCCTGTATCCATGTGTTCTCATTGTTCAACTCCCACTTATGAGTGAGAACATGCAGTGTTTGGTTTTCTGTTCCTGTGTTAGTTTGCTGAGAATGATGGCTTCCAGCTTCATCCATGTCCCTACAAAGGACATGAATTCATTCTTTTTTATGGGTGCATAGTATTCCATGGTGTATATGTGCTACATTGTCTTTATCCAGTCTATCATTGATGGGCATTTGGGTTGGTTCAAAGTCTTTGCTATTATAAATAGTGCTTCAATAAACATAGGTGTGCATGTGCCTTTATAGTAGAATGATTTATAATCCTTTGGGTATATATCCAGTAATGGGATGGCTGGGTCAGATGGTATTTCTGGTTCTAGACCCTTGAGGATCACCACACTGTCTTCCACAATGGTTGAACTAATTTACACTCCCACCAACAGTGTAAAAGCATTCCTATTTCTCCACAGCCTCCCCAGCATCTGTTGTTTCCTGAGTTTTTAATAATTCCCATTCTAACTGGAGTGAGATGGTATCTCATTGTGGTTTTGATTTGCATTTCTCTAATGACCAGTGATGATGAGCTTTTTTTCATATGTTTGTTAGCTGCATAAATGTCTTCCTTTGAGAAATGTCTATTCATATCCTTCACCCACTTTTTGATAGGGTTGTTTGTTTTTTCTTGTAAATTTGTTTCAGTTCCTTGTAGACAAGGTTACAGTAACCAAAACAGCATAGTACTGGTACCAAAACAGAGATATAGAACAATGGAACAGAACAGAGACCTCAGAAATAACATCACACATCTGCAACCATCTGATATTTGACAAACCTGACAAAAACAAGCAATAGGGAAAGGATTCCCTAGTTAATAAATTGTGCTGGGAAAACTGGCTAGCCATATGCAGAAAAGTGAAACTGGACCCCTTCCTTATACCTTATACAAAAATTAACCCAAGATGGATTAAAGACTTAAATGTAAAACCCAAAACCATAAAAACCCTAGCAGAAAACCTAGGCAATACCATTCCGGACATAGGCATGGGCAAAGACTTCATGACTAAAACACCAAAAGCAATGGCAACAAAAGCCAAAATTGACAAATGGGATCTAATTAAACTAAAGAGTTTCTGCATAGCAAAAGAAACTATCATCAGAGTGAACAGGCAACCTACAGGATGGGAGAAAATTTGCAATCTACCCATCTGACAAAGGTCTAATATCAAGAAACTTGTTTCTAAGAGTACTTGTCAGGGTCCTTTCCATAAACTTCATTGACGAAGAAGCAAATTTTGGGCTTCAGTTGACTGTAAAATGCTTTTATAAAGAATACCAAAATAAGGCAATTGACTGAGGACAAGACTTAAAATAGTCACGCTTAAAGACACAATTTACAGGGAAAACTGGTTATTTTATGTGTCCTACAACAATTTAACATAATAATTATAATTTTTGCTGATAACATATACAAAGACATACCAGTATTTCAAAAAACGTATACAATTTGGAACACATAATAACATATTTTTACAAATACAATTTGAAAAAGATTTAAAATGTTTTGGAACCCTCTAAAACATTTCAAAGTTAGTCTGAGGTCAAAAAGACTTAATTTGAATTTGATTTGGAAAGTTTATCAAAAAGAAAGTTTCAAAACACTTGATCAAAAATAGAATCACACTCCCTGTGTAATAATAGTCATTTATTTAACCAAAATGATAATTGAAAGATTTCAAAAAACAAAAACCTTTACTCATTGATGGAGAGGAGACTCAGTTTCAGAAATAACCAAAAGACCAAAAAAGACAGTATGAGGCACACAGAATGTTTCTCTCTCTCTCTCTCTTTTTTTTTTTTGCAGTTTACTCAAAAGGTGAACAAAAATCTCTATTGTCTTTTATCAGTATTACATGAAAATATTTTATAAAAAAGAACACTAAATTTTAGTTTTGTACCAGGGTGCTATTAATACTAAAGCCAATTTTAATAAAACCTTGTAAACAAATCCATTCTACCTCAGTCAGCTTTCACCACACAAGATTACGATAAACTTTCTTGAATCTCTTACATTTTTTCATATTTTCTCAACTTTTAATATCCATTTATTTTTATCTATAACATTCATTCCTTTACTCATTAATTTTTCTTCAGAAACAACTTTTAAATAACTTCCACCTAGACAAAAATCATTTTTTCTCAACAAAAAACACATCCTCATACCTTATAACATCTTATTTTCATTATATACTATGTATATTTAGTAGTTTTATATTTTGTATATTTATTAGTTTCTTATATTTAGTAGTTTTAATTACATATATTAATTACAATTATAACTCTTAGTAACCTTAATTTCTAGTGAAAACCTAAGAAGCAAGTACTTTTGAATTGTTTTATATCAGTATTCAGGGATGAAAATCATTTTATAATTTCTAGAAAGATGTTTTTCTCAATTTGTAAAATGTTTTCCAGCAGATCTAGATATATTTAACTTTTCTGTACCATATAAAAACAAAATGTCAAAGTACATATGTTTAAACTTAAACTTACATTTAATAATTAATATTTCAGTATTTTTGCTTACTTAAAATGACTCAGCCATTTCATGATTATCTATTACTTAATTGAACATAACAGACCTTTAAAGTTTTAAATTACCAAATAGATTTTTGAAACCAAGTTTTATTTATAAACATTTATTTAATTTACATGTACCTAATGTACTCATTCTTAACAATTATATTTGAATTGTTTATGGAAAACAAAGCTAGCCATTTAAGTTATTTTTTCTATTGAAAAAGCAAAACTAGGCTAACCCCGCATCAACCAATCTTATCTTAACCAAGGTCTTTGAAATACTGGACACAAGTACCCTCCCCTTTCTCTTCCCAAACACATTTGTCCAAAGTTCCCACATGGCACCCAGAGAAGCTAAGAAAGGCAAGGCCTATCTGGGTTTTGGATTTACACACCAGATACAGAGCCAAGGACAGAGGATAGAGCTGTGAAGATGATGCCTAGAGGATCCAACCCCTCCCAGCATGGCCAGGAAGCAGAGCTAGGCCAGGAAAGATGGAGCCATACTGGGCTAAGCTCTCCTTGTAGCTAGTGGCCCAGGCACTGCAGACACATATGACCCCAGACATCATCGTAGCCACCTGTCCAGACTCCAGGATTGAGAGGCTTAAAACAAAAGACAGAAGCTCACAGCAAGATGTGTGCAAGGCTTCAGGGAAGCCCAGCAGCCAGTCCTCATAGCTTTAGCTCACAGACAAATAAATGGGCTATATTAAAAAAAAAAGTTTTAGAGAGCTGTTGTCTTAAACAGTGAGTTTTTAGTACCTATGAAAAGATACAACAGAAATATAGCCTTAGCAACTTCCTAGGTAAGATTTAAAAAACAGAAATCAGATTTAAAAGTTAAAATCCTTTGAATGTGCAAACTGCCTGCTTTGGATTCCCTTAAGTTTTGCCACAGGGCACTTCATCCTGTAGTGTACTGGCTAGCATTCACACTTTCATTGCCATGATCCAGTTTTGATTACAGGTCAGGGAGCCAGTTCTCTGAAAATGGAAATCCTTTAAGTCAAGAGGAAAAAGAAACGTTTCTAAAAAATAGTTTGAAATACTTGCTTTTAATTTACATTAGTATGACTCCTGACCTTTTGGGGCACCCATTTGTTTGTATCTTTCTGTTCCCATAAACAGCTTTTGATTTCTTGTCTTACCTACTGTTTGTCTCTTTTCATTTTTTGTATAGGGACACACATACCTATAGGTGCAGATGGCCACCTGAGAAGTTGGGACCATAGAAAATATAGCTAAACAGAGTTGTGGGTTGTACCCCATTTGCAGCTAGCAAGATATTCCTTTCTTTAAGCTGTCATTGGAAGTAGTCTGGATTTTGGAAAGGTTGCAGCTTTTGTTCCCTCTTTGAAGACCCTGGTTAAAGTCACAAAAGGCTTCTTGGTTTGGGTCTCATGTGTGCTTATTTGCTTTGGTTTTGAATCATTTGTTTAAGTATACCTCTGGTGTAAAACTTTGGTTTATGTTTAGAGTGTGATAGCAACATTTTTCCCATTATCTTGCTTCCTCTACTGGGATGGAGAGACTCGCTTCTTGCTACTGCTCTATCAATGGGAACTGCACAGGTGAAGTGAGGACGAGTTCTACCCAAGTGGTGGGGGATGCGTGCTGCTTTTACTGCTGTCAAGACTGCTGCTCTTGCTGTCTTTTTCAAAACAGTATATAATAAAGTTGATTATTTTTCTGTTGCCTATATTATAACCATATTCAAGTTTTAAATTCTGGATCTCGGGAGAGGAGGCGAAGGAAGATAGTGGACTAGAAGTCTCTACCAATTGTCTCCTGGCAAGGACACCAAGTTAACAACTATCTAAACAATGAACCAATCAAAAATAATAAAAACAACCATTTTTCAAGACATAGTACAATAAGATTGTCTCTTCACTTTGTTGATTGCAGCCTTTGCTATGCAGAACCTTTTTAACTTGATGTGATCCCGTTTTTCCAAGTTCATTCGGGTTACCTGTACTTACAGAGTATTGTTCTGCACAGCAAAGGCTGCAATCAACAAAGTGAAGAGACAATCCGCAGAATGGGAGAAAATATTTGCAAAATACCTATATGAGAAGGGATTAATAATCAGAATATATAAGTAGCTTAAAGAACTCTCTAGGAAAAATAGACATTTCTGAAAAAAAGAGAGGTACAAATGGCAAACAGGCATAATGAAAGGTGCTCACCTTTGATCATCAGAGAATTACAAATCAAAACTACAATGAGATATCTCATTCCAGTTAAAATGACTTTTATCCAAAAGACGGACAATAACACATGCTGGCAAGGATGTGGAGAAAAAATAACCTTGTACGCTGTTGATGGGGTTGCAAATTACTACAACCACTATGGAGAACTGTTTGGAGGTTCCTCAAAAAATTAAAAAGAGAGCTACCATTTGATTCAGCAATCCCACTGCTGGGTATATACCCAAAAGAAAGGAAATCAGAATATTGAAGAGATATCTGTACTTCTATGTTTGTTGCAGCACTGTTCACAATAGCTAAAATTTGGAAGCAACCTAAGTGTCCATCAGCAGATGAATGAATATAGAGCGTGTAGTACTTATACACAATGGAGTTCTATTCAGCCATAAAAAAATGAGATCCTGTCATTTGCAACAACATAGATGGAACTGAAGATCATTATGTTAAATGAAATAAGCCAGGTACAGAAAGGCTAACATCACATGTTCTCACTTATTTGTGGGATCTAAAAATCAAAACAATTGAATTTATGGGGATAGAGGGTAGAAGGATTGTTACCAGAGTCTGAGAAGGGTTGGGGGGCTGGAGTTGGTGGGGGGATGGTTAACGTGTACAAATAATAATTGAGAAGAATGAATTAGACTTACTATTTGATACTACAACAGGGTGTCTATAGTCAATAATAACTTAATTGTACACTTGAACATAAGTAAAAGAGTTTAACTGGATTGTTTATAAGACAAAGGATTAATGCTTGAGGGGATGGATACCCCATTCTCCATGATGTGTTTATCTCACATTGCATTTCTGTATCAAAACATCCCAGGCACTTCTTAAATATATACAAATATATGCACCTACTATATACCCACAAAAACTAAAAATTAAAAAATAAAGTTTTTTTTTTTTTTTTTTTTTTGAGATGGGAGTCTTGCTCTGTTGCCCAGGCTGGAGTGCAGCTGCATGATCTCAGCTCACACCAACTTCTGCCTCCCAGGTTCAAGCGATTCTCCTGCTTCAGCCTCCTGAGTACCTGGGACTACAGGCATGTACCAGCATGCCCAGCTAATTTTTTTTTGTTTTTTGTGGTAGAGACGGTGTTTCACCATGTTGGCCAGGTTGGTCTTGAACTTCTGACTTCAAGTAATCCACACACCTTGACCTCCCAAAGTGCAGGGATTACAGGCATGAGCCACTGTGCCAGGCCAAAAAATAATTTTTTTAAGTTTCAAATTGTTGGAAATGCTTCCAGGTTATTTTGATAGGGGTTTGGGGAGCCTCCTTGTTGTTCAATCAGATATGTACAATATGATGACAATCTACCAGATAGATATTCACATATAAGTATGTGTGGGGTTTATTGATTTAGCTGTCAAAGTTCACTATTTCATGATGTCACTGGCAGAGAAACAGTACCTTGCTCTTACAATCATGTATGATAATAAAAATATGCTTGTATTTCAAATATACATTTTAATTTTTGCCAGTAGTTTTAAATCATACTCAGGAGTCGATTAGCAAACATTTTTATGTGTTCATAGTTCTAGTCAAAGCAACAGAACTTTCTTAAGTAGCTATCACCGAAACATAAATATAAACAGTAGTCTATCTAATGAAAATGCTCATTGTTCTCTGTTCCAGTTATTCGGCTGGTAAACATACATGTCACGATTATACATATAATTATTCTAAAGAAAGAGATCTCAACGGCTGGGCGTGGTGGCTCGCACCTGTAATCCTAGCACTTTGGGAGGCCGAGGCAGGTGGATCACGAGGTCAGGAGATCGAGACCATCCTGGCTAACACGGTGAAACCCCATCTCTACTAAAAATACAAAAATTAGCCAGGTGTGGTGGCGGGCGCCTGTAGTCCCAGCTACTCGGGAGGCTGAGGCAGGAGAATGGTGTGAACCCAGGAGGCCGAGTTTGCACTGGGCCGAGATCGCGCCACTGCACTCCAGCCTGGGCGACAGAGCGCGACTCTGTCTCAAAAACAACAACAACAACAAAAAAGAGATCTCAAAATCTATAATGAAAAATAAATTGGAAATAGCATGTTGTAAATTTTTTTAAAAAATTTACAGTTTTTTGTGAACATGTCTATTTATTAAACAGAGGTTTACCTATGGTAACATGTTTCAAACTAGATTATACATAGATTTAGAGTATTTGGATTAAGTTAGAGAATAGATGATCCCACAGGACAAGCATCACATCTTTCTGAAGTATCATTTTTATTTATTTTAAGTAATTGGAAATATTTCACATATAAACAAGTATAAATACATTGAGAAACAGAATGCAAAATGTGCTCAATGTTTCAAGATTAAGCAGTGAGACAGTTGTGCTTTCAAACATGGCTTCTGGATATACCCTAGGTATCCTGGGTATATCTCAGTGTTATAGTCCCTGAATTGGAGTGAGGAGGCGTTTGGTAGACAGCAGAAATAATGAATTCTACTACTGTTTTTGAGTCCAGTACTATGTGAAATTAAATGTCACTTTGACAGTATACTTGGCTAATTTCCAAGAGGACATGATGTCTTTGGTTCTTTTTTACTTTTCATTCTTAAAACCATTATTAGACAACATACTATTTATATGTCTTGCAGTATCTAGATTATGCTTGCACTTGGTAGTTGCTCAGAAAATATTTGTTGACTATAAATTATTGAGCTTACTAATAAGCTTCACCTCAACTTTTACAAATAAAAATGTTGCTTGACACATCTCTAGTGCAGGCTGATTTCTGACCTCAAAGTCCTTCATACTGACATCAGTCCCATAGCACTGCACTGACTCTGCAAAATGTTCCATGATAATTTACGTAATATACTGTGCTCATCATCTAACTTTAGGTAGACAACAATTATGCCCTGGGTTTTCAAACAAAGAGAAAAATCTTTTAAAGACAGAAAAGGGACTAGAGAAAAAGGGTAAAGATGAGAAATACAATTGGTTCAAATTTCAAATTTATATCTGCACCCTAACAACTCCATTTAGCCATCTCGGCGACACTGGGAGGGTATGAATGTTTGTGTCTTCCCAGAGTTCATATATTGAAACTTGACGATCAATGCGATCGTATGAGGATTATATCTAAAAATGCCAAAGTGGTTTTGAAACTGAGTAATGGGTAGAGACCTTTGGGAAGTAATTAGGTCATGAGGGTGGAGCCTTCATGAATGGGATTAGTGCCCTTAGGAAAAAGGCCCCAGAGACTTAGTCTGCACCTTCTACCATGTGAGGACACAACTAGAAGGAACCATCTATGAATAAAGAAGAGGGCCCCCACCAAACACCGAATTTGCCAGCACTTTGATCTTGGGCTGCCCAGCTTTCAGAACTGTGAGAAATAAATTTCTGCTGTTCATAAGCTGCTCAATTTATGGTATTTTGTTATAGCAGCTCAATTGGATGAAGACAGAACATTGGTACTGAGAAGTAAGGGTGCTATAACAAATATCTAAAAATGTGGAAGTGGCTTTGAAACTGAATAATGGGTAGAGGCTGGAAGAATTTAAACCATATTTAATAAAGCCCACATTGCCAAAAATATATTGGTAAGTATAATTTTGGTGAGGGCTCAGATGGAAGGGGGGAGAGCTGTAGAGAAAGCCTCAGTCTTCTTAGAGAATACCTGAGTAATTCTGATCAGAATGTTGGAAGGAATATGGATGAAAAAGGAAATTCTGATAATGTCTCAGATGGAAATGAGGAATATGTTATTGGAAACTGAAGGAAAGGTGATCCTTGTTATAAAGTGACAAAAACATGACTGAATGTCCTAGTGTTTTGTGGATGGTAGAACTTGTGAGCAATGAAATTGAATATTTGGCTAAATAAACTTCCAAGCTAAGTGTTGAAAATGTGACATAAGAAGAAAGAAATTACTTAAAGAAAGGATTGTTAATCAGGAGGGAAGCTGAACTTACAAATTTGGGAAATCCTTGGCCTATCCATATTGGAAAAAATAGAAAATGCTATTTGGAAGAGAACAATGGTGTGGCCAAGTCACTGTTTGATGAGGACATTGATATGAACTGGCCAACTCAATGGAAGCCAGGTGTTATTCATCAAGATAATGAAAGAATGACCCTGGACATTTTGGAGATCATGGCTGCCCTCTCATCACAGACCAAGTGTGCAAGGGCCTGACAGTATTCTGGTGCCGTGCTCCTCAGCTGCCCCAGGTGTGGCTCCAGTGGCCCCAGGTACAGTGCAGATCATGGTGGCTGTCCCTTTGGAGGATGCAGGTGCTAAACCTTGACAGTGTCTATGCACTACTGTCACTGCCAGTGTGCAGAGTGCACAGCTGTGGAAGTGTGGCTACCTCCACCTAGACTTTAAAGGATGGTCCAGCCTGGTGCCTTTGGTGTATGATCCTGGCAAAGGGCTGCCACAAGAGTGGGACCACTGCAGGGTCCCCACTAGGGCAATGTCTAATGGAGTCATGGGTGTGGAGCCTCCCAGAGCCTTGGGGAAAACCATTACCCCAGTATGTCTGGAATGTGGGATACAGCATAAAGGAAAATTATACTCTCAAGCTGTAAGATTTAATGTTGTTTACCATGTCAGATTTCAGACTTACTTGGGACCTGTATCCCTTTCTTTGTTCTGATTTCTCTGTTCTGGAATAGAAATGTCTATCCTATGCCTGTCACATCATTGTATTTTGGAAGCACATAACATGTTTGATTTGGTCCACAGCTGGAGAGCAGTTTGCTTCAGGATGAAATGCACCTTGAGTCTCACCCATATCTAATTTAGATGATGTTTATTTATTTACTTTTAATTTTTGTGAGTACATAGTAGTTATATATATTTATGGGGTACATGAGATGTTTTGATACAGGCATGCAATGTGCAATAATCACATCATAAAAGATGGGGTATCCAACTCCTCAGGCATTTATCCTTTGTGTTACTAACAATCTAATTATACTATTTTAGTTACTTTAAAATGTATAAGTAAATTATTATTGACAACCATTGCCCTGTTCTGCTATCAAATACTAGGTCTTATTCATTCTTTCTATTTTTTTTTGTACCCATTAACCATCCTTACAGGTGATATTTAGATGAGACTTTAGGCTTAGATGTTAAAGTTGAGGCTGAAATGAGTTAAGATTTTGGGCACTATTGGGATGGGATGAATGTGTTTTGCATGTGATAAAATATGAATTTTGAGGGGGCAAGGGGTGAAATGCTATGATCTGAATGTTTGTTTCTCCCCAAAATTCATATGTGGAAACTAATTACTCATGTGATGGTATTAAGAGGCAGGGCCTTTGGGAAATGCCCCTCCCACTATCTGAAGATACAGCAAGAAGACACCATGCATGAACCAGGAAACTGGCCCTCACCAGTCATCGACTCTGAAAATGCCTTGATCTTGGACTTCCTAGCCTCCAGAACTGTGAGGAATAAACTTTTGTTGTTTACAAGTCATTCTGGTTTGGGTACTTTGTTATGGCAGCACAAATGGGCGAAAAAATATACCATAATATACCAAAAACTAAACTCATGACTTTTCTTCCACCAAATTGCATCTTTTCCCAGTGTTTCTTATCTCAATGAATGGCATCATTATGTGTCCTGTTCCACAAGAGGAAAACGTAGGAAGTAACCTCATCAGCATACTCTCCTTCCCCTTTTTATTCAAATAACACCAGATTTTATGATCCCAAATATTTCTGAGACTTGTCCACTTTTCTCCATCACCACTTCTACCACAACAGCTTGTTATCTGTCCAGCATTTCCTTACAGAATTATAGCAATAGACACATAAATATTTTCCCAGCTTCCATTCTCCAAAACCCCATTTCATCAATCTCTACCCAGAAGCCAGAACAATATTTTAAAAATGCAAATCTGATCATGGTACACATAAACATTTCCAACTTAAAATCCTTCAGTAGCCTTAGGATAGTAGACTAAAATCCTATAAAGCTCTACATGGTCTAGTTATTGGCTACATCTTCACCTTTATCTCAACCAAATTCCAGCCAGTTTTTTTGTTCCCCAGTCAGGGCTGACTTCACTTTCCACCACGACAGAGCACGTGCTCTTCTTGCAGTTGGGAATATTCTTCCCCTGCCCTTCATCATTCCCCCTTTACATAGTTAATCTCTGCTCATCATTCATATCTTGTCACAAATGTCACTTCCTGACAAAGTCTTCTTTAAAGCTCCAGGGTAAAGCAGTCTTCTTGTTTTACAGTCTTATTGATGATGCTTGCTAACAGCAGTTTTTATACATAGTAACTGTCATAGTTTATGATATATAAAATTATCATTAGTCTCCATGGCTAAGTACTACATCTGGCTTTTCTTTGTTTTGTTTTGTTTTGTTTTTATTTTCATTTATTTATAGCTTTGTCATAATGATTTTTTTAACTTTTTAAATAAAATTTATTAAGGAATAATATACAAAAAGTAAATACGCCTATTTTAAGTATACAGTTCAAGGAATTTCAAAAAATAACACCCATGTAATCACCATCACAATTAAAATACAAAACATTCCTATCACCACAAGTATCACTCACACTCCTCCCCAACACGCTCAACCAAAGACAGCCACTTATCTGCCTTTCATCACTATGTATTGGTTTTGCCTGCTTTCGAAGTTCTTATAAGTAAAATTACAAAGTAAGTAGTATCTTATATATAGCTTTTTTATTCAGCATAATGTTTTTCTATTCATACAGGTTGTCATGTGTATTAGTATCTTGGTTTTTTAAATGTATGAGTTGTATACCATTTTATGGATATAGTAATTTAGCCATTCACCCAGTGATGAACATTTGAATTAAGTCTAGCTTTTAGCTATCATAGATAATACTTCTATAAATATTTGTCAACAAGTCTTTGTGAGCATATACATTTTTATTTCTCTGGGCAAATATCTAGAAATCAAATTTTCAGGTGAGATGATAAATGCATGTCCCTGTGGAAGTGGAATGAGCCGCCCTCCCAGTGTGTGGATGTGTTTGCCAACCTAGAAGCTCTCCAAACCCCATACTTTAGGGATTTTTATGGAGACTTTATCATGTAGACATGATAAATAACCATGACTTGGTTATTTCTGGGTTCCAAGTCAATGAGGACAAAGCCAACCACCCAGTGTCTATTCCTGTCAAGTCTCATTTGTAGCCCCCCTCCAGGGATACCAGCATTCATATCATTTGACAGTTATGTTCAGGACCTTCCCTCAAGAGAATCTGCCAGATAGCCATCCGCAGTTTCTGTCTCTGTTGCAGGGAGACAGAATAGTTCTTGTTGGTACTTTGTGCCTCAGAAGGTGCAAGAGGAGCATGCCTAGATTCAGTCCATTTCTGCATTGCTGTAGTATCCCGTGTCCACTACTTTCATGGACCTAGGTGGCCATGTTAAGCAATTACTTAGGAAATTTGCTTGTTGATTGTAATCACCTTATGAACATGGAAAGGAGTTCTGATGGGTGTCGACATGTTCTGCTTTAATGCATCCTTCAGGTGTCCATAGAGCTGTGTCCCTTGTGGGTATCTCTTTAGTAAACTGGCCAGATTTGCATTATCCTTACGCCTGACCATATGGCCACGCTGTTGGACACTGCCTATGAATTAGTAAAAACCCAAACAAAGGGGCTTTTTACCACTTTTCAATTCTTTTATCACTGCTAGAAAAACAGCATGTAATTCAGCCCACTGACCTAAATATTTTTTTACTTTCTTTGATTACAGCAGCCTTCTAAAAAGGATTTTTGTCTGATCACCTTAAAATTGCTCTCCACAAACCAAGCAGCTGTTTGTTGATCAACTGAGAGCTGTTTATAGGGCACTGCGTAAATGATGATATAATCTAGTAGTTCCTCACACAGTTCGAGAGTCAGTCCTGGAGGAAAAGAGGCTCTCTGCTCTTGAGTATCTCCTCTCACATTCCTTAGGTAGCATAATCCTGTATAAAACATTTCGATTTTCTTATGGACCTCTTCTGGGCACTGCCATTCTTATTAGAGTGACATCACCCAAGACACCATGAGGATTTCAGGTTTTAAGATTATTTTATGTCCTTTAGTCATAGTGGCAGTTTCAATTAACATCCAATAGAAAGCTAAGAATTACCCATCTAGTGGAATTTTTTTAGCCCAAAGACCCAGTAGTCAATGTTGGGAGGTACTCTCAGGCTTTTGCCATAAGCCTCAGCCTACACTTCACATGGGGCTGTCACACAGTGAATTTGTCCCTACCAGCACTCCAGCTTCTATTCTACATTCTGTGGGCTTGGCAATCTTACAGGTTCCCATTTAGTATGTCTAATTAACATTGCCTCAAGGGAAGATTTACATATGTTCTGTTTTGCAATACTATGTAGGGGAAACACTCCCAAGTCCATCCTCATAATACAATTAGGTAAAATAGATGGAACTACTTCATGTAAAGCCAATTAAAACATACCAATTATCCTACAAGCTTTCACATTCATTTTATCAACTCTTACATTCTTAACTGTAGCCTTCATTAGTACTTCATTAGAAGGTTTTGGTTTTACAATATTAGGTGGGGGAAATGTTTCAAGCCAGGCATAATATCCATTACTATAAAACGTTTAGGTAAAGGACATACACTTCTTTACATAAAGCCTATTTGTGCATTCCAACTTTCATAATCCTATCACCCCTTACATTTTTATATTAACTCAACTTAATTGTAGCCTGTGCAAACAAATAAAATACTTAGGAATATACTTAACCAAAGAGGTGAAAGATCTCTACAAGGAAAACTACAAAACACTGCTGAAAGAAAGCATAGATAGAACAAACAAATGAAAACACATCCTGTGCTCTTGGATGGGTAGAATCAATATTGTGAAAATGACCATACTGCCACAAAAGCAATCTACAAATTTAACACAATTCTCATCAAAATACCATCATCATGCTTCACAGAACAAGAAAAAACATCCTACAATTCATATGGAACCAAATAAAAGCCCACATAGCCAAAGCAATACTAAGCAAAAAGAACAAATCTGGAGGCTTCACATTACCCAAATTCAAACTATACTACAAGGCTATAGTTACCAAAATAGCATGGTACTGGTATAAAAATATTCATGTAAACCAATGGAACAGAATAGAAAACCCAGAAATAAAGCCAAATACTTACAGCCAACAAAGCATACAAAAATGTAAAGTGGGGAAAGAACACTCTATTCAACAAATGATGCCAGGATAATTGCCAAGCCACATGTAGAAGAATGAAACTATATCTTCATCTCTCACCTTATAGAAAAATCAACTCAAGATGGATCAAAGACTTAAATTGAAGACCTGAAACCACAAAAATTCTAGAAGATAACATCAGAAAAAGTCTCCCAGACATTTTCTCAGGCAAAGAGTTCATGACCAAGAACCCAAAATCAAATGCAACAAAAACAAAAATAAATAAATAGGACCTAGTTAAACTAAAAAGCTTCTTCACAGCAAAAGAAATAATCAGCAGAGTAAACAGACAACCCGCAGAGTGGGAGAAACTATCTGCAAACTATGCATCCAACAAAGGACTAACATCCAGAATCTACAAAGAACTCAAACAAATCAGCAAGAAAAAAAAAACGAATAATCCCGTCAAAAAGTGGACAAAAGACATAAATAGACAATTTTCAAAAGGATATATACAAATGGCCAATAAACATGAAAAAATGTTCGACATCACTAATGATCAGGGAAATGTAAATTAAAACCACAATGAGATATCACCTTACTCCTACAGGAATGGCCATAATTAAAAAATAAAAAAAAATAGATGTTGGCATGAATGTGGTGAAAAGGGAACACTTTTACACCACTGCTGGAAATGTAAACTAGTACAACCACTACGGAAAACAATAAGGAGACTCTTTAAATACGTAAAAGTAGAACTACCATTCTATCCAGCAACCTTACTACTGGGTATCTACCCAAAGGAAAAGAAGTCATTATGTTAAAAAGACACTTGGACACACATGTTTATAGCAGCACAACTCACAATTGCCAAAACATAAAACCAATCTAAATGTCCATCAATCAATGAATGGATGAAAATAATGTGATATATATACATAATGGAATAGTACTCAGCCATAAAAAAAATGAAACAATAATATTTGCAGCAACCCGATGGAGTTGGAGACCATTATTCTAAGTGAAGTAACTCAGAATTGGAAAACCAAATATTGTATGTTCTCACTTATAAGTGGGAGCTAAGCTATGAGGATGCAAAGGCATAAGAATAATATAATGAACTCTAGGTACTCAAAGGGGAAGGGTGGGAGCAGGGTAAGGGATAAAACACTACACACTGGGGACAGCATATACTGCTCAGGTGATGGGTACATCAAAATCTCAGAAATAACCACGGAAGAACTTGTCCATGTAACCCAAAACCACCTGTTCCCAACAACTATTGAAATAAAATAAAAATTGTAGCCTGCATCAGTGCTTCACCACTGGTACCATAGTGCACAGGATTCCTGGTATTAAGTTGTCCCATGAACTTCTTCACCCCACGACCATTTTACTCACTCTTATGCAATGGCTTTGGGTCCCCAGCACGGGATTAAGCCAAGAGACCTGACTCTTTTGCAGTCCTTATCATGGTTAATCTGCCTAACCACTGCCCAAGCAATAGCTGATCAGGTTTCTTATTGTAATCTGTGCTCTCTGACTTTTAAACATTTCTTCAAACTAGGCTAAATAGAGCGAACTTCTTTGTAAGCCTTTAATGTTGGGGGACCACTAGGAGATCCCTTTGGCCTGCCCAACCTTTGGTGGTTCATATTAAAACCTTTCTTTTAACCCCATCAATGACCATTTTATTCATCATGTACAGCCATCTGTGGTTGTTTTTTCACAGTGAGCTACAGGTCCTGTATTATACCAGACATGCTTTTCTATTCTGCAGCATACAAAGCCAAAGATAATGCCCCCAAATTAGTCACTCTCACAATCCATTTTTAGTAAAGACTCTTCAGGGAGCTGAGGATACCAGTCTATAAAATGAGACAACTCCTTCACACTATACCCCCTGGCTTCAGTAGTTTCTTAGTTTTTGTGCTCTCCCAATATTCACTGGCTTCTTGGTGATCAGAGCTTTAAAGATACACTCTGTTTTCCTGGCATGATTTTTACCTTTGAGTGTGGCTTTGAGGCTAGTACTAAATCTCCAACCTGTCCAAAATGAGCTTAATCTAGCATCAAGGTCTAACCTAGCACGTTTTTTCCCTTTTACTTATTACAGATGTCTATAACCAAGGGATCATATATTTAGCAGGCTTCTCATTTTGCATTTTCTTTTGTATCCAATGAACCAGCTCCTTAGGAGCTTGGTATACCACCATTTCTAAATTCCACTGGTAACATTTACCTTTGGTATCTAATGGCAGCACAGCTGTAGTTTCATACCATGGGTGACTAAGTAGCAATCCAGGGACCGAAGCTTTCTCATCTCCCACCTTTTCATCCTTTCTCTTCTCAAACCACTTCTTTCCATAAGCCAGGGCAATTAACAAATTCTACTTTTCTGACACCAAATGAAAAACTTTTTTTTTCTTTTTCTACTGCACTGAACACTTCTGACACCAAATATGTGGGGATTTTTTTCTCACACCAACAAATTTTTCAACTTTGTGAACACCAGGTGAGTATGTTACAATTCACTTATGACACTAACTACCTGGAATTAGTGCAGACCCCACAGGTTAAGGGCTCAATCCCCCAAGACTGCCCTCTAACTTCAGACGCCGATTACCAGTAGTGGGTCCCCAAGTTATTCACACTTCTGTCCAACTTGACTACAAATCATGTGTTCTCAGGACTATCTCTTCAGGTTGGATATATCACTGTGATAGCTCACAGAATTCAGGGAAACACATTTATCAGTTTATCACAAAAGATATGATAAAAGATGCAGATGAACAGCCAGATGAAGAGGTACCCAGAGCAAGGTCTGGAAGGGTCCCACGCACAGGAGCTTCTGTCTCTGTGGAGATGGGAGGAGCCCCCTCCCAGCATTTGGATGTGTTCACCAACCTAGAAGCTCTCCAAACCCTTTTTATGGAGGTTTCATCAAAAAAGCATGGTGGATTACTAACTCAATCACCAGATCCCCTCCCCATCTCAGAGAATGGAGGAAGGAGCTGAAAGTTACCAATTTCTAATCATGGCTTGTTCATTCTAGTGACCAGCCCCTATCCTGAAGTCCACCAAGAGTCATCTCATTGGAACAAAACATGCTGTTATAATCCAGAAAAATATAAACAGCTTTAAGAGCTCTGTGTCAGAAACCAGTAACAAAAACCAATATTTCATACTATTTTGCAGTGTGGATATTCCACATTTTGTTTATCTATTCATCTATTGATGAACATTTTTGTTTGCACTTTTTGGCTATTGTGATAAAGCTGCTATGAACATTTGTCTACAACTTACTGTGTGAACATATATTTTTATTTTCTGTCGTATGTATCTGCGAGTTGAATATGATAACTCTGTGTTTAACATTTTCAGGATTGGGAATACTGCTTTTATTTATTTATTTATTTTTTATTTTTTGGAAACTTTTTAAAATTTTTTTTAAAATTTATTATTATTATACTTTAGGTTTTAGGGTACATGTGCACAATGTGCAGGTTAGTTACATATGTACACATGTGCCATGCTGGTGCGCTGCACCCACTAACTCGTCATCTAGCATTAGGTATATCTCCCAATGCTATCCCTCCCCCCTCCCCCCACCCCACAACAGTCCCCAGAGTGTGATGTTCCCCTTCCTGTGTCCATGTGTTCTCATTGTTCAATTCCCACCTATGAGTGAGAATATGCGGTGTTTGGTTTTTTGTTCTTGCGATAGTTTACTGAGAATGATGATTTCCAATTTCATCCATGTCCCTACAAAGGACGTGAACTCATCATTTTTTATGGCTGCATAGTATTCCATGGTGTATATGTGCCACATTTTCTTAATCCAGTCTCTCATTGTTGGACATTTGGCTTGGTTCCAAGTCTTTGCTATTGTGAATAATGCCGCAATAAACATATGTGTGCATGTGTCTTTATAGCAGCATGATTTATAGTCCTTTGGGTATATACCCAGTAATGGGATGGCTGGGTCAAATGGTATTTCTAGTTCTAGATCCCTGAGGAATAGCCACACTGTCTTCCACAATAGTTGAACTAGTTTACAGTCCCACCAACAGTGTAAAAGTGTTCCTATTTCTCCACATCCTCTCCAGCACCTGTTGTTTCCTG
Organism: Homo sapiens; assembly: GCF_000001405.40. NCBI lineage: Eukaryota > Metazoa > Chordata > Mammalia > Primates > Hominidae > Homo > Homo sapiens. The sequence goes on along the minus strand of NC_000023.11, from coordinate 113,450,792 downwards.
ACTTTTTAATGATCACCATTCTAACTGGTGTGAGATGGTATCTCATTGTGGTTTTGATTTGCATTTCTCTGATGGCCAGTGATGGTGAGCATTTTTTCATGTGTTTTTTGGCTGCATAAATGTCTTCTTTTGAGAAGTGTCTTTTCATGTCCTTCGCCCACTTTTTGATGGGGTTGTTTGTTTTTTTCTTGTAAATTTGTTGGAGTTCATTGTAGATTCTGGATATTAGCCCTTTGTCAGATGAGTAGGTTGTGAAAATTTTCTCCCATTTGGTAGGTTGCCTGTTCACTCTGATGGTAGTTTCTTTTGCTGTGCAGAAGCTCTTTAGTTTAATTAGATCCCATTTGTCAATTTTGGCTTTTGTTGCCATTGCTTTTGGTGTTTTAGACATGAAGTCCTTGCCCGTGCCTATGTCCTGAATGGTAATGCCTAGGTTTTCTTCTAGGGTTTTTATGGTTTTAGGTCTAACATTTAAGTCTTTAATCCATCTTGAATTGATTTTTGTATAAGGTGTAAGGAAGGGATCCAGTTTCAGCTTTCTACATATGGCTAGCCAGTTTTCCCAGCACCATTTATTAAATAGGGAATCGTTTCCCCATTTCTTGTTTTTGTCAGGTTTGTCAAAGATCAGATAGTTGTAGATATGTGGCGTTATTTCTGAGGGCTCTGTTCTGTTCCATTGATCTATATCTCTGTTTTGGTACCAGTACCATGCTGTTTTGGTTACTGTAGCCTTGTAGCATAGTTTGAAGTCAGGTAGTGTGATGCCTCCAGCTTTGTTCTTTTGGCTTAGGATTGACTTGGCAATGCGGGCTCTTTTTTGGTTCCATATGAACTTTAAAGTAGTTTTTTCCAATTCTGTGAAGAAAGTCATTGGTAGCTTGATGGGGATGGCGTTGAATCTGTAAATTACCTTGGGCAGTATGGCCATTTTCACGATATTGATTCTTCCTACCCATGAGCATGGAATGTTCTTCCATTTGTTTGTATCCTCTTTTATTTCCTTGAGCAGTGGTTTGTAGTTCTCCTGGAAGAGGTCCTTCACATTCCTTGTAAGCTGGATTCCTAGGTATTTTATTCTCTTTGAAGCAATTGTGAATGGGAGTTCACTCATGATTTGGCTCTCTGTTTGTCTGTTGTTGGTGTATAAGAATGCTTGTGATTTTTGCACATTGATTTTGTATCCTGAGACTTTGCTGAAGTTGCTTATCACCTTAAGGACATTTTGGGCTGAGACAATGGGGTTTTCTAGATATACAGTCATGTCATCTGCAAACAGGGACAATTTGACTTCCTCGTTTCCTAATTGAATACCCTTTATTTCCTTCTCCTGCCTAATTGCGCTGGCCAGCACTTCCAACACTATGTTGAATAGGAGTGGTGAGAGAGGGCATCCCTGTCTTGTGCCAGTTTTCAAAGGGAATGCTTCCAGTTTTTGCCCATTCAGTATGATATTGGCTGTGGGTTTGTCATAGATAGCTCTTATTATTTTGCGATACATCCCATCAATACCTAATTTATTGAGAGTTTTTAGCATGAAGGGCTGTTGAATTTTGTCAAAGGCCTTTTCTGCATCTATTGAGATAATCGTGGTTTTTGTCTTTGCTTCTCTTTGTATGCTGGATTACATTTATTGATTTGCATATATTGAAACAGCCTTGCATCCCAGGGATGAAGCCCACTTGATCATGGTGGATAAGCTTTTTGATGTGCTGCTGGATTCGTTTTGCCAGTATTTTATTGAGGATTTTTGCATCAATGTTCATCAAGGTTATTGGTCTAAAATTATCTTTTTCTGTTGTGTCTCTGCCCGGCTTTGGTATCAGGATGATGCTGGCCTCATAAAATGAGTTAGGGAGGATGCCCTCTTTTTCTATTGATTGGAATAGTTTCAGAAGGAATGGTACCAGTTCCTCCTTTTACCTCTGGTAGAATTCGGCTGTGAATCCATCTGGTCCTGGACTCTTTTTGGTTGGTAAGCTATTGATTATTGCCATAATTTCAGAGCCTGTTATTGGTCTATTCAGAGATTCAACTTTTTCCTGGTTTAGTCTTGGGAGAGTGTATGTGTCGAGGAATTTATCCATTTCTTCTAGATTTTCTAGTTTATTTGCGTAGAGGTGTTTGTAGTATTCTCTGATGGTACTTTGTATTTCTGTGGGATCGGTGGTGATATCCCCTTTATCATTTTTTATTGCGTCTCTTTGATTCTTCTCTCTTTTTTTCTTTATTTGTCTTGCTAGCAGTCTATCAATTTTGTTGATCCTTTCAAAAAACCAGCTCCTGGATTCATTGATTTTTTGAAGGGTTTTTGGTTCTCTATTTCCTTCAGTTCTGCTCTTATTTTAGTTACTTCTTGCCTTCTGCTAGCTTTTGAATGTGTTTGCTCTTGCTTTTCTAGTTCTTTTAATTGTGATGTTAGGGTGTCGATGTTGGATCTTTCCTGCTTTCTCTTGTGGGCATTTAGTGCTATAAATTTCCCTCTACACACTGTTTTGAATGTGTCCCAGAGATTCTGGTATGTTGTGTCTTTGTTCTCATTGGTTTCAAAGAACATCTTTATTTCTGCCTTCATTTCGTTATGTACCCAGTAGTCATTCAGGAGCAGGTTGTTCAGTTTCCATGTAGTTGAGTGGTTTTGAGTGAGATTCTTAATCCTGAGTTCTAGTTTGATTGCACCGTGGTCTGAGAGATAGTTTGTTTTAATTTCTGTTCTTTTACATTTGCTGAGGAGAGCTTTACTTCCAAGTATGTGGTCAATTTTGGAATAGGTGTGGTGTGGTGCTGAAAAAAATATATATTCTGTTGATTTGGGGTGGAGAGTTCTGTAGATGTCTATTAGGTCCACTGGTGCAGAGGTGAGTTCAATTCCTGGGTATCCTTGTTGACTTTCTGTCTCGTTGATCTGTCTAATGTTGACAGTGGGGTGTTAAAGTCTCCCATTATTAATGTGTGGGAGTCTAAGTCTCTTTGTAGGTTGCTCAGGACTGCTTTATGAATCTGGGTGCTCCTGTATTGGGTGCATATATATTTAGGATAGTTAGCTCTTCTTGTTGAATTGATCCCTTTACCATTATGTAATGGCCTTCTTTGTCTCTTTTGATCATTGTTGGTTTAAAGTCTGTTTTATCAGAGACTAGGATTGCAACCTCTGCCTTTTTTTGTTTTCCATTTGCTTGGTAGATCTTCCTCCCTCCTTTTATTTTGGGTCTATGTGTGTCTCTGCACATGAGATGGGTTTCCTGAATACAGCACACTGATGGGTCTTGACTCTTTATCCAATTTGCCAGTCTGTGTCTTTTAATTGGAGCATTTAGTCCATTTACATTTACAGTTAATATTGTTATGTGTGAATTTGATCCTGTCATTATGATGTTAGCTGGGTATTTTGCTTGTTAGTTCATGCAGTTTCTTCCTAGTCTCGATGGTCTTTACATTTTGGCATGATTTTGCAGTGGCTGGTATCAGTTGTTCCTTTCCATGGTTAGCGCTTCCTTTAGGAGCTCTTTTAGGGCAGGCCTGGTGGTGACAAAACCTCTCAGCATTTGCTTGTCTGTAAAGTATTTTATTTCTCCTTCACTTATGAAGCTTAGTTTGGCTGGATATGAAATTCTGGGTTGAAAATTCTTTTCTTTAAGAATGTTGAATATTGGCCCCCACTCTCTTCTGGCTTGTAGAGTTTCTGCCAAGAGATCCGCTGTTAGTCTGATGGGCTTCTCTTGGTTGGTAACCCGACCTTTCTCTCTGGCTGCCCTTAACATTTTTTCCTTCATTTCAACTTTGGTGAATCTGACAATTATGTGTCTTGGAGTTGCTCTTCTCAAGGAGTATCTTTGTGGCGTTCTCTGTATTTCCTGAATCTGAATGTTGGCCTGCCTTGCTAGATTGAGGAAGTTCTCCTGGATGATATCCTGCAGAGTGTTTTCCAACTTGGTTCCATTCTCCCCGTCAGTTTCAGGTACACCAATCAGATGTAGATTTGGTCTTTTCACATAGTCCCATATTTCTTGGAGGCTTTGCTCGTTTCTTTTTATTCTTTTTTCTCTAAACTTCCCTTCTGGCTTCATTTCATTCACTTCATCTTTCATGGCTGATACCCTTTCTTCCAGTTGATCACATCGGCTCCTGAGGCTCCTGCATTCTTCACGTAGTTCTCGAGCCTTGGTTTTCAGCTCCATCAGCTCCTTTAAGCACTTCTCCGTATTGGTTATTCTAGTTATACATTCTTCTAAACTTTTTTCAAAGTTTTCAACTTCTTTGCCTTTGGTTTGAATGGCCTCCCATAGCTCGGAGTAATTTGATCGTCTGAAGCCTTCTTCTCTCAGCTAGTCAAAGTCATTCTCCGTCCAGCTTTGTTCCATTGCTGGTGAGGAACTGTGTTCCTTTGGAGGAGGAGAGGCGCTCTGCTTTTTAGAGTTTCCAGTTTTTCTGCTCTGTTTTTTCCCCATCTTTGTGGTTTTATCTACTTTTGGTCTTTGATGATGGTGACGTACAGATGGGTTTTTGGTGTGGATGTCCTTTCTGTTTGTTAGTTTTCCTTCTAACAGACAGGACCCTCAGCTGCAGGTCTGTTGGAGTACCTGGCCCTGTGAGGTGTCAGTCTGCCCCTGCTGGGGGATGCCTCCCAGTTAGGCTGCTCGGGTGTCAGGGGTCAGGGACCCACTTGAGGAGGGAGTCTGCCCGCTCTCAGATCTCCAGCTGCGTGCTGGGAGAACCACTGCTCTCTTCAAAGCTCAGATGGAAATGCAGAAATCACCCGTTTTCTGCGTCGCTCACGCTGGGTGCTGTAGACCAGAGCTGTTCCTATTCGGCTACCTTGGCTCCTCCCCCGGGAATACTGCTTTTAAAGGGAGTACAACATTTGCATTCCCACTAGCAGTGCATGAGGGATTCAGTTTCTCCACATAGTATACAAAACTTGTTATTGTCTATTTTAAAGAAAATTCTAGCCATCCTAGTGAGTGTGAAGTGGTATTTCATTGTGAGTTTGGCTTGCATTTTCCTAATGCCTATGGAATTGAATATTTTTTAATGTGTTTATTGACCATTAGTATACCTTAAATTGAAAAAATATTTATAGAGACCCTTTGCCCATTTATAACATTGTTTTTTTTTGTTGTTGTTGTTTGTTTTTTTGGAGACAGAGTCTCTCTCTGTCGCCAGGCTGGAGTGCAGTGGTGCAGTTTCCACCCACTGCAACCTCCTCCTCCTGGATTCAAGCGATTCTCATGCCTCAGCCTCCCAAATAGCTGGGACTACAGGCGCATGCCACTACACCCAGCTAATTTTTTTTGTGTATTTTTTTTTAGTAGAGACTGGGTTTCACCATGTTGGCCAGGATGTTCTCAATTTCCTGACCTCATTATTGGCTTGCCTTGGCCTCCCAAAGTGCTGGGATTACAGGGGTGAGCTACTGCGCCTGGCCTGTTTTTTTTTTCTTTTACTTGTTGATTAGTAACAGCTCTTTTTTTTTTTTTCTGGATATAAGTCCCATATCATATATATGATTTGCAAATATTTTCTCCCATTATTTCTGGATCATTTTAAACTTTCTTGATATTATCGTTAGCAACACAAAATATTTTAATTTTGAAGAAGTCTAAACATCTGTTTTTTTCTTTTGTCACTTGTGCTTTTGTTTTTGTATCTAGGAAGCCTTTGCATAAACAAGGCCAAGAAGATGTACTACTCTGCTTCTAAGAGTTTTATAATTTTAGCTCATACGTTTGGATATATTAACCGTTTTGAGTTACCCTTTGTGCAAGATGTTTACGGTGGTGCCAACTTCATTATTTTGCATTTGGATATCCAATTGTCCAACAGTATCTGTTGAAAACCCTATTCATTCTTCCATTGAATTGTCTTGGCATTCTTGTTGAAAAGAAATTGGCCATAAATATGAATTTATTTCTACACACATATACTGTTCCATTAATCTACATGCAGATTCTTATGCCAGTAACACAATGTCTTTGTTATTTTAGCTTTGTAGTAAGTTTTGAAATCAGGAAGTATCCTCCAATTTAGTACTCAAAAAACAGGTTTTTTTTATTATTCTGGGTCAGTTGCATTGTCAGTTTAAGGGAAAAAATGGCAACTAGGAGTTTGAAAGAGGTAGCATTGGCATTGTAAACCAATTCAGGAAATAATGCATTTTAACAATGTTAAGACTTCTAATTCATGACCACTAGATGTGTTTCCATTTTTTATGTCTTCTTTTATTTATTTATTTATTTATTATTATACTTTAAGTTCTAGGGTACATGTGCACAACGTGCAGGTTTGTTACATATGTATACATGTGCAGTGTTGGTGTACTGCACCCATTAACTCATCATTTACGTTAGGTATATCTCCTAATGCTATCCCTCCACCCTCCCCCATATGTCTTCTTTAATTTCTTTCAACAATGTCTTATAATTTGCAGAATACTTATTTTGCACTTATTTTGCACAATTCATTCATAAGTATTTTGTTCTTTTGATGCTATTGTAAATTGTTTTCTTAATTTCATTTTTGAATTTTCATTTCTTGTGTATAGAAATAAATTTGAAATTTGTATATTCCATATTATTTTTCTGAACTCATTTTTTAGTTCTAATAATTAGGATTATGATTAATTAGGATTTTTAACATACAAGAATATATGATCTGCAAATACAGATAGCTTTACTTTTTTTTTTTCTATCTGGAGCCCTTTCATTTCATTTTCTTGTTTAATGGAACTCACTAGAATATCCAGAACAATATTGGAAATAAATGTCAAGTGAAAATCTCATCTTCTTTCTGATCTTAGGGGAAAAATTTCAGTTATTCACCAGTAGATATGGTATTAGTTGTAGGTTTTTCTAGATGCACTTTATCAGATTGAGGAAGTTCCCTTCTATTCCTAGTTTATTGAGAGATTTTTATTATGAAGCAGTGTTGTATTTGTGAAATGCTTTTCTATGCATCTGTTAAGATGATCGTGTGATTTTTATCCTTTATTTTTATGGTGAATATTAATCAATCATTGACTGATTTTCACATATGGAACCATCCTTATATTCCTAGAATAAATCCCACTTAGTCATTGAGTATAACTCTTGTAATGCTGCCCAATTTGGTTTGCTAGTCTTTTGTTGAAGAATACTGTATCTATATTCATAAGGGGTATTAGTCCGTTGTTGTCGTGTCTTTGTCTGGTTTTGGTTGGTGAATAATACTGGATTCATAAAATGAATTGTAATTTTCCCCCTCTCTTCTATTTTTGGAAGGGTTTGTAAGTATTAATTTAAAAAAATAGAGTTCACCAGTAAAGCCATATAGGCATAGGATTTTATTAGTGAAAAGTTTTAAAATTACTAATTCAATCTCTCTTTTTTTCCTTTATTAGTCTATTCAGATTTTCTATTTCTTCTTAAGTCAGTTTGACAGTTTGTTTCTTTCTATGGATTTTGTCCATTTCATCTAACTTGCTGGCTTAGTTTTTTTTATATTTTTTTGGGGTGGGGGGATAGTCAATAGTCATGTCCTTTTTTAAATTCCTGATTTTAGTAATTTGAGTCTTCTCTTATCTTTTCTCAATGAGTTTACCTAAACCTTTGTCATTTCATTGATATTTACAAGGAAAAAATCTTTAGTTTTATTGATTTTTTTCTATTGTTTTTGTATTCTTTATTTCATTTATTTCTTATCTGTTCTTCATTAGTCTTTTTTTCTGCTTGCTTTAGGTTTTGTTTGTTCCTCATTTTTTAGTTTCTGAAGGTGGAAGATGAGGTTATTGATTTGAGGTGCTTCTTTTTTCTTTAATATAGGCATTTATTGCTATAAATTTCCCTGTAAACATGGCTTTAGCAATATCCCAGAGTTTGGATATTTTTTCATTCATCGCAAAGTATTTTCTAATTTTCCTTGTTATTTTTTCTTTGATACATTGGTTATTTAGGAGTGTGCTGTTTAAGTTCCTCATGTTTGTAGTCAAAAAAATTTTCTCTTACTATTTCTAATTTCATTATACTGTGATCAGACATATACTTTGTGTTATTTCAATTCTTTTAAATGCATTGAGGTGCTTTATTTATTACATAGCATATGGTCTTGTCTGGAGAATGTTTCATGTGCACTTGAGAAGAATGAGTATCCTGCTCTTGTTGGGTGGAACGTTCTATAGATGTTTTTAAGTCTAGTTGGTATGCAGCATTGTGCAAGTCTTATCTATTCTTTTTGGTATTCTACCTAGTTGTTATAGTAATAATTATAAATTTGGTAGTGAGATATACAAACCGTTCCTTTTGAATTTTCTGTTTCTCTCTTTGTGCCATCATTGTCAAACATAATATATTTCTATATATAAGCCCAAGATGCAATTATGCACATATTGTTGTATGCATTTATTTTAAAATAAGTTGAGATAAAAGGAGAAGAAATATGTAATTAATATCTTTCATATTTACCTAATAATTAACGTTATTGGTAGTCTTTGTCTTTTTATGTGTGTGGGTTCTAATTTTTGTCTTGTTTCAATTAGTCTCAGCCTAAAGAACTTCCTAGAGTATTTCTAGTCAGGTAGGTCGGCTTTCATAAAATTCTTTTACATTTTGTTACCTGGGAATGTCTTTAATTTGCTGTTATTTTTGAAAAATAGTTTTGTGAGCTATGTTTTTGTTTGACTTTTTTTTATTTCTGCACTTTTAATATACCATCACATGCCCCTGACTTCACTTGTTTTGTTAATAAGAAGTCAGCTGTTAATCCTACTAGGATTCCCTTGTATATGATAAATAATTTTTCTCTTGCTGCTTTTGTGCTTTTCTTCAACGTTTTGACTATGTTAGCTCTTGATATAGATGTCTTTCCATTAGTCCTTCTTGGCTTTATTGCACTCTTTGAATGTGTAGATTAAAGTTTTCCGTCAAATTTGGGAAATTTTCGGCAATTATTTCTTTGAATATTTTCTGCTACTTTCTCTTCTCCCTTGTAGACACTCCCATTATGCATGCGTTGGTGCCCTTAATAGTGTCTGGCATGTCTCAGAGAGTCTGTTTATTTTTTATTTTTTTCTCTTTGTTCCTCATATTGCATAACCTCTATTGAGCTACCCTTAAGTTCACTATTTTTTTCTTCTGACAACTCAAATCTTTTGTTGAGTCCATGTGGTGAATTTTTCATCTCAGTTATTGTATTTTTCAACTCCAGGTGTTCAACTCCAGAATGTCCATTAGGCTTGTTTTACTAACTGGTATCTTTATATTGGAGTTTGCTAGTTGATAAAGCATTGTCATAATGTCTTACCTTAATTTTTTAAGCACAACCTCATTTAGTTCTTGGAACATATTTATAAATAGCAGACTTGAAGCCTTTGCCTGCAAAGTTCACCATCTGAGTTCCTTAAAGGCATGTTCTATTACCTGCTTTTATTTTTCTCCAGTCTATATAGGTCATACTCACCTGTTTCTTTTTACGTCTCATTTGTTGTTGTGGTTGTTGAAAACTGGACATTTGGATAATATATTTTAGCAACTCTGGATCTGATTCTCCATCTTTTGTTGCTGCTTTCCCCACCAACATGAGGCTTCCTGTTATTTTGTTGTTGTTGTAGTTTTTGGTTTCACTTGTTTCTTGTTTATTTGTTTAGTAACATAGATAGACAATGTCAATGAAGTCTATTTCCCCCTCAGTGTATAACTTCTGTTTTCACTCATCTGAACACAGGTCTAGGGTATGAACAGAGTCTTGGTTTTAACTGTCTCTGTTTTACTGTTTCCCTGAATTCCCTGTTAATCTTCTGGCTAGTCCACCTCTATTTATATTACACTCAGGTATTAGCCTCCACTGATTGCTGGCTGATTGCTTTATTATTTTCAAAACAATTCCCTGGGTCATTCATGGCTTCACAATCTGATCCAAATAAAATCAGGTCTCTTTGCAGGGGCAGTCTTTGATGTCAGTTTTTGTGGCTTGATCCAAACACACAAGAGCACTTCTTAGATGACTCTTGCACTGGTTCTGTTTCATACATTACTAGCTAGACTACCATTTCAATTGTGGCTATCATGGAGCTGCAGAAGTCCTCTTAATTGCCTCCCATGAACATTTCTTTTGCTGAAATGTAGGCTTGAATTTCTCATGCTCTGTTTCAAATAAAATCGGTCTCCTTAGAAATACCCATGGAGGTGTCTGCTCTTAAGGCCTACCTTTTTCCATGGGCAAAATCTCTGTGCCAGTGCTCAAAGCCAGAGTCAGGGACAGTGATCAACTTCTCTGTGAGTTATTCTTTCACTCTACAAGTAGGGAAACGTGTGGGAGTAGTAGCTCTTGGTCTTTTCATATAGCCTCTCCCACAATAAAATCTTTGTTCTATGAGCAATCTTTGGCAGAAGTAACTGAAGTCCAGTATTCTTAGCTTGCTGCCAATAGGATGGAGTTTCTATCCTATGTGTGAGGGTTGTGGGGAGGAAGGGAGCCCCATATCTCTCGCCTATTCTTTCCTGAAATAGAGCTTCAGCTATATGGATCTGGGAAGATGAGAAATGTCAGTATCCTACTTTTCCTGGGGATAAATCATCATGCTAGATTGGAAAGAAGAAGGGAGGGAGCTTGATCTTCTTACTAACACCTGCCTATAGTAGAGTTTCCATCACACTGAGCTCCAAGGGGAATGGCTCAAGCATCACAAATTCTTACTCTTCTTACTGAGGTTTAGTAGATTTCCTTTAATAAATGTTTCTCCATTTGCTATATGCCCTTAGGACAATTCCCAGAGCAGTTTTTTTTTCTTTTTACATTTCATTTTTTCAAGAATTACAGTTGTTTCACTGGGGAGAGGGTTCACAGAGATTCCCACACCACTATTCTGCAAGTGATTCTCCACAGTTCATTTTTTTTGTGTTTGTTTAAATAGTCAATAATGTAATAAACAATAAAAAATCATGTGTTCATTCATGTAGTTATCATTTCTATTACGGTTTAATCCTTTATGTATGTCCATATTTCCACCTAATGTCATTTTTCTGTAGCCTGGAGGAGTTACTATAACATTTCTTTTAGTGAAGGTTTGTTAGTTATGAATTTTTCACCTTTCATATTTCTGAAAAGTCTTTATTTCCCTTCATGTTTGAATAATATTTTTGCCAGGTATAGGTTACTTAGTTGGCAGTTTTTCCATTTAGGACCTTTACGATGTTGTGTCTATGTCTTCTCACTAGAATATTTTCTGAAAATAAATCTGACTTTGGCATCATCTTTGTTCCTCTGTACATACTGTGTGTTTTCCTCTTGTGCTGCTTTTAAGATTTTCTAATCATTCACTGGTTTAAACAATTTGATTATAATGTAGCTTTATGCCTTGGTGTAGTTTTTTTCATGACCCTTCTCCTTGAGATGCATTAAGCTGCTTGGATCTATAGGTTAATAGTTATCCATTCCTCAAAATTTTGGTCATTATTTTTTCAAATCTTTTTATGTATTCTCCTCTTTGAGTGAATCCAATCAGATGTATTTTCTGTCTCGTGAAGTTTTGAATCTATGGGTTTGTAATCACATATTATTTTGTTTATATACTCTTTATCTTTGGAAGTTTTGGGGGCATACTTTCTATTAGTATGTCTTAAACTCACTAATCTTTTATTTTGTTATATATTGTCTGCCATATATTTTTGCTCTCAGACATGATTCTTTTTTCTCTAGAAGTTTGATTCAGCTATTTTTATATCATCTATTTCTTTATTTACATTTTCAAATTAAATTATTGTAGAGATAATTGCAGTTTCACATGTAGTTTTATGAAATTTTACAGAAAAATTCCATGTATTCTTTATATCCTTTCCACAGTAATAGCTTGGAAATCTATAGTATAATATCACAACCAGAATATTTTCATTTATATAATCTGTCAGCCATATGCTGATATCCTGTTTCACTTATACTCTTTGTGTGTGTGTATTTCTATACAATTTTATCACATATGCTGGTTAATGTTTCTAACACCAAAGTCAAGGCAAAGATCAGTTTCATAACCACAATGATTCCATATGTTTTCATTTTATAACCACACTCACCTCTCCCTAATCCCCATTCTTAACCTCAAGCATCAACTAATCTGTTCTCTGTGTTGATAATTTTGTGATTTCAAGAGTGTTATATGAATAGAATCATTCAGTTTGTAAACTTTTGAGATTGACTTAATTTTCACTCAATATAATTTTGTGGAGATCCATTCAAGTCGTTGCATGTATCAGTACAGCATGTTGATTGAAAGCATGAGTTTGTGGGTGTAAATCACCTGAGTTTGCATATGATCTCTGCTTCTTACTAGATTAGTTGCTTTAAGCAAGTCTCTTAACTTCCTTAAATCCTGTTGCCTTTCCTGTAAAAAGGCGATAATAGTATATATATCACACATTGCCTTTACCCATTTAAAAGGAGATAATATATATATTTATAATATATATAATATATATATTATATATATATTTATATATATATACACACACACACATATATACACATCTCACATCATCTTTACCCATTTATTCATTGATGGACATATAAGTTGTTTCTATATCTTGGCTATTGTGAATAATGCTGCAATGAACATGGGAGTGCAGGTAGCTCTTTGATATATTAACTCAATTTTCTTCAGATATATCCAAAGAAGTAGGATTACTATTTTTAAACTTGAAGCCCACATACAAAAAAAGTGAATCTAGAAACAGACTTTATACCCTTCACAAAAAATTAACTCGAAATAGATCATTGTCCTACATGTAAAACATAATACTACAAAATTCCTAGAAGATAAAGATGGAGAAAACCTAAACAACCTTGGGTATGACAATGACTTTTTAGATGTAAACCCAAAGTCACAATTTATAAAATTGTGAAACTAGAAAAAATTGATAAACTCGACTTCATTAAATTAAAAACTTTTGCTCTGTGAATAACACTGCCAAAGAATAAGAAGACAAGTCACAGATTGGTACATATTATATGCAAAAGAAATAACAGGTGAAGGACGATTATCCAAAATATACAAAAAATTCTTAAATCTCAACAATAAGAAAATGAACAACCTGATTAAAAAATGGGCAAATACATGAGCAGACACCTCATCAAAGAAGGTATACAGAAGGCAAATAAGCATATTAAAAGATGCTCACATGTTATTAGAGAACCACAAATTAACAATGAGATACCACTACACCCATTAGAATGGCCAAAATCCAGAATACTGACAACACCAAATGCTGGTGGGCTTGTGGAGCAACAGGAAATCTCATTCATTGTTGGTGGAAATATAAAATGGTACAACTTTACAAGACAGTTTGACAGTTTCTTACAAAACTAAACATACTCTTAACATTTGTTCTAGCAATTGTGCTCCTTGGTATCTACTCAAAGGAACTGAAACCTTATATCCACACAAAACCTACCCATAGACATTGACTGTAGCTTTACTCATAGTTGCCCAAACTTCAAGGCAAGGAAGATGTCCTTTTTTTAAGTGGATTCAGACAATGGAATAATATTCAGTGCTAAAAAGGAATGAGCTATTAAGCAATAAAAAGATATAGAGAAGCCTTATATGCATATTACTAATGAAAGTAGCCAATCTGAAAAGGATACGCACCCTATGTATGATTTCAACTGTATGACATCCTGAAAAGGGCAAAACTATGGAAACAGAAAAAGGATCAGTGGCTTCCAGGGATTAGTGCAGAGGAAGGGGTGAATAGGCTGAGCACAGAGGAATTTTAGGGCAGGGAAAATACTCTGTCTGATACTATAATGGTGAATATGTCATTATAAATTTGTCCAAATTCATAGAATATATAACCGCAAAAAAGTATGAACTTTGGGTGATAATGATATATCGATGTAGGTTCATCAATGGTAATGAATGTACTATTATGGTATAGAATTTTGATAGGGTGGGAGGCTGTATGTACGGGGATGGAATATATGGGAAATCTCTGTACCTTCACTCAATTTTGCTGTGAACCTAAAACTGCTCTAAAAATTATATGTGTATATATTGGTTGTGGTGATGAATGCACAATTCTGCAAATGTGCTAAACATCATATACGTTGTAAATAAATCCATTCAGTAGTATGTGAATTTTTATTCTTTCCTATTGCTGCTGTACAAGTTGTGACAAACTAGGTGGTTTAAAACAACACGAGTTTATTCTCTTACTGTTCTGGAGCCTAGAAATCAGAAATCATTTTCATTGGTTTAAAGTCATATGTTGGCAGGGCTGCAATCTCCTTAGGCTCTAGGGAAAAATTAATTATTTGCTTCTTTCAAATTCTGGTAGCTGCTGGCATTTCTTGGCTTGTGGTAGCATCACTCCAATCTCTTTCTCAGTGGTTATATCTTCTTTTCTTCTTCCATCAATCAAGTCTCCTTCTGCTTCCTTTTTATAAGGACACTTATGATTGCACTTAAGGTCCTTTCAAATACTTTATAATAATTTTCCCATCCAAGTCCTTAACTTAATTACCTGCAAAGAGTCAACCATATAAGTTAATATATGCAGATTCCAACGATCATGAACTGAATATCATTGGGCACCACTATTTAGCCTACTACAGAAAAATTTTTCAATGTATCTGTTAAAAACCATGCACGTACATAAACATGTTCTAAAAATAATATGTAAAGATGAGAAGAGAACTGAAATTATTGTTCTTAGAGGTTTACTAGTGATTTTTAAAATTTTTAATTTATGTGGGCACATATATTTTGTAGGTGTATATATTTATGGGGCACATGAGATGTTTTGATACAGGCATACAATGCATAATAATCACATCAGGGTAAATGGAATATCCACCACCTGAAGCATTTATCACTTCTATGTGTTACAAACAATCTATTTATACCCTTTTAGTTATTAAAAATTGTACAATAAATTATTGTTGACTGTAATCACCCTATTGTGATATCAAATGGTAGCTCTTATTCATTCTCTCTAGCTACATTTTTAAATACATTAACCATCTCCACTTCTCCCACCCCCACTACCTTTCCTAGCCTCCGGTAACCATCATTCTACTCTCTATCCCCATGAGTTCAATTGTTTTAATTTTTAGCTCCAACAAATGAGTGAGAACATGTGAAGTTTGTCTTTCTGTGCCTGGCTTATTTCACTTAACATAACGTCCTCCCGTTCCATCCACATTGTTGCAAATGAAGGGATTTCATTCTTTTGTGGGGGGTAAATATTGCTCTATAGTGCATATGTATCACATTTTCTTTATCCATTCATCTGTTGATGAACACTTATGTTGTTTACAATTCTTAGCTGTTGTGAATAGTGCTACAATAAACATGGGAGTGAAGATATCTCAATATCCTGATTTCCTTTCTTTTCAGTATATACCTAGGAGTGGGATTGCTGGATTCTATATTAGCTCTAATTTCAGTATTTTTGAGGAGCCTCCAAACTGTTCTCTATAGTGATTGTACTCATTTACATTCCCAACAAAAGTATAAGAGGGTTCATTTTTCTTTACATCCTCACCCAGCATTTGTTGCTGCCTGTCTTTTGGATATAAGCCATTTTTAACTGGGGTGAGATGATATCTCATTGTAGTTTTATTTGCATGTTTCTTGTGATCAATGATGTTGAGTAACTTTTCATATGCCTTTTTCCCATTTGTATGTCCTCTTTTGGGCAATGTCTATTCAAATCTTTTGCCCATTTTTTGATCAGATTATTAAATGTTTTTCCTATAGAGTTGTTTGAGCTCCTTACATATTCTAGTTGTTAATCCCTTGTCAGATGGATAGTTTTCAAATATTTTCTGCTATTCTGTGAGTTGTCTCTTCCCTTTGTTGATTGTATCCTTTGCTATGCAGAAGTTTTTAACTTGATGTAATCCCATTTGTCCATGTTTGCTTTGGTTTTCTGTGCTTGTGGGGTATTGCTTAAGAAATTTTTACCAACTCTAATATCCTGGAGATTCTCCCCAATGTTTTTATGTGGTAGTTTCATAGTTTGGGGTTTTAGATTTAAGTATTTAACCCATTTTGATTTGATTTTTGAATATGATTAGAGAAAAGGGTCTAGTTTCATTCCATTGCAAAGGATATTCAGTTTTCCAAGCACCATTTATTGAAGAGACTGTCCCTTCCCCAGTGTATATTCTTGGCACCTTTGTCAAAATGTAGGTGTCCACACTGTAGGTGTGTGGATTTGCTTCTGAGTTCTCTATTTTGTTCCGTTGATGTACGTGTCTCTTTTTATGCCAGTATCATGCTGTTTTGATTACTATAGCTCTGTACTATGATTTGAAGTCAGGTAATGTGATTCTTCCTCCTCCAGTTTTTTTTTCTTTTTGCTTAGGATAGCTTTAGCTATTCTGGGACTTCTGTGGTTTCACATAAATTTTAGGATCGTTTTTTCTATTTCTGTGAACGATGTCATTGGTATTTTCATAGGGATTGCATTGAATCTGTAGATTGCTTTCGGTAGTATGGACATTTTAATGATATTAATTCTTCCAATTCATGAGCGAGCATGGAATATTTTCCATTTTTTGGTGTCCTCTTCAATTTCTTTGATCAGTGTTTTACAGTTTTTATTATAGAGATTTTTTACTTCTTTGGTTAATTCTTATGTATTTAATTTTCTTTGTAGGTATTGTAAATGAGATTACTTTTTTTACAAATTTTTTACAAATTGTTCACTGTTGGTATATAAAAATGCTACTGATTTTTGTATGTTGATTATGTATCCTGCAACTTTGCTGAATTTGTTTATGATTTCTGATAGTTTTTTGGTGGAGTCTTTAGGTTTTTCCAAGTATAAGATCTTATCTGCCAGTAAGGATAACTGGACTTCCTCTTTTCCAGTTTGGATGCCCTTTATATCTTTCTCTTGTCTGATTACTCTAAGTAGGACCTCCAGGACTGTTTTGAATAACAGTGATGACAGTGTGCATCCTTGTCATGTTCCAGACCTTAGAGGAAAGGCTCTCCGTTTTTCCCCATTCAGTATGATACCAGCTGTGAGTCTGTCACATATGACTTTTATTATGTTGCAGTGTATTTTTTCTATCTCCAGTTTTTTAAGATTTTTTAATTATGAAGGGATGTTGAATTTTATCAAATGCTTTTTCAGCATCAATTGAAATGATCATACAGTTTTTATCTTTCATTTTGTTGATATGAGGTATCACACTGATTGATCTTCATATGTTAAAGCGTCTTTGCATCCCACGAATAAATCCCACTTGGTCATGATGAATAATATTTTTCATGTGTTGTTGAATTCAGTTTGTTAGTATTTTATTGAGGATTTTTGTATCAATAATCCTGAGGAATATTGGCCTGTAGTTTTTTTTTTTTTTTTTGATGTGCCTTTGTCTGGTTTTTGTATCAGGGTAGTATTGACCTCATAGAATATGTATGGAGTAGGATTGGTATTAGTTCTTCTTTAAATATTTGGTAAAATTTAGCAGTAAAGTCATCAGGTCCTGGTTTTTCTTTGATGGGAGACTTTTTGTTATAGCTTTGATATCGTTACTTGTCATTGCTCTATTCAGGTTTTTGGATTACTTCCTGGTTCAATCTTAGTAGGTTGTATGTGTTTAGGAATTTACCTATTTCCTCTAGATTTTCCAATTTATTGGAATATATTTGCTCTTAGTACTCTCTAATGATCTTTTGAATTTCTGTGGTGTCGGTTGTAATGTCTCTTTTTCATCTCTGATTTTATTCATTTGAGTCTTTTCTCTTTTTTCCAGTCTAGCTAAAGGTTTGCCAATTTTGTTTGTTTTCAAAGAGCTAAGTTTTTGCTTTGCTGATATTTGTATTGCTTTTCTTCGTTTCAATTTCATTTATTTCTGCTCTCATCATTTCTTTTCTTCTGATAATTTTGGGTTTCGTTTGCTCTTGCTTTCCTAGTTCTTTAAAATGTATAATAAGGTTGTTTATTTGAAGTTGTTCTACTTTTTTGATGTAGGCACTTGTTACCTACTTTCCCTTTAGTATTTCTTTCAGTATATCCTACAGGTTTTGTTATGTTGTGTTTCCATTATCAGTTGTTACAAACAATTTTTCATTTTCCTTCTTAATTCTTTCATTGACCCACTGGTCATTCAGGAGCATATTTTTAAATCCATATGTTTGTGTAGTTTACAAAATTTCTCTTTTTATTGATTTCTAGTTTTATTCCATGATAGTCAGAGAAGATACTTGATGCCATTTCAATTTTCTGAAATTTTTAGACTTGTTTTTTGGCCTAACATGTGGTCTATTCTTGAGAATGATTCATGCGTTGAAGAGAAGAATGTGTATTCCACAGCCACTCAATAAAGTATTCTGTAAATACATATTAGGTCAATTTGATCTACAGTGCAGATTAAGTCTGATGTTTCTTTTCAATTTTCTTTCTGGATGATCTAGAGTGTTGAAGTTTCCAGCTATTATTATATTGTGGTCTATCTTTTGCTGTAGCTCTAATAATATTTGCTTTATATCTGGGTGCTTCAGTGTCAGGTGCATATATATTTACAATCGATTTATCCTCTTGCTGAATTAACCCCTTTATCATTATACAATGGCCTTCTTTGTATCTTTTACTAGTTTTTATCTTCAAATCTAATTTGTCTAAGTGTAGTGATTATTGGTCTTTTTTGGTTTCCATTGGTATGGAATATCTTTTTCCATCCTCTTATTTTCAGTCTATGTGTGTCTTTATAGGTAAAGTGTGCTTCTTGTAGCCAATGGATCATTGGATCTTGGTTTTTCATCCATTCAGCCATTTTATGTCTTTGGCAAGAGAGTTTAGTCCATTTATATTCAATCTTATTGTTGATCGGTAAGGACTCACTACATTTTGTTATTTATTTTCTAGGTGTTTTGTAGTCTTTTCCTTCTTTCCTGTTTTATTATTTCATCTAGTGGTATGTTTTAATTTCTTTCTTTTTATTTTTTTGTATATCTCTTGTAAGATTTTGATTTGAGGTTACTATGAGGCTTGCAAATAACATCTTATAGCCTATTATTTTTTAACTGATGATATTAACATTAATCACAAAAGTAAACAAACAAGAAAAGAGAAAACTAATGAAAACACTACACTTTATTTATATATTTATTTATTTTTATTTTTTAAAATTATACTTTAAGTTCTAGGGTACATGTGCACAACGTGCAGGTTTGCTACATATGTATACATGTGTCATGTTGGTGTGCTGCACCCATTAACTCGTCATTTACATTAGGTATTTCTCCTAATGCTATCCCTCCCCCTTCCCCCCTACCCCATGACAAGCGCTGGTGTGTGATGTTCCCCACCCTGTGTCCAAGTGTTCTCATTGTTCAATTCCCACCTATGAGTGAGAACATGCAGTGTTTGGTTTTCTGTCCTTGCAATAGTTTGCTCAGAATGATGGTTTCCAGCTTCATCCATGTCGCTACAAAGGACATGAACTCATCCTTTTTTATGGCTGCATAGTATTCCATGATGTATATGTGCCACATTTTCTTAATCCAGTCTATCATTGATGGACATTTGGGTTGGTTCCAAGTCTTTGCTATTGTGAATAGTGCCGCAATAAACATACTCGTGCATGTGAAAACACTACACTTTAACTTCATGCTCCCAACTTTTAATATTTTGTTGTTTCTATGTATATCTTATTACACTGTCTACATCTTACAAAGTTGTTGTTATAATTTTTGGAAGGTTCATCTTTTATTCTTTCTACTAAAAAATATTAATAACTTACATACCACAGTTACAGTGTTATAATATCCTGTGTTTGTGTGTGTACTTACTATTACTAGTGAGTTTTGTATCTCAGATAATTTTTTTTTGTGAGATGGAGTCTTGCTCTGTTGCCCAGGCTGGAGTGCAGTGATGCAATCTCGGCTCACCACAACCTCCGCCTCCCAGGTTCAAGTGATTCTCTTGCCTCAGCTTCCCAAGTAGGTGGGACTACAGACCCGTGCCACCATGCCTGGCTAATTTTTTTTTTTTTTTTTTTTTTTTAGTAGAGACACCATTTCACTATGTTAGCCAGGCTGGTCTCGAACTCCTGACCTTGTGATCCACCTGCCTCGGCCTCCCTAAGTGCTGGGATTACAGGCATGAGCCACCGTGCCCAGCCTCAGATGATTTCTTATTGCTTATTAACATCCTTTTCTTTCAAACTGAAGAACTCTTCTTTATAAGTTCTTGTAGGTCTGCTGTTGATAAAATCTTTCACCTTTTGTTTGTCTGGAAAAGTCTTTATTTCTCTTTCATGTTTGAAGGATATTTTCACAGAATATACTACTCTAGGGTAAACGTTTTCAAAAAACTTTTCCTTCAGCACTTTAAATATGTCATACTACTCTCTCGGTCTGTAAAGTTTCCACTGATAAGTCTGCTGCTAAATGTACTGGATGTCCATTATGTGTTATTCGTTTATTTTCTCTTGCTGCTTTTAGGATTCTCTCTTAATCCTTGACCTCTGAGAGTTTAATTATTAAGTGTCCCGTGGTAGTCTTATTTAAGTTAAATCTGCTTGGTGTTCTATAACTGTCCTGTACTTGAATATTAATCTTTCTCTAGGTTTGGAAAGTACTGTACTACTATCCCTTTGAAAACATTTTCTACCCTGATAGCTCTCTCTACCTCCTCTTTAAGGCCAATAACTCTTAGATTGGCCCTTTTGAGGCTATTTTCTAGATCTTGTAGAAATGTCCCATTCCTTTTTATTCTTTCTTTTCTCCTCTGACTGTATTTTCAAATAGCCTGTCCTTCAAGCTCACTAATTATTTCTTTTGCTTGATCAATTCTGCTGTTAAGAAACTCTAATGCATTTTTTTGGTATGCCTACTGAACTTTCCAGCTCCAGAATTTCTGCATGATACTTAAAAAAATTATTTATCTGTTTGTTAAACCTATCTAATTCTGAATTTCTTCTCTGTATTATCTTTAATTTCATTGAGCTTCCTCAAAATAGCTATTTTGATTTATCTGTAAGGTCACATATCTCTGTCACTTCAAAATTGATCTCTGGTACCTGATTTAGTTTGTTTGGTAAGGTCATATTTTTCTGGATGGTTTTGATGCTTGGACACTGAAAAGTTAGGTATTCATTGTAGTCTTTGCAATCTGGTCTTGTTTGTACCCATCTTTCTTGGGAAGTCTTTCTATATATTCAAAGGGAATTGAATTTTGTGATCTAAGTCTTTGATCACTGCAATTGTATCTGCATTAGGGGGAACCCCAAGTCCAGTAACGCTGTGATTCTTGAAGACTCATATGGGCAATGCTATGACTCTTGAAGACTCGTATGGGTAATGCCTTGGTGTTCTTGGGAACTCCCTGAGTTGCCAGGCCCAGACTCTTGTCATCTCTCCTTACACTTTCCCAAACAAATGGAATCTTTCTGTGCTGAGCTGCCTGGAGGTGGGGGAAGGATGACACAAGCACCCCTGTGGCTACCACCACTGAGCCAGTGTTGGGTCAGACCTGAATCCAGCACAGCACTGAATCTTGCCCAAGGCCTGTGTGCAACCACTACTTGGCTACCACTAATGTTTATTCAAGGCCCAAGGGCAATTTAGTCTGCAGGTGGTGAATCCAGGCAGGCTTTTGTCCTTTCCTTCAGGGTAGCAAGCTCCCACCCTGGCCCAGGGCAGGTTCAGAAATGCCGTCCAAGAGCCAGGGCCAGGAACCTTAGGAATCTACTTGGTGTTCTATTCTACAGCAGCTGAACTGGCACCCAAGCTTCAAGACAGAGTCCTTCCCAGTCTTCTCTCTCCTTTCCTCAAGCTGAATGAGTCTCCTCTCTTCCCATGGCTATCATTGCGGCCCCACAGCGAGTACTGACAGGCTACTGCAGATATTCACTCAAGGCCCAAGTGCTGTTCAGTCAACTTTCAGTGAATGCTGCGAGAACTGGGTCTCTCCCTTCAAGGCAGTGGGTTCTCCTCTCTCTCAGGAAGGGTCCAGAGATGCTGTCCATGAGCCAAGGCCTGGAATTGGGAACCCCAGATACCCACTTGCTCTACCCCACTATGGCCAAGCTGGTACCCAAGCTGCAACACAAAACCCCCTTTACTCTTCTCTCTCCTTTTCTCAAGCAGAAGGAGTCTCTCCCCGTGGCCACCGTAGTTAGGAATCTGCTATGGCCAAGGTGGGAGGATGGCTTGAGCCCATGAGTTCAAGACCAGCCTGGACAATAGAGCAAGACCCTGTCTCTACAAAGGAATTAAAAATCAGCCACGTGATGGTGTGCACCTGTGATCCCACCTACCTGAAAGGCTCAGGTGAGAGAATTGTTTGAGCATGGGAGGTTGAGGCTGCAGTGAACTGTGATCACACTACTGTACTCTAGCCTAGATAAACAGAGCAAGACTCTGTCTCAGAAAAATAAAAAGGCTACATTAAACAAGATTAAGAATTAATTAGTTAAAGGAGTTGGCTGAGAAGATTTTTTTAAAGAGTTGTAGTGCTGAGGCATTTTTCTCTTCAAGTGAAAGAGAGCTTCAAGATATCCACTCAGAGAAGTATCTTCTATAATTCCAGCAATACAGGAACTTGAACTTGATTCACTAGTAAGAATCCTAAAGGCAAGTGACTAGTAAACGTGGCCTATCCACGTGGCATCAGCCTCCTGGGTAGCTGGGAGGACAGGCGCATGCCACCATGCCTGGCAAATTTTTGTATTTTTAGTAGAGATGGGGTTTCACCATGTTGGCCAGGCTGGTCTCGAACTCCTGACCTCAGGTGATCTGCCCACCTCGGCCTCCCAAAGTGCTGAGATTACAGGCATGAGCCACCGCTTCCAGCCACTACCTGGTTTTTAAAAAAGAATAAATAAACAACCTTATTTGGCTTACCAATGTAATCTGAATGCAATTTTTAATAAATATGTTCCCTGGATGATCCTGCCCAGTTTTCTCTCACCACTGTCCTCCTTGTCCACTGTTCCACACCAATGTTAGCCTTTTATAAGGTAAGACCTTCTTTGTCTCAGAGTAATTGTACAAGCTGCTTTCTCTCCTTTTCCTTACTACACTACTTCCCCCACTCTGCATGTGGCTCACTCTTTCATGAGGCCTCAAATGTCATTTCTTTACAGAGATATTTCTTTTATCTCTGTACATCAGATTTTCCCCATTATTTTCTCCCATATCACCCTGTGGTTTTTATCATATGTTTTTAAAATCTCACTTTATAATCATATCTTTATCTATTTGTTAATTATATATGTATATATATGTGTGTGTGTGTGTGTGTGTATATATATATATATATATATATATATATATATATATATACACATAAATAATTATATAAGTTTTTAGACTCCAGGCTTCATCAGGACAAGATGAAATGAAATTAAAAATCATTTTGCCATTGATTATTTTTTAGAGTCTAGCGCAGCGTCTGGCACATATAGATGTTTAACAAATATTTGCTCTTGAACCTGATTGAATGTGGTATACCAGTTGCTGCTTGAAGCCTTTCAAGCCCATTCCCAGGGACTTTATGTGAACAATAACCAAAAATTTCTTTCATCTCATGAATTAAACCATGCCACATATAAAACAGTGAGTGGTGAGACCTGTGACAAACTGAACAGTGAGGGCTTGCCTGAGTGTATTCAAATTAAATGAATAAAAAACTCAAATGGGTAATAATTTAAAAAAAAACTACTTTTCTTGTCAAAAATATGCCTAGAGCTGCAATGTGCCTGTATGATGCTAATTTGAAACCCCCGCTTTACGATCTTATATCTGCTAGTTTCTCATATTTGCTTTGTTTTCACCAGATGGAATTACTCACTCTTCAATAAACTCATTCTATTCCATGCCTTTGTTCATGCTGTTCCTTCTGCCTCAAACAATGATTCTCAACCCTACTTACACGATGAAAATAATTAGAAATTTTTTAAAATCTCAGTGTCTAGGTAGCACCCAGGCCAATTAAATAAAAACCTCTTCCATGAGTATTTCTAAAGCACACCTGTAATCTATATGCTGCCAAATTTGAGAACTACTGACCTGGTATTATTTCCCCATAAGCCTACCTGTTAAAATCAAGTCCAAATTCTTGCAGGCCCACTTCAAATGCAACTTTCTATATAAAGCCTGTCTCTCAAAACCTTAAAACAATACAATATCTCACATGTCATTATTTACACTTTTCTCACTAGGCATATTTTACTACTTAGCTGCTTAAAACAATACACATTTATTATCTTACCATTTCCATGGGTGTCTAATATTATCATCACCCTGGTCTAAGCCACTATCAACACCTGCCTGGTCTGCTGCAATAGCTCCGAAGTAATTTCTCTTTTTCAACTCACCATCCCTCACAACCAATCAGCAATCTCAGTCACCATTTCGCAATGTAAATTTGATGATGTCACTCTGTTGCTTTAAAAAACAATAAAAACAACAACAAAACTCCAACAACCTTCTTTGATTTACCATGGTCTACCTGTCTCTGCATGGTCCTGTCCAGTTTTCTGTCCTTGCCCACCATACTGTAGCTACACTGGCTTTATTTTTGGCAGTATTATTAGCTCAGAGTGCCACATGGCAGAAATCTAAGTGTCAGTGGGGGCTGCATTCTCATATTTGGCTCAAGGTCCTCTTCCAAGCTCATTCAAGTGGTTGCCATAATTAAATTCCTTGTGGTTGTAGGACTAAAGTGCCTCTTTTCTTTCTGGCTGTTAATCAGCAACCAGAGGCTGCTCTCAGGTCTTCTCCATGTGATTCTTTCCATCTGCAAGTGAGCTGTAGTGCCTTTATTTCCAATGTGCTTTAAATCTCTGACTTTTCTTTCTGCTACTATTCAGAGAAAATGTTCTGCTTTTAAAGGACTCGTGTTATTAGGACTCATGTTAGACTCACCTCAATAATATAATTACTTTATAGTCAGCTGATTAGTAACTTTACTTAAATCTACAAAATCTCTTATGCCATGTTACATAATCATGGGAGTCACACCAGGGGGAGTAACTCATGAGGGCCAATTTAGAATTCTTTCTACCACACTGAGTATTACATATATGTATCTTCGGGTTGTGAGATGTTTAAGAGCAAAGATGAAACCAGATATTTATTTTCCTTTCCCTACTTTTTTTTTCCACAATCTGCAACTCAGTACATTTTAAAGCACAGAGATTGTCCAACAAAAATATATTGACTGAACTGATGGCAAATTATGGTCAACCTGCTAACGTGAAAAAATTATATAGCCAAGAGACACACAGTACACATTTGAAATAATCATTCCCCAAATAACACCTTGTGGCAGATGGAATGTGGTAGTATGTCTAAAAGTTGTAATCCAAATAATCCAGTGGCCAACTACTGGGGAATAGTTGGGGCTAGGGAGAAAAATGGTGGTATGGCTTCACTAATGATCTAATTTAGTAGACATGTTCTCTGAGGAAAGCCATTTTCAACTATTGTTTCATAAAAATAAATGACAAGAAAAATTCTGGACTACCATTCAGTTTGTCAAAATACATGCAGTAAATTAATGCATTTACAAGGTTATCAGCTATCCATTTTCCAAAATGCACACAATCTATTACTTCTCCACATACTTGTATACTTCAAGAATTAGTGGTTTCATGTGCATGCATGTAACATAAATTTACTTTCTTTAAAACACTACACTAGCAATATGAGTTTATGATTTTAAAATCTGGAAACATCAAACTTCTAAAATGGTCAGCATTTGAAAAGGTAAATTGAATCAGAATAAGGTTACTCTGTCTCTACTCTCTCTGGGGCTATTAGAAGTCTACATATCTTCAGGAATTCTATGGCACAACATTGTGTTTAATGTTATCAAGGGGTAATATTACATCTATTTGCTCCACAAACTAAAAATGAAAACAACCAAGAGGAGACATTTTTTCCATAGTCACTTTAATGCTACAGTTTCAAATCTTTGCTCCTATCTGCCAGAGCTGCCATTTGCACAATACATATTTAACCTAGGCACTTTTAGAACATGCACACATGTGAAAGGATTCTCTGCCAATCAATATAAACCAGACATATTTATCTCATGTATTATAAAATAATTTTAAGTTGTGGTGATTAAATAAAATTTATATTAACTAGCTTGGTGTATACCCACAAAACTTTAATTCCCACAATCCGAATACTATTACGACTGCTTTTTGAAGGACTGTGAAAAAACTCAAGAACAGATTTCCTCTTAGTAATTTTTAACATCCAAATTGTTATTTTCCTAAATATTTCACTTTATACTTATTCAGCCTTCCTCACCTGCTCCTACTCTGAGTATTACTTCATGGTCTCCCTTCACCTCTTTTGTATTCAGAGCTCAACTTTCAAATCTACCTGCTCTCACCCTGTAACCAGAAGGAGGATATCTATTACTAATTTTAAAAAGTAACCTAATGTCAAACCTTTCCATCCAAAAAGATAATAAGGCTGCAGTAAAGCCTTGTATTTTTATTTGGAGTCACGGAAGAAGTATTTATTTGATATTGTAGCAGTGAAAGAAAGTTTTCTTCCACCCCCTTAAAGTTCAATAATCTGAGTCTATAAAACAAAAAGAAAATAGATTAACAGAAGAAAAAGCATACAAATTAATTAACATGCACGTGCACCAGAGTCACTCAAAGAAGGGCAAGATGACTGAAGCCTAAATGTCCTCTTCATAGGAAAAAAGGAAGTGGGGGATGTATGTAATTTTAAAGCAAGAATAAGGGAGTTTCTAGGGGAGATGAATGGGTTGGAAGAACAATTGCGTTCCTTCTGGAGGAACTTTTCTGAGTCCGATAAGGGAACTTCAGAGAAAGCCCCTCTAACTGATTTGGAAGAACAAGAGGGGCATGAGATGGTGGGGGCAAGGTCAGAGAGAGAGACCTTTGTTTTGAGGCAGCTTCTTCAGTTTAAAGTACTGAGCATGTCAAAGAACCATTCTTTGGGGTATCATTTTATGAGCCCCAACAATATTATTGGAGTGATTGTTTGTAGCGTCTGCCTCAATTATTTTGCTTAATAGAATTTTTTTGGCATTAAATAATGTATCAATAAGCAGAAGAGTAGTACTGCCTTGTAAAATATTTTGTTCTAAAAAGAATGGTAACAATGGGTTCAAGTCTGTTGTAACTGTAGGGGAGGGGAAAAGAGCTTCCCTCCACCATCCTACATTCTTTGGCTGGGCTACAAATTAAATTGACATAAGACAGATTAACAGAAGTAAAACCGTTTTAATTACATGCATACACATGAGAGTCCCCAAAAATATGAGACTCAAAAAAGAACCAGATGACTGAAGCTTACATAGCATCCTGAGCTACAAAAAGGAATAGGGACTTAGGGTTTCTGGAAGGTGGTAGAGACAAATTATGGGAGGGTGAGGGGAGAAAACATATGGTTAATAAAGTTTGCTTTGTTATGTAGATAAGTGTTTCTCAGGTGTTAAAAGTTGTCTGGAGCAGCTCTGTTCCTGCTAAAGACATCTTTTACTAATGAAAATGTCTTTTATAGATGTAAATTTTTAACATAAGGGCAGCTGCTTAGAGCTACTCCTGTGTCTGCAGTTTCTCAAAATAGCCAGCTTGAAATATACCAAAGAAGTATATTTTGGTATGGTATATTCTGGTCTACTACAGCCATATTTTGGAGTCCTGTGGCCCGAGCCCCATCATAGCACAATATTATCTAAGTTCTTTTAAAACATTAACTCATTTATTTTTTGCTTTTATTTATGCTTTTATTTGTAAGACATAATTTGGTTACATGACAGCAAAACAAAAGGGTTGAAAAGCAAAATGTGTCAAATATGAACATAATTATGGAGACATGAGCATGTGTTCATTTACTAGCAACCGAAATTAAGGAAGAAGCTTTTTAAACAAAATGGCTTTGATAATAAAAGTATGAACCAAAATATAATAGATTTTTTTCTTTATGCTTTCCTACTGTAAACATCAATCACTGTTAAGTGTTAAACTCTGAACTGCTTTTCTCTAAAAAAGAGTGTCAAGAAAGCATAAGACATTAAGGCTTGACTGGTTTTGAGGAACAAAGTCATGTAACAGTGCCGTCCCTGTTTTCTACAAATTCAGAATCTCTACCTTAAATTGTGTCTTTACTGCCAGGCAATTATTAACTCATACCATGTGTATTAGTCCGTTCTCACACTGCTATAAAGATACTACCTGAGACTGGGTAATTTATGAAGTAAAGTTTAATTGACTCACAGTTCCACATGGCTGGGGATGCCTCG
This sequence comes from Homo sapiens, assembly GCF_000001405.40. Classification (NCBI taxonomy): domain Eukaryota; kingdom Metazoa; phylum Chordata; class Mammalia; order Primates; family Hominidae; genus Homo; species Homo sapiens. The sequence continues at coordinate 113,422,569 of NC_000023.11, read as the reverse complement.
GGAAACTTACACTGGTGGTAGAAGGTGAAGGGGAAGCAAGAACCTTCTTCACAAGACAGCCGGAGAGAGAAGAAAGCGTGCATAGGAGGAACTGTCAAACACTTATAAAACCAACAGATCTCAATAGAACTCACTCATGAGGACAGCATGGGGGAAACTGCCCTCATGATTCAATCACCTCCTGCCAGGTCCTGCCCTTGACACTTGGGGATTATGGGTATCACAATTTGAGATGAGATTTGGGTGGGGACACAGAGCCAAACCATATCACCATATTGATTCCTTAGAATGCCACATAATGCCTAGTTCTGATCATTTCCATCATTTTCAAAGTCACAGTCTCTCCAGAATCTCTTGATAGCAGGACCTTGCTTTTGGTTTCATGGAGATTGAACGTTGGGATATGAAAGTAATTAAAGGATATGAAAGCTAAAAGTGGTGTGAGTAGGAGGGAGAGCCAGGCTGGACGTGACCCTGAGAAAGTGAAAAAGATTCAGAGACTCTCCTGTGTGGTTCTGAGAGACTGACTCTCCATATCTGAAATGCATGAAAGTGAGACAGTGGCAGAATATCAATCATCTATTCATTTAAAACACTAAATGTAACTGTCTCATTCACAAGATCTGCATACTCTCCCTTCATGTGCACCTGTACATGTGAATTTACATCATTATCAGAAAAACCTTCTGAATCCACTTTGTAAAAGGGTTGGCACAGGAACGAGGACATCTGATACACCTGATATCTTCAGGATGTGTGCTCTCACTGTAGTCATATCACTCCAGAATCTGAAGGTTGCTTGGCAAGCAGGAACCCAAGAGTGGGGTTGGAATAGATGTTGAATCTTCAGTTTTCCTCTTGGGTCTTCTTCTTCTCACTCTATATCTTTCCCCAGGGTATTTCACCCACACACTTAACTTACATCACTGAAGAGAAAAAGATGACTCACAAATTTGAATCTGCCAGCCCCATTCTGTGCTCTAGGTTCCAACACACACATCTAACTAACTATCTACTTGACATTTCTACTTGGATGTCTCCAAGGCATCTCATAATAAAAATATCTCCCAAGCCGAATCATGAGCTTTCTGCTCAAAGCCATCTCTCCAAGGGTTCTCAGTCTCAGAAAATAACACTGCATTCATATAGCTAAATAGGATAGATTCTGAAAAGTCATTTTTACAGTGCCTTCTTTTTTAATTTTGTGGGTAAATAGTAGGTGCATTTGTTTATGGGGTACAAGAGATGTTTTGAAACAGGCATGCAATACGTAATAATGAACTCATGGAAAATAGAGTATCCCTTCTCTCAAGAATTTATCCATTGTGTTACAAACAATTGTTTGTTACAAACAATCCAAATATAGTTCTTTTTAAATGCAAAATTATTATTGACTATTGTACCCTGCTGGGCTATCGAATACTTGCTCTTACTCATTCTTTCTATTTCTTTTAACCCATTAACCATCCCCAATCCTCCCCCTATTCCCACTAAACCTCCCAGCTTCTGACAACGATCCTTCTACTGTCTATATCCATCAGTTTCATTGTTTTGATTTATAGATCCCACAAATTAGTGAGAACATGTGATGTATATCTTTCTGTGTCTACCTTATTTCACTTAGCATAATGACCTCCAGTTCCATTCATGCTGTTGCAAATGACAGGATCTCATTATTTTCATGACTGAATACTACTCCATTGTGCATAAGTACCACATTTTCTTTATCCATTCATATGTTGATGGACACTTACATTGCTTCCTAATCTTGGCTGTTGTGAATAGTGCTGCAACAAGCATGGGAGTGCAGATAATCTCTTCAATATACTGATTTTCTATCTTTTGTGTATATGCCCAACAGTGGGATTGCTGGATCATATGGTGGCTCAATTTTTAGTTTTTTGAGGAACCTTCAAACTGTTCTGTATAGTGGTTGTATTAATTTCCGTTTCCTTTAACAGTGTACAAGAGTTCCCTTTTCTCCACATCCTCTTCAGCACTTGTTATTGCCTGTCTTTTGGATACAAACCATTTGAACTGGGGTGAATAGATACCTCATTGTAGTTTTGATTTGCATATGAATAATCGATGATGTTGAGCAACCTCACTGATGTTGAGCAAATTTTCACATTCCTGTTTGTCACTTGTATGTATTTTTTGAAGCAATGTCTATTCAAATCTTTCATCCTTTTTGGATCAGATTATTAGAATTTTTCCTATAGAGTTTGAGCTCCTTATATTTTTCTGGTTATGAATCCCTTGTCAGATGGGAAGTTTATAATATTTTCTTCCATTCTGTGGGTTGTCTCTTCACTTTGTTGATTGTTTCCTTTGCTGTGCAGCTTTTTGACTTGATATGATCCCATTTGTCCATGTTTAACTTGGTTGCCTATGCTTATGAGGTATTGCTAAAGAAATCTTTACTTAGACCAATGTCCTGGAGAGTTTCCCTGAAGTTTTCTTGCAGTACTTTCATGTTTTGAGGTCTTAAATTTTAGTCTTTAATCCATTTTGATTTGATTTTTGTACATGGAAAGAGATAGGGGTCTAGTTTCATTCTTCTGCATGTGGATATCCAGTTTTCCAAGCATTATTTATTGAGGAGACTGTCTTTTCCCCAGTGTGTGTTCTTGGCACTTTTGTAGAAAATTAGTTCACTATGGATGTATGAATTTTTTTCTAGGTTCTCTATTCTGTTCCATTGGCCTATGTGTCTGTTTTTAGTGCCACTATCATGCCCTTATGGTTATTATAGCTCTGTAGTATAATTGGAAGTCAGGTAATATGATTCCTCCAGTTTTGTTCTTTTTGCTTAGGATAGTATTGACTATCCTGGTCTTCTGTGGTTCCATATATATTTTAGGATTTTTTTTTATTTTGTGAATAATGTCATTGGTATTTTGATACATATTGCATTGAATCTGTAGATTGCTTTGGGTAGTATGGACATTTTAACAATATTGATTCTTCCAATTCATGAACATAGAGTATTTTTTTATTTTTTCTGGTAACCTCTTCAATTTCTTTCATCAGTGTTTTATAGTTTTAGAAAATTAAAACTAGACGCAAACAACCTACAAAGTTGTATGTGTCTAGCAATTTATGTGTCTTTGTAGGTTGTGTCCAGCAATTTATCCATTTCTTCTCGTTTTTCCAATTTACTGGAATGCAGTTGCTCATAGTAGCCACTAATTTATTATCCTTTGAATTTCTGTGGTATCCATTGTAATGTCTTATTTTTCATTTCTGATTTTATTTATTTGTATCTTCTCTCTTTTTTTCTTAGTCTGGCTAGAGGTTTGGCAATTATGTTTAACTTTTCAAAAAACCAACTTTTTGTGTCATTGATATTTTTTATTATTTTCTTCATTTCAGTTTTATTTATTTATGCTGTGATCATTATTATTGCTTTTCTTGTACTAATTTTGGGTTTCATTGGCTCTTGCTTTTCTAGTTCTTTAAAATGTATCATTATGTTGTTTATTTGAAGTTGTTCTACTTTTTTGATGTAGATGCTTGTTGCTATAAACTTTCCCCTTCGTATATCTTTCACTGTGTCTCACAGGTTTTGGTATGTTGTGTTTCCATTATAATTTGTTTCAAGTAATTTTTAAATTTTCTTCTTAATTTCTTCATTGACCTACTGGTCATTCAGGAGCATATTGTTTAATTTTCATGTCTTTGTATCGTTTGCACAATTCCTCTTGTTATTGATTTCTAGTTTTATTCCATTGTGGTCAGAGAAGACGCTTGATATTATTTCAATTTTTTGAATGTTTCAAGGTTAATTTTGTGACCTAACATTTGGCCTATCTTTAAGAATGATCCATATGCTGAGGAAAATAATGTGTGTTCTGCAGTGCTTAGATGTTCTGCAAATATCTATTAGATCTCTTTGATCTATAGTGCAGATTAAGTCTGATGTTTCTTTGTTGATTTTCTATCTGGAAGATCTGTCCAATGCTGAAAGTGGGGTGTTGAAGTCTCCAGCTATTATTTTATTGGGGTCTGTCTCTCTCTATATATATAACTCTGATGATATTTGATTTATATATCTGTGTGCTCCAGAATTGGGTCCATATATATCTACAATTGTTATATTGTCTTGCTGAATTGACCCCTTTATCATTATATTGTTACCTTCTTTGTCTCTTCTTACAGTTCTTATCTTGAAATCTATTTTGTCTGATATAAGTATAGTTGATCCCACTCTTTTTTTGGTTGTCATTGACAAGAAATATCTTTTTCCATTCCTTTACTCTGAGACTATGTGTGTCTTTATAGATGAAATGTGTTTCTTCTGTAGATCACTGGGTCTTGTTTTTCTATCCATTCAGTTGCTCTATGTCCTTTATTTGGAGAGTTTAGTCCATTTACATTCAACGTTTTATTAATAAGTAAGGACTTACTCTTTCCATTTTCTTATTTGTTTTCTGGTTGTTTTATGGTTTTCTATTTCTTTGTTCTTTCCTGCCTGTCTTCCTTTTAGTGAAGGTGATTTTCTCTGGTGATATGATTTAGTTTTTATTATTATTATTATTTCTTGTGTATCAGTTGTACGTTTTTTAGTTTGAGGTTACCATGAGGCTTAAAAATCCTATCTTATAACCTGTTATTTTATGTTGATAATAACTTGCCACTGTTTGCATAAACAAGCACAAATAAATTCAAAAGACCCTATGCCTTATCTTCATCCCATCGCTTTTTAGCTTTTTGTTGTTTCTTTTTCTATCTTTTAGTATCGTTTATGTCTTGAAATGTTGTAGTTATTATTTTTGATTGGTCCATCATTTAGTCTTTCTACTTAAGAGTAGTGTATACAGCATGGTTACAGTGTTATAACATTCTGTATTTCTCTGTTTACTTCCCAGTGAGATTTGTTCCTTCTGATGATTTCTTCTTGCTCATTAACATTCTTTTGTTTCTGATTGATGTACTCCCTTTATCATTTCTTGTATGACAGGACAGGTATGAATGAAATTCCTCAGCTTTTGTTTGTCTGGGAAAGTCTTTATTTCTCTTTCATGTTTGAAGGATATTTTCACTGAATATGCTATTCTAGGGTAAAAGATTTTTCCTTCAACACTTTAAATATGTCATGCTACTCTCTCCTGGCCTGTAATTTCTCCACTGAAAAGTCTGCTGCCAGACATATTGGAACTCCATTGTGTGATATTTGTTTCTATTTTTTTTTGCTGCTTTTAGAATTCTCTCTGTATCCTTGACCTTTGTGAGTTGGATTATTAAATGCCTTTCGGTAGTCTTCTTTGGATTAAATTTGCGTGGTGTTCAATAACCTTCTTGTACTTGCATATTGATATCTTTCTCTAGTTTTGGGCAGTTCTCTGTTATTATCCCTTTGAATAAATCTTCTACCTCTATCTTTTTCTCTACCTCTTCTTTAAGGCGAATAACTCTTAGATTTGCCCTTTTGAAGCTATCTTCTAGACCCTGTAAGCATGCTTTATTGTTTTTTATTCTTTTTTCTTTTTTGTCTCCTCTGACTGTGTATTTTCAAGTAGCCTGTCCTCAACCTCACTAATTTTTTCATCTTCTTGATCAATTCTGCTATTAAAGAACTCTGATGCATTCTTCAATATGTCAATTGCATTTTTCATCTCTGGATTTTCTCCTTGATTCTTTTTTAGTTATTTCAATCTCTTTGTTAAATTTATCTGATAGAATTCTGAATTCCTTCTGTGTTCTCTTTAATTTCTTTGAGCTTTCTCAACACGGTTATTTTGAATTCTCTGTCTGAAAGGTCACATATCTCTGTTTCTCCATGAGTAGTCTCTGGTGCTTTAATTTCTTCATTTGGTGTGGTCATGTTTTCCTTGATGGTCTTTACAGTTGTCAATCCTTGTTGGTGTCTAAGCATTGAAGAGTTAGGTATTTATTGCAGCCTTTTCAGTATGGGCTTGTTGGTACTCATCCTTCTTGGGAAGATTTTCCAGATATTCAAAAAATTGGGGTGTAAAAAATCTAAGAGCTATCTGCTTTAGGGAGCACCCTGAGCTCAGTAATCCTGTGATTCTTGCAGTTTCATAGTGGTACCGCCTTGATGGTCTTAGACAGGATCCAGAAGAATTCTCAGGATTACCAGGCAGAAACTCTTGTTTTCTTTTCTCACGTTCTTTCAAATGAACAGAGTCTCTCTATCTCTCTGTTCTGAGCCACCTGGACTGAAAGTAGTGTGACACAAGTACCCCTGTGGCCACTACCACTAGGAATGCGCTGGGTCAGACCTGAAGCTAGTGTAGCACTGAGTGTCTCCCAAGGCCTGCTGTAACCATTCCCTGGCTATGGCCGACGTTCGCTCAAATCCTGGGGCTCTATAAACAGCAGGTGGCAAAGCAGCCAGGCAGGCCTATGTCCTTCCCTTCAGGGTGGTGAGTTCTCCTAGGCCCTGGGCATGTCCAGAGGTGCTGTCCAGAGCCATGGACTATAGTAAAAAAATCCTTAGAAGTCTACCTTGTATTCTTTTGCACTGCAGCTGAGCTGGCACTTGAGTCAAAAAATGTAGAGTACTTCTTACTCTTCTCTCCATTTTCCAGAGGCAGAGGTGCCTCACCCCATGGCCACCACTACCAGAGGTCCATGAAGAGTACTGCCAGACCATCACTGATATTCCTTTAAGGCCCAAGGGCTCTTCAGTCATTTTGTGGTGAATGCTGCCTGGCCTGGGATCCATCCTTCAGGGCAGTGGGCTTTCCTTTGGCCCAGGGAAGGTCCAGAAATGCTGTCCAAATCATGGAATTGGGGCTCTACCCCTCTGTGCCTGCTTGGTGCCCTACCCCTCTGTGGCCAAGCTGGTACCTAAGATGCAAGACAAAACCTTTTTTGCTTTTCCCTCCAATTTTCTCAAATGGAAGGAGTATCACCCCCTAGCCATCACAGCTGGGAATGTGCTGAGTCTCACCTGAAGCCAGCAAGTCTCAGAGTCTCACCCAAGGCCCTCAACACCTGGATATTGCTGCTGGTTATTCATGGCCCAAGGTCTCTTCAGTTAGCAGGTGATGAATATTGCTAGGACTAGGTTCTTTTCTTCAAGGCAATGGGTTCCCTTCTGGCCTAAGGGTGTCTAGAAATGTTATCTTGGAGCTAGGACCTGGAAATAGGGCCTCATAACTCTGACTAGTGCCCTATTTTGCTGTGGCTGAGCAGTATCCAAGATGCAAGGCAAAGTCCTCCCACTCTTTCCTCCCTCTCCTCAAGTAGAGGGAAGGGAACTCTTTTTTAGCCATGAGCTGTGAAGCCTGGGGTTAGAGGAGAAGTCATGCCAGCACTCCCTTCACCACCCGAGCTAGTGTCCCAGTAGGTAATGTGCCCCTCCCCTCCAGTCCACTGTCTCTGGACCCATTTCAGCACTAGAACTTACCTAGGAGCTGCAGTCCTTGTGGTCTAGACTGCCTTTCAAGTGTATTTTGTGCCCCTGAGCCCTTTAGTCCTCAGTGGCAAGGCTTGTGAAAACTCAAGTTTGAACTGCTGGGATCAGTGATTTACCTCCGGCTAGGTCTGGTTTAAATGCTCCCTCTGTGGGCAGGCATCAGCTGAGTTTGATCTGGTTTTGTTTTCTGTTATACTAGGGCAGCACTGAGTTCATTGCCTCAAAAATGATGTGATCTCCCTCTCCACAACACACAAAAACACCATCTGCACCACGCTACTGCTGCCAGGGCATATAGGGGAGGGGTGGCATCTTTGATTCAATACTTTGTTTTGCTACCTCTTCCATGCCACTTTTAGTGATATGAAGTTTAAACCAGGTACTGTGAGTGTTCACCTGGCTTTAGTACGATTCTAAATCCTCTGAATAGACTGGGTCAATAGGGACTTCCCAATCACTAGAGTGATTTGCACAGGCAAATCTACTTGACAGTTATGTCACAGAACAGACTCAAATGTCATATGGATATTTGGACTATATGATTTTCAAGCTCTTAATTCCCACCCTCAGATTCTAGAGTGGGATTTTTGTTCTTATGAGGGTGCCTTTATGTATCGATACCTGTTGAATTGGTTTCCCTGTGGGGGGACAATTGGTGGAAACTTCCATTCTGCCATCTTGCCTCATTTACTCATTTATTTCCAATGACCCTAATCGGTAAATCTTGCATTAGAGTGTTCATTTTGCAGAATGGAAAACTGATATCAGGAAAAAAAAATTGACAATTTGTGAAGGTCACATAGCCAGTATATAACAAAAGTAAGATTAGAACCTAAGCACTTCAACATCAGAGCTAGTCATTACTATACACTACTGCTTCCTGATTTTATTAAGAAGTGAAACGCACCGGGCGCAGTGGCTCACACCTGTAATCCCAGCACTTTGGGAGGCTGAGGTGGGTGGATCACGAGGTCAGGAGATCCAGACCATGGTAAACCCCTTCTCTACTAAAAATACAAAAAATTAGCCTGGCACGGTGGCGGGCGCCTGTAGTCCCAGCTACTCGGGAGGCTGAGGCAGGAGAATGGTGTGAACCCGGGAGGCGGAGCTTGCAGTGAGCCAAGATGGCACCACTGCACTCCAGCCTGGGCGACAGAGCCAGACTCCGTTTCAAAAAAAAAAAGAAGTGAAATGCTTGGCCGGGCGCGGTGGCTTGCACCTGTAATCCCAGCACTTTGGGAGGCTGAGGCAGGTGGATCACAAGGTCAGGAGTTCGAGACCAACCTGGCCAATATGGTGAAACCCCGTCTCTCTTAAAAATACAAAAATTAGCCAGGTGTGATGGCGGGCACCTGTAGTCCCAGCAACTCGGGAGGCTGAGGCAGGAGAATTGCTTGAACCTGGGAGGCAGAGGTTGCAGTGAGCCGAGATCACGCCACTGCACTCCAGCCTGGTAACAGGGCGAGACTCCGTCTCAAAAAAAAAAAAAAGGAAAAAAAAGTGAAATGCTTATGAACATTCAAATGCTTATGAACATTCAAACTTCCCTATAGCAAGACAGCCAAGCCTATTTGTTTACATAAATACATACTCTACCTCTGTAGCTTTTTTTATATGAGCATATTACAAATACTGAAAGAGAACCTTTGCATAGCTTAGGAATAGTTGGAAATAAGAAAATAATAATTCAACAAATACCAGCTAAATTTTAACCTCCTGGAATTTAAATATAGACAGGAATGGCAACATTAACAACTTCATTGCCAATAAGAATAATGACGTCCACTAGTAATCATTTCCTAAAGTTTATAGTCAATTTCAAAAACAGCTTTCCTGGAAGTTGCACCAAGTAGAGGTATTGCTATATGAATATGCAACTTCTCATCCAATGTGAGTGGTTAGTATGATCTAGGTCTTAAAGGTGCCATTATATGTAATATATACATACATATAATATCTTAATTTGTTCATCACTACATTTCTTGACATTTCTTATTTTCAAGCTTCAACAAGAAATATCTCTATCAGGCATCCTCACAATGTCTGACATTTTCCTAACAATTCTCTACCTTCATCTCATCACTAATCATAATTAATGCTGTGCCCCTGTCACAGGCAGCTGTGAGAGAAGCAGAATGTTAAAATCTAATCAATCAGTTTCCAGCTGGTCTAAACTTGCTTACAAGATTCAGATAAAATTTATGGATTATACTAATCAAAAGCAATCTGAACAGTTTATTATAAAGTCTAAACAAAAATAAAAGAAGATCTAAGTCAATGTAAATCAACCAAAAACTCTAAAATGAAATGAAAAGTCTTTCCTAGTGAACATATAAAATGTTTGTTTGAAAGTCCCAGGGGGTTAAGTGAACTAAGCATGTATGAAATGTAGGGTCTCAAAAATCCCAGAAGGCCGGAAATGTAAGTAAGTGCCATAGAAGCCTAAAAGTGTCCAAACCTTTCATTAAATTTAACCTTTCGTTAAATTTAACCTTTCCGACTTTTTTTCTTGACTTTGCCAACATAAAGATGAGAGCAAATTGTGACATATTTTATGTAAAATTTTAGAACTAAATAAAGACTTCTGAAATAAGGTACCCCACCAATTTAATGGCAGTTATTGCCTTGGTTGAGTTACATAGTTCAGTGGCAGAACTAGAACTAGGCTCCCTGACATTCAGTTTAGTACCCATCTGATGATACTCTTCTATGTTTCATATGCATTATGGGTTAAGTTTTTTAAATGTATAAAACTAGCATATTTAGGAAGAGAGTGCTTCCTTCTCCAAAGCCCAGTTACTGGTTGTAAATTAGGCAATTGAAAAGCATTTTCAGACCACAATGATAATACTGTTCCCATGGAGTTTGACCACCAGGGAGTGACTGAAAGAAAGGAAATCTGGGACATATCATTTGGGAAGGACAATGGCTCCATTCATAACCAACTATGACTTAGCTTTCCAAAAGTAATGATAAATGTCATTGGACATTTATAGCAAGTAAAAGCAGAAGCTTCTGGAAAAGGCTTTGAAGATCATCTAATCGAACTCCTTTATTTTGGGGATATGGAACACAGAGAAGAAAGAGAATAAAACTTGTTCTAATTGGTAATGGTGATAATTTGATTTCAAGGGTATCTAGCCCATATCTTTCTGAGAAGTAATGTTTTCAGTCTTAAAATATCAACGAGTATGTGGTTGTTGATATTCCAGAGAAGTTCTCTGAGATGTCAGAATCTTCAACAATCAATTATTCATTTAACAAAACATAACTTAAAAAAATTAAGGTTATGCTATGGTTTGGATATGGTGTGTTTGTCCCCACCAAATTTCATGTTGAAATTTCGTACCCAGTGTGGTGGTGTTGAGAAGCAGGGATAAGTGGGAGGTGTTAGGGTAATGGGAGTGAATCCCACATGAATGGTTTGGTGCCATTCTCTTGGTAGTAACTGAGTTTTTGCTCTCACAAGATGGGGTTGGTTCTTATGGGAATGAAATAGTTCTTTTGAGAGTGGGTTGTTATAAAGCCAGGAAACATCCGGGTTTGGGTCCTCTTCACATGTGCCTGCTTCTCCTTTGACCTTTTCTGCCATGTTTTGAGCAGCAAAAAGGCTCTCACCAGAAGCCAAGCAGACATGGGTGCCATGCCTCTTGTACAGCCTACAGAACTGTGAGCTAAATAAACCTCTTTATTAGTTACCCAGCCTCAACTATTCCTTTATAACAATATAAAATGGACTAAGGCAACTTGTATTAATGTGATTAAACTATGCCAAATTATACTATTTTATAAGTCTTGTAAACCCTGAATGCATGAGTTTACACAAATGCATTTTGAAAGAACTATGTTGTATACCTGGTCAAATAAGGTACATAACCTGGTGCTTTCAACTTTTCCAAAGCTGTATTTATTACAATAATGAAATGGTTTAATCTCACCTTGAGCTTATGCTTACTGGAGAAGCAGAAGCAAACAAACATTTTAAGTGATGGTTTCAAATACGCTATTAATATAAGGCCTGTTATTAAATTAAAAGGATAAATGAGATGAATTGAGATGATTCACACCACTTTTAACATAGGGCTAAGCACTTTGAAAAGTTTCAGTTCCCATGGTAAATAAATAAATACATTTTAAAATAAATGTCTCTAAATACATACATTTCCAAATTTATCTAAAATAAATACATTTTTAAAAAGTCAGGCATTAGTGAGAATGATATTATTAACATGACAGCTGCTTATTTTCAATTCATTGATCAAACATTAAAAGAGAGAATTGAGTATGTATGTGTTTTCTTAGAATGATGAAGATAAGTTTATGTTTTGTTTAATATAAAATAATTTTTAAATGTGGTCATCTTTAAAGTGTTAGATTCTACCAGTTATATCACATATACTTTGATTACTAGAGTAAAAACAGAAAAGTAGGTACCGAGCAAAGCCATGTATATAAACTGCTTTGAGACATAGGGAGCCATGCCCTGTATCAAATAATGGTGATAAACTGAGAAAAAGGAGGTCTAAAGTGTATCTATGGGAACTAACAACAGAGATCATTTATAATCTAGTGTTTTAGAGTGTGGGATATTAAGTTGTTCCAAATATTAGCTGTTTGTTTTTCATTACAGTACCTTCTATGTCTCTTCCCTATAGCGTGGGGAATTAAATATTCTCACGTCATAGGTGTGAGCAGAAGCATATACCTCCTCCTTTTCTTCTACCACAGGAATAACCATATTCCAGATAGGTGTTTCACTTAGCTTAATTCTTGGAATGAAGAGGACATGATGCAGAATCTCAGCTGTCATGCAACCAACATGTAATGTGCAAAAAAAAAAAAAGAAAAGAAAAACATGTTTGTTGTAGGCAAGCCCTAAAATTTCAGAATTGTTTGTTACTGCAGCATAACCTAGTCTAACCAATTGTTACACTTTGTAAAAGCAGTTATAATGGAATGATATTGATGGGACAAGATTAGAACAGGTTGAAGAAGAAGGAATACTTTATTGTAGCATCAATTTTAAATAAGATTAACCCAAAACGTTCACATTGCAAGTACATGGAAATGCCAAATAAATTCTTATTTTACATACATGATTGGGCTTAAAGGAAACAGAAAGGACCAAGGAACAACAATAACAATGCCAAAACAAAATGAATTGATAATCAGAATCTAAGCACATAAGTAACACAGCAGCCACCCTTGGATGGTGAGGGTGGGGAGGAGGAGGAATGTGGGTTACAATACCAATAGAGTTTGAAGGGGTTTTTTGTTTTGTTTTGTTTTGTTTGAGACAGAGTCTTGCTCTGTCGCCAGGCTGGAGTGCAGTGGTGCAATCTCGGCTCACTGCAACCTCCGCCTCCTGAGTTCAAGTGATTCTTCCACCTCAGCCTCCTGAGTAGTTGGAACTACAGGTGTGCACCACCACACCCAGCTAATTTTTGTATTTTTAGTAGAGACAGGGTTTCACCATGTTGGCCAGGATGGTCTCGAGCTCTCAACCTCATGATCCACCTGCCTCAGCCTCCCAAAGTGATGGGATTACAGGCATGAGCCACGGCACCTGGCCAGAGTTTGAGGGTTTTAATGGCATCATATGACAAAAAAACAGGGTTTGTTCATTCAAAAGTAATAAATTAGAACAGAGACCTCTGTATGAACTGAGAACAGAGTTTCTTAACCAGAGTGTAGTGGGACTTACCTTAGTGTACCTTAGAAATGTTTTAGTTTTCTAAGTAAGTGCAACATGATGTAAAAAGTTTAGGAGGTTCTGATTGTAAATATCAAAGGTCATAACCTCAGTGAAAGGCTGAAATAGGGAAAATCCACTCAATATCAGAAGAAAACAACAAGGAATCTTGTTGGTCTTTGAGAGTTTGAGAACATGGGCCTACATATGTGGTTTGGAGGTCAAAATATATATTATATACATGACACAAGAATTCCTAAGTTGGAATATTAGTACAACCTATGCCCCATGATAACTATAGGACACTTGTAAGACACACAAACAAAAACACTCTGGGATCACACTCTCAATTCATTTAACAAAGGGTTAGCACAGAAAACTACCTACTAGATATGAGATTAGAATGAAAAAGTATATAACGATTAAGAAAATCATCCATCATGAAGAGTCACGTGACATAACAAACAGCAGAATCAGACTCTCAAGAACAATATTATAGAAATTACAAAACAGTATTCTTTAAAGAATTAAGAAAATATAAATAAAAATGTAATAAAAAAGACACCACTATGTAAAAGTGGGACATCTTTAAATAAATTAAATTTTCTAAAATGAAAAAGTACACAATGATCAGCGCACAAATAAAGATAGATTGTGCAAGCAACAAATTAGACACAGAGAATTCAGGGAATGGAAAACATTCCATTCTTAGGTAATTGCCAAAATTCACTACAGAGATAAGTTAATAGAATGTATTAAAAAGGCATTAAGTGACACCAAGAAATGAATTATTAGATCTGGTGTTCATCTTATAGGATTTCAAGAAGAAATGAAGAATGGGAAAAAATGATATTTAGAAGAAATAATAGTGAGATATTTCCAGAATTCAATAAGATAGGTATGCTCATATTCAGGGGTCATAAAAGTCCAAGAAATAAAGAAGAGGAAGGGAAGGGAAGGAAAGAGGAGGGGAGGGGAGGGAAGGGAGAGAGAGAGAGAGAGAAAAGAAAGTTAGTTATAGGAGAGTAAAGAGTTATAGGAAAGCTATATGTTAGAGGCAAGTCATAACTAAAATGCAAAGCACCAAAGACAGAGATTTAAAAAGCAACCAGAAAGAAAAAGAATGAAAGTTGGACTGACAGTATACTTCTCAATAGCACAAGCAGAACTCAGTCGTTCATTCAACAACTGTGTATAGATTTCCTACTATGTGCCCAGCACTATTCTTGGTTTTTAGGAATGTAGGAGTCAACAAAACAAAGTACAGTTCTGCAAGAATATTACATGCTAGTGGGAAAAAGATAGACAGTAAAGAATTAAGAAATACAAAAGATGCTGGTGGTAATAAGGCCTAATTTAGGAGACTGAAAACACTGTGGGGTGTGGTGGAAACATGCTGTTTAAATAAAGTGGTTAGGGAAGCTCTCACTGATAAGGTGAAATTTGAACAGAGACCTGAAAAACTAAGGCAATGGGGCTGATGGTGATAAATGAATATTAATATATAATTCTAGACTCATTTAAATTATCAGTCTAGTGTAAGAATTAAATGCAATCCCAGTAAAAGTCTGGAAGGGTTTATCACCAATAATTTCTTTCTTTCTTACTAAAAAAAATTGTTAAAATGTATACTTCAGAAAGGCAGAAAGTGTCCTTTGCCCACTTTTTAATGGGATTACTTGTTTTTTTTTTCTTGCTGATTTGAGTTCCTTGTAGATTCTGGATACTATTCCTTTGTTGGATGCATAGTTTGTGAACACTTTCTCCCACTCCGTGTGTTGTGCATTTACTCTGCTGATTATTCCTTTTGCTGTGTATAAGCTTTTTATAAGGAAGACATATAAGAAACTTCACACATAAACATGTCTAAATAAGTATTCCCTATATAAAACAATAATTTGAAAAATAATAGATACAAATATGTAGGTATTAAATAAGGTAGAGAAAAAAGTATTTAAGAATAACGTGTAAGAAGAGAGAGATTATTGTCATATATTTTATTTTGGGGAGGAAACTTAGAGGTAGTTGAGTGCCCTTGATATCACTATCAGAAACAGAATGTATAACTTCCAAATCAGTAGGAAACACAAGGAAAGAGGAAGAACATGATTAATACAAGAGAGAGCAGGGAAAGAGAGGCAAAAAAAAAAAATACGAGGTCTATAGGAAGATATAGAACTGAATAAAAATTTATCGGTAATCAAGTCATATATAAATGGACCTAATTCACCAGTTAACAGATTGGCAGATCGGTCTAAAAAGAATCTAGCTTAATGCTGTCCGTAAGAGACACCCTGAAACATAGGTGAGAGCAAGATTGAAAGAAATGTAAAAGATAAGCCCAGTAAATAGTAAACAAATAATATAGTGATGTGTCTGTATTAATATCAGACCAAATAAATAAACCTTAGAGGAGGTGGCATTATTAGAATTTACATTAGGCATACTGTAAATTATTATTTATTGTTATTATTTTATTTCAATAGTTTTGGGGGATACAGGTGGTTTTTGGTTACATGAATGAGTTCTTTAGTGGAGACTTCTGAGATCTTAGTGTACCCATCACCCGAGCAGTGTACACTGTACCCAATTTGTAGTCTTTCCCTCACCCCACTACTAGCTTCCCCCATCAAGTTCCCAAAGTCTATTATATCACTCTTATGCCTTTGCATCCTCAGAGTTTAGCCACCACTTAAGTGAAGACATATGATATTTGGCTTTCCATTCCTGAGTTACTTCATTTAGAATAATGGCCTCCAGCTCCATCCAAGTTCCTCCAAAGACATTATTTCATTCCTTTATATTGCTGAATAGTATTCTATGGTGTCTACATATCACATTTTCTTTATCCACTCATTGGTCAGTGGGCACTTAACTTAGGGTGGTTCCATGTTTTTGCAATTGTAAATTGTGCTGCTATAAACATGTGTGTGCATATGTCTTTCTTTTTCATATAATGACTTCTTTTCCTTTGTGTAGATACCAAGTAGTCAGATTGCTGGATCAAATGGTAGATCTGCTTTTAGTTATTTAAGGCATTTCCATAGTGGTTGTACTGGTTTACAACCACTTTGCATGGCCATGAGAGCCCACCCCTTGCATCAGTGTTCCCTGAATGTGAAACATGGAGTCAAAGGGAATCATTTTGGAGCTTTAATATTTAATGACTTCCTTGTTGGATTTCAGACTTGTATGGGGCCTGTAGCCCCTTTGCTTTGGACAGTTTCTCCCATTTGGAATAGAGTATTTATCCAAGGCCTGTACCTCCATTGTATCTTGGAAGTAACTAGTACAACCCAGTGGTTGTACTAGTAAAACTAGTTTACCAGTTTAGTTACTAGTGTTCCCTTTTCACCACATCCACGCCAAGATCTATTTTTTGACTTTTTAATTATGGCCATTCTTGGAGGAGTAAGATGATATTTTATTGTGATTTTAATTTGCATTTTCCTGATGATTAGTGATATTGAGCATTTTTTCATAAATTTGTTGGCTGTTTCGATATCTTCTTTAGAGAATTGTCTATTCATGTCCTTTGCCCACTTTTTGATGGGATTGTTCTTTTTCTTGCTGATTTGAGTTCCTTGTAGATACTGGATACCAGTCTTTTGTTAGATGCATAGTTTGTGAATACTTCCTTCCACTCTGTGGGTTGTCTGTTTACTCTGCTGATTCTTCCTTTTGCTGTGCAGAAGCTTTTTATAATAGTTTAATTAGGTTCCATTTATTTATTTTTGTTTTGTTACATTTGCTGTTGGGGTCTTAGTCATGAATTCTTTGCCTAAGCCAGTGTCCCAGTGTCCAGAAGAGCTTTTCTGATGTTAACTTCTATAATTTTTATGGTTTCGGGTCTTATATTCAAGCCTTTTATCCATCTTGAGTTGATTGTTGCATAAGGTGAGAGATGAGGATCCAGTTTCATTCTTCTATATGCGGCTTGCCAGTTTTCTCAGCACCATTTATTGAAGAGGGTGTCCTTTCCCTAATTTATGTGTTTGTATTCTTGGAACACTATGAATTATTAAAGATAAAAGTTTTAGAAGCTACAGTAACATTGAGTTCATACATATCCAATAGTATAGTCCAAAATATGAAGCAAAAGTTAACAAGATAGGAGAAATTTATATATGTACCACATTGAAAGAAAAGTTAACATTAACACACATTTAGTAAGCATATAGAATATTAGAAAAACATACATAAAATATTTCCTTGTCCGTACATAGAATTTGGCAAATTTAATTTATGAAGACACATTCTTTCAAGCACATAGGGGACACTTGTGAAAATTCAACATGTGTGGGATGCAAAAGCATATCCTAATATAGTATAAAGCATATCCCATATAGTATAAAGTAGTATATGATACAGACCATACTCTCTGTGCCCCATAGAATATAATTATAAACCAAGGTATATTAGTCCATTCTCACACTTCTATAAAGAAGTGCCGGAGACTGGGTAATTTATAAAGAAAAGAGGTTCAATTGACACAGTGCTGCATGGCTGGGGAGGCCTCAGGAAACTTACAATCATGGCAGAAGGTGAAGGGGAAGCAAGAACGTTCTTTGCATGGCAGCAGGTGAGAGAAGTACAAGCAGGGGAAATGCCAGACCCTTATGAAACCATCAAATCTTGTGAGAACTCATTCACTGTCATGAGAGCAGCCTGGGGGAAACCTTCCCCATGATATAATCATCCCACCCTTGACACTTACTTGGGGATTATGGTGATTACAATTTGAGATGAGATTTTGATGGAGACAGAGAGCCAAAGCATATCACTCTGCCCCAGTCCCTCCCAAATGTCATGTCCTTTATACATTTCAAAACCAATAATGCTTTCCCAACAGCCCCCCAATGTCTTAACTCATTTCAGCATTAACCCAAAGTCCAAGTCCAAAGTCTCATCTGAGACAAGGCAAGTCTCTTTCACCTAGAAGCCTGTAAGATCAAAAGCTACTTAGTTATATCCAAGATACAATGGAGGTAGAGGCATTGGATAAATATTCTATTCCAAATGGGAGAAACTGGTCAAAACAAAGGGGCTATAGGCCCCATGCAAGTCCAAAATCCAACAAGGAAGTCATTAAATCTTAAAGCTCCGAAATGATTCCCTTTGACTCCATGTTTCACATTCAGGGAACACTGACACAAGGGGTGGGCTCCCATGGCCTTAAGAAGCTCCTTCATGGGCTGGCAGTGCCTGCAGCTTTCCCAGGCAAGGGTGCAAGCTGTCGGTGGATCTACCATTCTATGGTCTGGAGAATGGTGGCCTTCCTCTCACAGCTCCACTAGGCAGTGCCCCAGTAGGGACTCTGTGTGGGGGCCCCAACCTCATATTTCCCTTTTGCACTGCACTAGCAGAGATTCTCCATGAGGACTCTGCCCCTGTAGAAGATTTCTGCCTGGACATACAGGCATGTCCATACATCCTTTGAAATCTAGGCAGACATTCCCAAACCTCAATTCTTGACTTCTGTGCACCCGCAGGCTGAACACCACATGGAAGCCACCAAGGCTAGGGGCTTGCACCCTCTGAAGCAATGGCCTGAGCTGTACCTTGGCCCCTTTTAGCCACCACTGGTGTTGAAGTGGCTGAGATGCAAGTGCCATGTCCTGAGGCTGCACAGAACAGCAGGGTCCCTGGGCCTGGCCCAGGAAAACATTTTTCCTCCTAAGCCTCTGGGCCTGTGATGGGAGGGGCTGCCATCAAGATTTTTGATGTGCCCTGGAGACATTTTCCCCATTAACATTTGGCTCCTTGTTACTTATGCAAATTTCTGCAGCTGGCTTAAATTTCTCCCCAGAAAACAGGTTTTTCTTATCTATTGCATTGTCAGGCTGCAAATTTTCCAGTTTTATGCACTACTTCCCTTTTAAATGTAAGTTCCAATTTCAAACCATCTCTTTGTGAATGCATAAAACTGAATGTTTTCAGAATAATCCAGGTCAGGTTTTGAATGCTTTGTTTCTTAGAAACTTCTTCCACCGGATATCCTAAATCATCTCTCTCAAGTTCAAAGTTCCACAGATCTCTAGGGCAGGAGCAAAATGCCACCAGTCTCTTTGCTAAAGCATAGCAAGTGTGACCTTTGCTCCAGTTACCAATAAGTTCCTCATCTTCATGTGAGACCACCTCAGCCTGGACTTCATTGTCCACATTACTATCAGCATTTTGGTCAAAACTATTCAACAACTTTCTGGGAAGTTCCAAACTTTCCCACATCTTCCTCTCTTCTTCTGAGCTCTCCAAACTGTTTCAACCTCTGACTGTTTGTTACACAGTTCCAAAGTTGCTTCCACATTTTCAAGTATCTTTATAGCAGTGCCCCACTAACTCTGTACCAATTAACTGTATTAGTCCTTTCTCACACTGCTATAAATAACTGCCTGAAACTGGGTAATTTATAAAGAAAAGAGGTTTAATTGACTCACAGTTCTGCATGGCTGGGGAAGCCTCAGGAAACTTACAATCATGCAGAAGGCAAAGTGGAAGCAAGAACCTTATTCACATGGCAGCAGGAGAGAGACGTGTGAGCAGAGGAAATGCCAGAGGCTTAAAAAACCGTCAGATGAGATAGTGAGAACTCACTCACTATCACAAGAACAGCATGGGGGCAACAGCCCACATGCTGCAATCACCTCCCACCAGGTCCCGCCCTCGACACATGGGGATTATGGTGATTACAATTTGAGATGAGACTTGAGTGGGGACACACAGCCAAACCATATCGCAAGGGCAAAAAGATACCTAAAAAATTAAGCTTGCCTATTTGGAAGTTTTAGAAACTACTTCTAAACATCTCCAGGACCCAAAAATATGTGATAATAGATATTAGAAATCTTTATAACTGAATTAAAATGGAAAGAACATATACAACAATTCTTTGACCCATGAAATGCTTAGAGGTATATCAGTTAATTTTCAAACATTTGAGATTTTCTGGATTTCATATTGTTATAAATTTCTAATGTAATTCCATCATGTTAAACTACATTACATTCTGTATGGTGTCAAACCTTAAAAATGTATTACAACTTGCTTAATAGCCAGTTTTCACTCGCGTCCATGTGAAAAGACCACCAAACAGGCTTTGTGTGAGCAACGTGGCTGTTTATTTCACCTGGGTGCAGGCGGGCTGAGTCCGAAAAGAGAGTCAGTGAAGGGAGATAGGGGTGGGGCTGTTTTATAAGATTTGGGTAGGTAAAGGAAAATTACAGTCAAAGGGAGGTTGTTCTCTGGCAGGCAGGAGTGGTGGGTCACAAGGTGCTCAGTAGGAGAGCTTTTGAGCCAGGATGAGCCAGGAGAAGGAATTTCACAAGACAATGTCATCAGTTAAGGCAAGGACCGGCCATTTTCACTTCTTTTGTGGTGGAATGTCATCAGTTAAGGCAGAGCAGGGCATTTTCACTTCTTTTGTGATTCTTCAGTTACTTCAGGCCATCTGGGCATATACGTGCAAGTCACCGGGGATGCGATGGCTTAGCTTGGGCTCGGAGGCCTGACACCAGTCATATTGTCTATATTGGGGAACATGCCATACATACTTGTAAAGAATGTGTCTTTCAGTTTTAGAGTGTAATGTATAAATATTAATTAGGTCAAGATAGTTTATAGTGTTTTTAGTTCTTCCATGACTTTATTCACCTTTGGACTACTCATGTCAACTAAAGAGAGGTTTTTAAATATCCAACAAAGTTTGAAGATTTGTCTATGTCTCCTTTAATTTTGTCATTTTTTTTTTTTCTCTGGGGATAGGGTCTTGCTCTGTTGCCTGGGCCACAGTGCACTGGCACAATCGACTCACCACAGCCTCAAATTCCTGGATTCAAGAGATCCTCCTGCCTCAGCCTCCTGAGTAGCTGGGACTACAGGTGCATGCCACCACACACCAACTAATAATTTTGTCAATTGTGCCTTGTATATTTGGAGGCTGTTTTTAGAAACATACACATTTATAATGCTTATTTTATGCAAACTGTAGGCCTTTTCCTCTGTGGCTCTCCATTTTCTTGGGTTTCCCTCCTTGCTTTCTTTTTGCTGCATTTGAAGCCATCCTCACAGGGTAAACAATAATTCTGGACAGAAGTATAGTTACAATTAAGCATTAATCAGGCTGCACTTTAATCTACTTCCTTATAACCAAAAGTCACTAGATAGATACTGAATATTTGCACCTACATTGTTCCTATAGACAGGATTTCTGACATTAGAATCACAATACTTTTGTTTAAGAATTTAAATTATTTTTCAGATTCCAAATATCAGTGAAACAGCTGATGCCAACCAGCTAGAAGACTCTTACAAAGGAACAGAATTGGAATAATTAATATAGTTTCTTCATCTCCCTGTCCCGTGACTTCACCTGCACTCTTGACCAATCAACGATATCCACATTTGCACCCATTTCAAAACCTTTAAGAGCCCTAGCCCCAAACTCCTTGGGGAGATTGATTTGAGGTTCCCTCCCATCTCCTTGTTCTGTGACCCTATGGTTAAATCTTTTTCTATGCTATAACCCAGTGTCTCAGCGTATTGACTTGCCACATGCATCAGTCAATGAACCTATTATGGTTACATGTTTACCCCAAATTCTGTCTTTAGATTCTTCAATTTAGTCAAAATTTTTCCTTTTAGACAGACAAAAAAGGCAGAAAAAATAATGTGCTGTCACAGTGCTCACATCAAAATTCCTTGACAAAATTAAGTTTTTATTTCTCACTCACATGACCATATAATCAATTTAGACAGTTGTCCTCAAGGAGATGACTCTGGATCTCAGCTAATTCCACCCTGTGGTTTCATCACCTTGAAATGTTAACATAGTAATTTCAATGTTCATTCAGCCTGTAGACAAAGTAAGGTATTCCAAAAATGTATTTGATTTTTGTCCTAGGTCCCTCACATAGAACTCCTAAAATCCTTGGAATTTCCTGAAGGATAAGAGGGTCTATTGTTATTCATAGAAGTTCCTTTTGATTATACCTAAGTTAATGCTAATGAGCTGACTCATGCTGGGGAGCACTAGATGGCATCAGGATGGCAGCTGACTGCCAGAGGAAAAAAAACCATGTGATATTAAAAGGCTGAAACTTTCAGCTCCACCCTCAACCTTTGAGTATGGGAGAGGGACTAGGAAAACTCTGAATAATGAGGCACAAAGAGTTTTCTCGTTGGCGAACATATCAATGTAATGGGAGGGCACACACCTAGACTCCACAGAAACAGAAGCTCCTATGTTCTGGACTCTTCTGTATCTCATCCTATGATCTCTTCACTGAGTCATTTGTTTGTATTCTTTATAATAAGCCAGTAATTGTAAACGTAGCACTTTCCTGAGTTCTGTGAGTCATTCTAGCAAATTATCAAACAACATGAAAGGGAGTTGTAGGACCTAATGAATTTTTAGCCAAGTCAGACAGAAGTGCAGGTAACCTGGGAACCTGGAACGTGCACCTGGAGTCTGAAGTGGAAACAGTCTTGTGGGACCCCTTAACGTGTGGGATCTACACTAACTCTGGGTAGCTAGTGTCAGAGTTGAAAGACTTTCCCCTTAACATGGGTGATCTGCACTAACTCTGGTTATTGAGTGTCAAAATTAAATTGAATTGTAGAACAGCCAGTTGGTGTCAGAAAATTGCTATTGGAAAGCACACAAAAGGAAAGTGTATAGTGGACCCTGTATCTGATAATTAACCTACTTGGACCAAAAGTTAAACTCATCGATTCTTCTGACATTCCACTGGAGGAAACTATGCATATGAGTCACAGGTTAATGTTGTCCTTAGTTGGACATGTCAGCAAGTCCACACTATGAGAGTTCAAATATTTGGTGGAAAGTTAGCTTTCTCTGTTACAGTGTCTAACTCAAGAAGTTAGAGAAAGAACAACAGAGTGAAACTAAAGTTGGTAAAAGTAAAGATAAAGATAAATATTGCAGGTACTTTTAAAATATTAAACAAAAGAGACGACAGAATTAACAAAACTAAAAGCTAATCCTTTGAAAAGATAATAAAATAGACAAAGTGTTGTCAAAATTTAGTGTACAAATACTAGACATAAAAAGAACAGGCATATATAGATTTCAGATTACATATAATAGAGAATTATGAAAACCTTTATGTTACTAAATTTGAAAATTTAGATTGAATGGACATTTCCTAGAAAATATAAATTTCAAAAATAGTTTTAATTTTTTTCAAATTCCAACTATTCAAGTAAGCATTAGAGAAACTGAATCAATAAATTAAAAATCTGCCCAGAAATATTTCTCCACTATTACCAGACATATTAATAGGTGTGTTATATATTTAAATAAGAGAAAGTATCAATCTTCTACAAAAGTTTGAAGTATAGACAAAATAGCAAAGCATCAAATAAACTTTTGTAAGGACAATATATCGTTTACATCAAAATCTAACAAGGGTAGTAAGAGAAAAGCACATTTAAGGCCAAGCACTTTTATAAACATAGATGCAATAATAGTTCTAAATAAGATATTAGCTGATCAGCAGTGTATTTAAAAAGTGGTTTATGGTTAAACTGAATTTCTACTGGACATTCAAGAATAGTTTACCATTAGAAAATAAACTACCTGTAATTACTACATCAACAGATTAAAGGAGAATATTATATTACAGTTCCAATAGATTCAAATAATTGATTAAATTAAACATCTTTTCATGATTAAAATAACTCACCAAACCACAGATTAAGGAAACTTTTTAACCCAATAAAGTGTATCAATAAGGATCTCACAACAAACATGATATCTAATTGTTAAACATTAAAAAACACCCTTAGTTTAAAATATGTTTACTATCACTACTTCTATTTACCACTGAAATGGAAGTACTAGAAAGTTCAATAATAAAAGAAAAATTAAACTTATAAGGACCAAAAGGAAAAAGAAAACTAACATCATCCACTGTCAGTCTATATACAGTTATATAATTATTTATATAGGAAATAAAGAAAAATTGGAATGCAAACTATCACAAATATTAAAAGAGTTAAACAGAATTCCTGTGCACAAAATCAATTTAAAAAGAAAGAACGGTTACAATCCAACACATCGATAACACCAAATGCTGACAAAGATATGAAGCAACAACTCTCATTCATTGCTGATGGGAATCCAAATTGGTACAGTCACTTTAGAAAACCGTTTATCACTTTCTTATAAAATTAAACATACCCTTGCCATATGATCATGAGTTGAAAACATGTCCACACAAAAATGTCAGTGTTTATAGCAGATTTATCCATAATCGCCAAAACTAGAAGCAAGCAAGTTGTCCTTCAGTAGATGAATGGATAAACATACTGTTTTACATTTATACAACGAAATGTTACATACTAATAAAAAGAGATGAGCCATCAAGCCATAAAAAGACATACATGAATCTTAAATGAATATTGCTACATGAAAGAAACCAGCTGAAAAAGATATTAACTGGATGATTCCAATTATATGACATACTGGGAAACGCAAAATTATAGAGACAGTAAAAACAACAGTGGTTGCCAGCTCAGGGAAGGTGTGGAAAGGTGTTGTATAGTAGGAGCATGGGGAATTTTTCAAGGTAGTAAAATTATTCTGCATGATACTGTTATGGTCAACACATGACAATATGCATTTATCAAAACTTATTAAGCTTTATAGAACAGAGTCAACCTCAATGTATACAAATGTTGAAAATTATGTATGAGGTCTAGGAGATACCAGGATAGAATGCAGAATGTGACAAAACAATCTTATTGTATTCCAAATGTATTAAACAACCTCACAACAACTATTGACTTATGTAACTTTGAAAATGAGTGGAAGTTGTTTTCCATGGAAGTGCTGGTTCAAGAAATATATGAGCTTAGAGCACCTTGTAGTATCAGAAAGTAAGGAAGTGATAAAAAAAATTCCAAAATGTTGGGGGTACATCCCATGAACACAAGAACCAGCTGAGAAAGCTTCCAATGGTTAAAACTGGAAAAATTTGAACAGTAAAATACAGTGGTGTTCATTATATACTGAATAATAAAATCAATGTCTATGAGTTCATACTGATATAAGTAAATAATTAGATAAATAAATGAGAGGAGACAATATGTAGAATTCCAAATAATTTATGTTCTACTCCACCTTTAAGGAAGTAGAATATAACTTTTCTTAAGTGAAGATCTGCATATAGAAACGTCCTTTCAAAGAATAGAATATGGAAAGTACGGGGAGGGGGTGATGTAATATTAGAGTACAGAAACCTAACACTGCCTTGGCCAGGTGTTCAATATCATCATCATCATCAGTGATAAGTGAGGTTGATAGTATATACCCTTGATATTATTTAATGTAAATGGCATTTTACCTTTATGATCTTCCTTTCTAGAACCCATAACACTATTCTAATCATGAGAAAAACTTCACATAATGTCTCCTAATTCAGAGACATTCTACAAAATACCTGACCAGTAATTCTCAAAGCTACCAAGGCCACCAAAAACAAGGAAAGTATAAGAAGCTGTCATAGCTAAGTGGAGGCCAAGGAGACATGATGACTAAATATAATGTGGTATCTTGAATTGGATCCTCAAATGGAAAAAAATGGTATTAGGTAAATGAGATTTGAATAAAGTATGAACTTTAGTGAATAATAATATATCAATGTAGTTTCACAAGTTATAACAAATGTACCATTCTAATGTAAGATGTCAACATTGGGAAAACTGTGTGGGATATATGGGAACTCCATATTATAGTCACAACTTTTCTATAAAACTAAAACTTCTCAAAGTATAAAGTTTAGTTAAAAATAAAAATCAGTGAATTCCTAAATAACATTAAGAAACAATTTTAGGGGTGAAAAAGGTATAATGCCTTTTCTATTACCCATCACGAGGGTCACTGACAACCTTCCTGTAACAAAAGACAGGATAATAAGAGAAAAGCATAACAAATTTATTTAACAAAGTTTTATGTGATGCAGGAGCCTTCAGAATTGAAGACCCCAAAACCCAGGGAATACTGTCTATTTTTATACTTAGGTTCAATGAATAATAGACAGCCATGCAGAAATGTGATTGGACAAAGGGTATGATCTAATGGTAACAGACAGAGGAGCAACGGATCCAGCAAGGCTTCTCTGTTGAGATTCTTCTTGGCCTCTCTGTGTACAATTTGTTCCTCCTAGGTATGGGGCAAGAACCCTGTCTCTGGAACTAGAGTCTTTAAGGGAGAAGGAAGAGAGTAACCTTCTAGGTTTTAGGGCTTGCTTTAGCGAAGAGGAGGTCTAGTTTCTATGACCTGCCATGGGATGAGGAATTTTGATAACTATGACTAGCTTTGGAGAAAAACAAGGATCAGGAGACAGGAGGGCAGAAGAAGATCAGAGAGGAGAAGGTTAGAGAGACCTTACTTCTGAGGCCCTTCCAATCCCCTTCAGTTCAAAGTTTTCAGCATACCAAGGTGCTATACTTTAGAGTATTGTGTTCTGAGCCCCAATATTATTATAAAATGTAGTTTTTTACAAGAAGCAATTGACTATTGCAACAAACGCTATAATATACTTAGGAATAAATACCTTTAAAAGATTCAATATATTTGCGGCATAAATTATAAAACTTCAGTAAAAGACATAAATTGATATGCAAATATGTATAGAAATCTGTCATGTTCATGAATAGAAACACTCCAGTTGCTAATGATGCTAATTATTGCCAAGTAAATCAGTAATTGCGGTGTATTTTCCATCTAAATCCCAACTGATTTTTGATGAAACTTTGCAAGCTGATTCTAAAATCTATCTGAAAGACTAGAGAAAAAACAATAATAGTAATAATAATAATAATAAAAGAATGTCAAAATGATTTTAAACAAGGAAATAAGGTATGGAGATTTTTCCTACCACGCAAGAATGGTTAATTATTGTGTGTGTGTGTGTGTGTGTGTGTGTTTGTATACACATACCTATCCCCACACACACATTGTCTACATATATGTGTACTAAAAATAAGGGGGAAAACATGGGCATACTTATACTAAACCACAGTAATTGTTGATTTTTGTTTGATTTTTTAAAATGAAGGATGGAATAGAATCAGAGACTAATACACAGACTTCAAATCCATCTCTTAGGTTTTATCTCTTTTAAAAAGGAGCAAATGTCCAATATTAAGCTTTGATAAGCTGCAGAGTGGATGCATAGTTATGTATGCTATATTATTCCCTATAGGTTTCTGTGCACCTAAAATATTTCATAATAAAAAAACAAGGCAAACTGATTCTGAGAAAATGGAAACCACACATACCATTTTGTCATTAAATTTTGTCATTAAAGAAAGCAGATAAATAATAGAATGACAGCTGAAGGAAGAAGTGGGGTCAAGAGAAATGTACTTATTTTGTTAAGTTGATAGAGCATGTCAGTGCACTTACGTGAATGAGCCAGTAGTAAGTGAGAGGTTGATAATGCCACAGAGAGGGAGGGCATCATTGAAAAGCAAAATCTTTGAGAAATGAAGATAAAGGATCTTAAACAAACACATTTGGAGGGGCTGGGTTTTGATAGGCATGTAGTGCATTTTCTCTATATTATAGTATCTTATTAAAAAATTGTGATTCAGTTTTTCTTTGTCCCATAATGCTTAGAGTGTTAAAGCCTGCTCAAACTCCTAAAATTGCCTTAGGTTAGCAAAGCTCTGCCCTGTATCATTAGGAGTATAATGCATCTTAACAGTACTTTCTCCAATGTTCCTGGTTGGTTCCCAGCACAGCTGTCTGGATCAACTGGAACAAAAGGTTACAACCTGGTTAGTGTGCTGAATGCCCAGTGGGCGTTTGATTTTTTCCTGATGAACCTAATTTCCCATATTAGCAGGAACACATGGCATATTCTCCACAGCCTGGCTTTATGTTTAAATATGCACCACATGATATTGTGTGACACATTCTCTTCTTCTCAGCCTGGAGATGCAGAATGCAAAAACAGAATCATCAAAAATGAAGCACCTTTTAGAAAGTCATTTTCTACTAGAAACAAAATAGAATACAGGTTTTAGGACATCACCTGTTCTTTTATTTGCATCAATCAAACAGAAATACTAAAATGCAATGTTTGTGGTACCATGTTAAGAGGTCTTAGAAACAGAATAGTAATTAGCTCACATGGGAAATTTAGGAATCATCTTATCCAAACCCATTAATTTCCATACAACCCAACCCAAGCCTCTCCAACCTGTAGATACAAATGAAATTCCCTTTACACTCATATTCAAATTACAAAGGATTTCTCAATCAGGAAACAACATTTCCTCAAAGTATCCTCCAATTATTTTTGAAAACCCACAAAATGGTTCTCACAGGAGGCTTAAAATCAGTCTTGAAGCTTTGGTCACCACTGATTTTCCTATCCTATTTACTCCAATTTTCATTGATTGGAACTTCCAATTATTGACACTTAAGGTCAGGAACGAGTCTAGCTAAGTAATTGAGCATGTGGGCTCTGAAGCCTGTCTCTTGGGGTAAAATAATCCTTACTCTTCCCTAACCACATCACATAAACAAGTAATTTAATCTTCCTACGCCTCAGGTTCCAAATCTTTAAATGGGGCTGTGCAGGGAAAAGATGCCATCTGTTTCAGAACAAAGGGAGGTAAACTGCTTATTGTGTTGTATACACAGTGGAAAGTTTTTATAAGGGGAAGAGGAAATTTACTGTTGTTGGAACAGAAACTGAAGGAAGAGAGGGAAATGAAAATAATAAAGGAAATTAAATAAACTAATGCACATAAAATGTCTGATGCATACTCAATATATGCTTATTATTATTACTATTATTATTATTAGTAGTAAAACTATAGGTAGGGAAACTGTTTTTATTATTTTCAGTTAACAGATCAGTGTCAAAGAAAGTATATACTTTACCTGAAACAATAAACACTCAAAAACTGTTTGCTATTTTTATTTATAAAACTGCTACATGAAGCTTTACATCTGTCATTTCTGATAGATTTCTGACACAGGAATGCCAGCAACAATACTAAGGGTGTTCTTAATCCCACAAATCTTCAAGGTGACAGAGCAGTGCGAGGACAGGAAGAGACAGAAGAGTAGCCTTCTCTAAATTTGTGAACACATCTTGCCACCTGGCTACAAAATCTTAAGCAGTCCTGCTGTAGAGTACTGATGAGTGTGTGTTCTGACACTCTTGCTACATGGTTTTTTTTTTTTTTGTCATGGTGTAAAATTTCAACTGCTTACTAATCTTCTTACTATTAACACATTTAATTTTTCAATGAGTCTTTTCAGCATCAATGATTAAAAGAAAGTGTATGCTTAATGGCAAATTAAATACTGAGTTTCTGTTTCTCAAGAACATTGACAAAGAATATGTAACTTACATAAAATGTTAGTGGAGTGGTAGTAATATAACTGACCACATGTTAACCAGGAGACACATATCTGCTGAAGAAACATCAGCCTCTATCACACAAGTCAGTAGTTATTTTAAGATTATTATCATACGGCCAATATGGCTGACTAGAAGCAGCTAATGTGCACCTCTCTCAAGGAGAGGAGAAAGAGCAGCGAGTAAATATTACCTCTTAAACTGGAACATCCAGGTGGACACATTGAGATTTATCAAGGAAACAATGCGACTCATGGAAAACAAATATCCACACAGGACAACTGCCCACCTGAGGATGGCACAGAGCCAGGGGAGGTCCCCTAACACGGGGAAATGGTGAATGAGTCAGAGTCCCCTGGGACCCACACTACTGCCATGGACCTTTACATCTCTGGGCTCAGGAGATCCCTCGTGAACTCCCTCTACTGAGGTCTCCAGACCCGCACAGAGGGCTACGTGGAGTTTGGGCAAAGCTGCTGCTCAGGAACATGCAGAGTCCTGGGAGCATTGGATCCCCTGGCACCTCGGCACCAGTGGCTGCAGCTCTGGCAACAGAGGAGGCTAGCATGCCCCCAGGAAAGGTGCCAAATCCAGGGGCTGAACAGTGATGGACTGCAGGCCTTGCCTCCACTGCCTCTTTCAGGATAAGGCCCACCGGCCTGGGATGCTAGTGAGGCCCCCCTATCCCAGCCTGAGTTCTGGCCGAGAGCAGCTCTGCAGTTCCCTGGGATGGAACTCCCAGGGAGAGAGGCAGGCTGCCATTTTTGCTATTCCACAACCTTCTCTCCTGTTGCCCTCAGGATCTGGAGGGTGTGCAGTGATTAGGAACTAATGCAGATGCTCAGCAGTGTAGCTATCTCAAGGAAAAGCAGCCAGTTTTTCCACGTGTGTCCCCAACCCCACTACTCATCACTGGGCAGCGCCTCCCGACCTGGCACCCCAGCCACTCCTCTCCTAGGTTCTCAGGGCAGTAGCAGCTCTGCACTTCCCTGAGGCAGAGCGCCCAGAGGGAGGGGCAGGCCGCCATTTTACTGCTCTAAAGCCATGACTCCTGACTCCTGTTGCCCTCAGGAGAGAGCGTAGCGGCTGGGGAGTGACACAGGACCGCCCCAACCCCCGACCCCCTCCTCGTGCCGAACAGCGCCTCAGCCATACTTATAAGTGGCGGGACTGTTTTCCACACAGGTCTCCACCTCTGCTGTTCTTCACTGGGCAGTGCCTCTAGACCCGGGCCTCCAGCACAACCAGCCTGTCCCCACCCAAACACTTCAGTCAGTGGCGGCTCTGTGATTCTCTGAGGAGGAAATCCCAGAAACAGCCTACAGCCCCTCTGCCATTGCAGCTGCAGTGGTATTGCCCTTACTGCCCTCAGGATGGGGAAGGAACAAAGGGCTGGAACCTCTAGCACATCACAGTCACCATATGGAGAGGATCCAGTCTTTCTTCCCTGTGAGTCCCCACCCTCCACTTTTCACCAGGCAGGGCCCCTGTCTTGGGAACACGGAACAGCTGTCCTATACCCAGCTGAGCATTCCCACTGCTAGCATCTCTGTGCTTCCCCAAAAAGGGGCTCCCAGAGGCAAACGACAGCCCTTCTGCCACTATGTCAGAGGTTCTGTTCCTGCTGCCCTCAAAATGGAGAAGAAATAAAGAGCCTGAGGGCTTCACTTGTGCTTCCAGCATGCCACAGTCGACATATAGAGAAAAGTTTTCACCCTTTACCAGGAAGGTCTCCCAGCTTGGGCCAGCAGTGCAGCCATCCCACTCCGTGGCTGAACATTCCCAGTACCAGCGACTCTGCATTTTAGCTCCCAGAGGCAACCGAAAACCCCTCTTCCACTGCCACTACGGTGGTACTTCCCTTGCCGTCCTTGAAATGAAGAAGGAGGAAAGACCCTGAGTGCTTTAACCACACCTCTAGCAAACCATAGCTGCTCTAAGGAGAAGAGACCACTCAGTCTTCCCCAGGAGTTTCCAGCACCTCCTGCTCGTCACCAGACAGGGCTTATTGGATTGGGCCCACAACACAGCCACCCCATTCTGGGTCGATCACACTGATTGGAAGTGACTCTGCATTTCTCTGGGGTGGAGCCTCAAAAGACAAGTGAAAGGCCCTCTGCCATAGCCACTGCCAAGGTCCTTTCCCCTGTTGCCTCCAACCTGGGGAAGGAGCATAAAGCCTGAGCTCACTCCAGGGCTACAGTGTGCAGCCGAGGTGTGTTAAGCCAATATCTGCAGCCAGCACTCAAGTGGGAGAGGAGCCCACACCTTCTGAACACTGGGAGGGAGCACAGGTGCAAATGTGAGGAAATACAGAGGAGCTACGTGGCTGAGCAAGAGCCTACCTACTGGCCATTATACTTAAGTGCCATCTACTGGATCATAGCCCAAATTTCAACATCAAAAATACTTCGCTAATATACCCACCCTGTGAAACCAAGGACAAGAACTCAGCTAAAAATAAAGGCCCTGAGCTAAGGCTCAGTCTTTTCTGAAAACATCCAGAAAATAAGTCAACTGACTGTATTCAAATTAAACCACAGTTAAAGGAAAATCAGCCCACAAAGATGAGAAAGAACCAGTGCAAGAACTCTGGCAGCTCAAAAAGCCAGAGTGTCTTCTTTCCTCCAAACGGTGACACTAATTCCCCAGCAAGGGTTGTTAACCAGGCTGAAATGTCTGAAATAACAAACAGAATTTAGAATAGGGATAGGAGTGAAGAACATTGATTTTCAGGAAAAAGTCAATACCCAATCCAACGAATCTAAGGAGTATAATAAAATGGTACAGCAGCTGATAGATAAAATGGCCATTATAAGAAAGAACCAAACTGATCAGATAGAGCTGAAAAACACACTACAAGAATGTCATAATGCAATCACAAGTATTAACTGCAGAATACACCAAGCTGGGGAAGAATCTCAGAGGTAGAAGGCGGGTTCTCCCAACTAACTCATTCAGAAAAAAAAAAAAGAATGAAAAAGAATGAACAAAGCCTCTGAGAAATATGGGATTATGCAAAGGGACCAAATCTATGACTCATTGGTATCCCTGAAAGAGGGGGAGAAAGCAAGCAACTTGGAAAACATATTCCAGGATGTTATCTATGAAAATTTCCCCAACCTCTTTGGAGAGGCCAATATTCAAATTCAGGAAATGCCGAGAACCTCTGCAAGTTACTACACAGGAAGACCATCCCCAAGACACATAGTCTTCAGATTTACCAAGGTTGAAAAGGAAGAAAAAATGTTAAAGGCAGCTAGAGAGAAGGGACAGGTCACCTACAAAGGGAACCCCATCAGGCTAACAGCGGACCTTTCAGCAGAAACCCTACAAGCCAGAAGGGATTGGGGCCTATATTCAGCATTCTTAAAGAAAAGAATCCAACCCAGAATTTAATGTCCAGTCAAACTAAACTTCATCAGCAAAGGAGAAATAAGATGTTTTTTGGACAAGCAAATACTGAGGGAATTTGTTATCACCGGACCTGCCTTACAAGAGGTCCTGAAGGAGAGCTAAATATGAAAAGGAAAGACTGTTACTGGCCAGTACATAGACCATTGACACTGTAAAGCAACCATACACACAAGTCTGCATAACTAGCTAACAACAAAATGACAAGATCAAATCCATACATATCAATATTAACCTTGAATGTGAATTGGCTAAATGCCCCAAATAAAAGGTACAGAGTGGCAAGCTTGATGAAGAAGCAACACCCAATGGTATACTGTCTTCAAGAGACTCATCTCACATGCAGTGACACCCATAGGCTGAAAGTAAAGAGATGGAGAAAAAAATCTACCAAGCAAATGGAAAACAGGAAAAAACAGGAGTTGCTATCCTAATTTCGGACAAAACAGATTTTAAACCAATACAGATCAAAGAAGACAAGGATGGGCATTACATATTGGTAAATGGTTCAATTCAACAAGAAGACCTAAAAACCCTAAATATATATGCACCCAACACAGGAGCATAAAGGAAGATCATAAGGAAGATTCCTAAGGGAAGATTCATAAAGGAAGATCTTAAGGAACTATAAAGGACTTAGATTTTCTACACAGTAATAGTGGGAAACTTCAACATCCCACGGAGAGTATTAGACAAATCACTGAAGCAGAAAACGAACAAAGATATTCAGGACCTGAACTCAACAAGTGACCAGATGGCCCTAATAGACATCCACAGAACTCTTCTCCCCCAAACAAGAGAATATACACTCTTCTCTTATGCACATGGCACATCCTCTAAAATTGACCACACAGTCGGACATAAAACAATTCTGAGCAAATTCAGAAAAACTGAAATCATACCCATGCAATAAAAACAGAAATCAATACTAAAAAATCGCTCAAAACTATACAATGACATGGAAACTAAACAACCTTCTCCTGAATGACCTTTAGGTAAACAATGAAATTAAAACAAAAACCAAGAAATTCTTTGAAACGAATGAGGATAAAGATACAACATATCAGAATCTCAGGGACACAGCTAAAACAGTGTTCAGAGAGAAGTTTGTAACGCTAAAGGCCCACATCAAAAAGCCAGAAAGATCTTAAATTAACCACCTAACATCGCATCTAGAGAAACTATAGAAATAAGAGTAAATGAACCCCAAAGCTAGCAGAAGACAAGAAATAACCAAAATCAGAGCTGAACTGAAGGAAATTGAGATGCAAAACAAAAACAAAAACAAAAAAAAAAACCCAAAACACACACAAAAAAGATCAATGAGTCTAGTAGTTGGTTCTGTGAAAGAATAAATAAGACAGACCACTAACTAGACTAATAAAAAAAGAGAGAGAAGATCCAAATAAACACAATCAGAAATGGCAAAGGGGACATCAAGGCTTACCCCACAGAAACACAAAAAGCCCTTAGAGTCTACTATGAACAACTTTATGCACACAAGCATGAAAGCCTAAAAGCAATGAATAAATTCCCAGAAGCATACAATCTCCCAAGATTGAACCAGGAAGTAATTGAATCCCAGAACAGACCAATAACAAGTTCCAAAATTGCATCAGTAATGAAAAGCCTACTAACCAGATAAAGCCCAGAACCAGATGAATTTACAGCTGAATTCTAACAGATGTATAAAGAAGAGCTGGTAACATTCCTACTGAAACTATTCCAAAGAATTGAGGAGGAACTCCTCCCTAACTCATTCTATGAGGCCAGTGTCATCTTGATACCAAAACCTTGCAGAGACATAACCAGAAAAGAAAACTCCAGGCCAATATTTTTGATGAACATAGATGCAAAAATCACCAACAAAATACTTGCAAACCAAATCCCGCAGCACATCAAAAAGCGAATCCTTCACAATCAAGTAGGCTTTATCACTGGGATGCAAGGTTGGTTAAACATACACAAATCAATAAATGTGATTCATCACATAAACAGACCTAGAGACAAAACCCACAAGATTATTGCAATAGATGCAGAAAAGGCTTTCAATAAAATTAAACATCCCTTAATGTTAAAAACACTCAACAAACTGGGCATTAAAGGAACAAACTTCAAAATAATAAGAGCCATCTATGACAAACCCACAGCCAGCAACATACTGGATGGGCAAAAGCAGGAGGTATTTCCCTTGACAATCAAAACAAGACAAGATATCCTCTTTCACCACTCCTATTCAACATAGTACTGGAAGTCCTGACTGGAGCAATGAGGCAAGAGAAAGAAATTAAAGGCATTCAAATAGGAAGTCAAACTACCGCTGTTTGAAGATAACATGATTCTATATCTAGAAAACCCCATAGTCTCAGCCCAAAAGCTCCTTGATCTGATAAACAGCTGCAGCAAAGTTTCAGGATACAAAATCAGTGTACAAAAATCGGTAGCATTTCTATACTTCAACAACATCCAAGCTGAGAGCCAAGTCAAGGAAGCCATTTTACTGATAATAGTCACAAAAAGAATAAAATACCTAGGAATACAGCTAACCAGGAAGGCAAACATCTGTACAATGAGATTTAGAAAACACTGTTCAAAGGAATCAGAGATGACACAAACAAATGGAAAAGCATGCCATGCTCATGGATTGTAAAACTTGATATCATTCAAATGGCCGTGCTGCCTAAAGCAATTTACAGATTCAAAGCTATTCCTATCAAACCACCAATGACATTCTTTACAGAACTAGAAAAAAAACTATTTTGAAATTCATATGGAACCACAAAAGTGCTCGAGTAGCCAAGCCAATCCTAAGCAAAAAGAACAAAGCTGGAGGCATCACATTTCCTGACTTCAAACTATAATACAAGGCTACAGCAACTATAACAGTATGGTACTGGTACAAAAACAGGCATATAGATCAATGGAACAGAACAGAGAGCCTAGAAATAATGCCACACACCTACAACCATCTGATCTTTGACAAAGTTGACTAGAACAAGCAATGGGGAAAGGACTCTCTAGTCAATAAAGGGTGTTGGGATAACTGGCTAGCCATGTGCAGAAAATTGAAATTGGACTCCTTCCTTATACCATATATAAATATCAATTCAAGGTGGACTAAAGACTTAAATGTAAAACCCCAAACTATAAAAACCCTGAAAGACAACCTATGCAATACCATTCTGGACATAGGGAGGAACAAAGATTTCATGACAAAGATGCCAAAAGCGATTGCAACAAAAGCAAAAATTGACAAATTGGATCTAATCCAACTTAAGCATTTCTGCACAGCAAAAGAAACTATCAACAAAGTAAACAGACAACATACAGAATGGGAGAAGATTTTTCCAAACTATGCATCTAACAAATGGCTAATATCCAGCATCTATAAGGAACTTAAACAAATTTACCAGAAAAAAACAACTCCATTAAAAAGTGGCAAAGAACATGAAGAGACACTTCTCAAAAGAAGACATTCATGTGGCCAGCAAACATATGAAAAAAATCTCAACATCACTCATCATTAGAGAAATGAAATTCAAAACCACAGTGAGATACCATCTCATATCAGTCAGAATGGCAATTATTAAAAAGCCAAAAAATAACAGATGCTGGCGAGGTTGTGGAGAAAAAAGAACATTTTTATATTGTTGGTGGGAGTATACATTCATTCAACCATTGTGGAGGACAGTTTGGTGATTCCTGAAGGACCTAAAGAGAGAAATACCATTCAGCCCAGCAATCCCATTACTGGGTATACACCCAAAGGAATATAAATTATTCTATTATAAAGACACATGCACGTGTATGTTCATTGCAGCACTATTCACAATAGCAAAGACATGGAACCAATCTGCATGCCCATCAATGACAGACTGGATGAAGAAAATGCAGTATGTACACACCATGGAATACTATGCAGCCATTAAAAAAAAAACAAAACAAAACTATGTCCTTTGCAGCAACACGAATGGAGCTTGAGGCCATTATCCTAAATGAATTAACAGAAACAGAAAAC
Source organism: Homo sapiens (assembly GCF_000001405.40). Lineage (NCBI taxonomy): Eukaryota > Metazoa > Chordata > Mammalia > Primates > Hominidae > Homo > Homo sapiens. The sequence goes on along the minus strand of NC_000023.11, from coordinate 113,385,655 downwards.
CAAATACCACATGTTCTCACTTATAAGTGGGAGCTAAACAGTGAGTACACATGGATACAAAGAAGGGAAGAACAAACAATGGGGCCTAATCGAGAGTGGAGAGAGGGAGCAGGATGAAGATCGCAGAACTACCTATTGGGTACTGTGCTTATTATTTGGGTGATGAAATAATCTGTACACCCAAACCCCCATGACACTCAATTTACATTTATTAAAAAAACTGCACATGTGCCCGAAACCTAAAAGTTAAAAAATAGGTTATTATAGAAGACAATAATATAATATGCACTGGTGAAGTAGGTATATTCACATACCATTCTATAAAATATGACTTATTTAGATCGAATGATTGGTTTTTTTTAAATTGATTGCTTTAATTTTCTATTATTATGTATGTATAAAAAGTGGCTTGGTAGTTGTGATTACACAGGCTTCATTAGCAGAAAAACTTCATAAACAGCAAAATATACCAGTTTTATATCAGTGTAGTGTGATCAAATGCTTCAAATAGAAAATCGGATTATTCCAATAATCTTCAGGGTTTTTTTTTTAACCAATGGACAAATGGCAAGTAAAGCTTTAGAGAAGTCTTTATTTTGAAAATAAAATATCTAATATTTTGTTGAGTTATCAGTAAAGTTTCAATATTGAACATAAAGCTATGTTTTATGATAATGTAAATATAAACATTAGTAGAGCACACATTTTTTTTTCTAAATTAAGAGGCCTGTGAATCAGACATGTGCTTGCAATTGTTGTGTTGGACACATAATTCATGATTTCGTCCAACTAAGTTTCAGCATCACCAGGGAATTTCTTTGGAATGCAAACTCTTGGGCCCCATCCCAGATCTAATGAATCAGCAGCTCTGGCAGTGCAGTCCGGCAATCTGTGTTGACAGCCTTCCAGCATATTCTGATGCACACGAAGGTTTGAGACCATTGATATAGGTTATCTGTAAGCACTCCTTGGCTTTCCTCACAAATAGGTTTGGAAATTCTGGAAAAAGGATCACAGCTAACAAACATTTACTGAGTGCCTACCAGGTATTAGGCTCTGTGTAAGTGCTTTAAATAGATTATTTCATTTCATTCTTTCAAAAAAATGAGAAAGATACTATTGCTACTCTCACTTCATGGGCGGGGGAACTGATAATATCAAGATGGTGAAGTGCCACAAGGCCCATGACATAAAAAAAATTGAGCTAGAATATTAATCCAAGCAGTCTCCCCAAATACTCCTCTGCAGCCTCCCTTTCTCCATTAGCTCCACCAGTCATCCTCAGAGTAAGATGAGCAAGAGAGAGAAAACTATAAAATGGTTCTAGTTATTTAATTATAAGTGATATATTATGATAACTGTTGGAAAGCTGGAAGATGGAATTAGTTTACTTGGTCAAAGATAAATAATTCACTATGGTCATAAATACTACCCTTAACATTGATTTAAACATTTTTACAGGTTTTGAATGATTACTATTCAGTAGACACAGTTGGACTATGATGTATTATGTAGAAGTAATTGTATGTTCATGAATTAAAGTGCCATAACAGTATTCTACATGATCTCTTGTATTCTTAGCCATCTTTGAGCCAAACTATGAAGCTATTTTGTACAAAATGAATATAGAAATTTTTGTCCTGCAATAAAACATGAAAAATACACTCTTTGTCATTACAATATTATCTGAGCTAGTTTTTTGTGAAAACAATGAAAGAAGCAAAAAAAGTACCACAGTTTCCAGAGTAACATTAAAAAAGAAGACATCTTCATTTTTCCTTGCATTTTTATCCCATAAGATGATTTAATTGCTCTTTCATTTAAGCATTTCTGCCTACAGCATGGATCACAAACTTCCAAAGGCTGCTCATTCTCTGTGTAAGAAAATTCATTTTTATATGATGATGTTTTGGGGAATAAAATTAATTAATTTTATTACCTAAACTCACCCTTTTAAATTTACAAAAAAGTATAAGCAAACTTCAATGGACACTTTTTTTTCCACTGAATAAGAGATATGCTCTATTCCCAACTGTACTTATGAGTTGCTGGAATGTAAACATTTATTCTCATAAAAAGTGGGAAATCAGTCCTTTTCTTCAGCTAATTAACTCATCTATCTGTGAAATTTTGATGACTGATTTAGTAAATATGCAGTAGATTTTTTCCAAACACTGTCTTCTAAACTAAATGAACCAATCTCAGCCTCAACATGATGCTGCTTGGTTGGAAAAAATAACAACAATAAATACAATAGATTTATCTGTCCTTATTTTTGGCAAACTTTTAAGAATGTTAAAACAGTTACAAATTTTAGTTATGGCATTTGTTTTTTTCTGTTTTTTTTTGTTTTGTTTTGTTTTTGATTTTTTTATTTCAATACCTTTAGAGTACAAGTGGATTTTAGTTACATGGATGAATTGTATAGTGGTGAAGTCTAGGATTTTATTGTACTCATCACTCAAGTAGTATGGTACCCAATAAGTAGTTTTTCATCCCTCACCCACCTTCCACTCTCCCCTCTTCCGAGTCTCCCATTTTCACTATACCCTTCCGTATGCTTTTGTGTTTAGGTCTCACTTATAAGTGAGGACAGGTGATATTTGGTTTTCCATTCCTAAGTTACTTCACTTAGAATAATTGCCTCCAGGTCCATCCAAGTTGCTGCAAAATACATTATTTCATTATTTTTTATGGCTGAGTAGTATTCCCTGCTATATATGTGCCACATTTTCTTCATCTACTCATCAGCTGATGACACTTAAGTTGATTTCAAATCTTTGCAATTGTAAATTGTGCTGCAATTTAGTTCTTTGTGACATCTCCATACTGTTTTCCATAGAGGTTGTATTAATTTACATATCCACCAGCAGTGTATAAGCATTACATTTTTACCACATCCATAGTAACATGTATTGGTTTTTGACTTTTTAATAATGGCCATTCTGGCTGGCATAAGGTGGTAACTCATTGTGGTTTTAATTTGCATTTCCCTGATGATTAGTGATGTTAAGCATTTTTAAATATGTTTGTTGGCCATTTGTATATCTTCTTTTGAGAAATGTCGATTCATGTTCTTTTCCCACTTTTTAATGAATTATGTTTTTTCTTGCTGACTTTTTTGAGTTCCTCGTAGATTCTTGAAATTAGTCCTTTTTTAGATGTATAATTTGCAAGTATTTTCTCCCATTTTATAGGTTGCCTGTTTACTCTGGATTATGTCTTTTGCTATGCAGAAGCTTTTTAGTTTAATTAGGTCCTATGTATTTATATTTGTTTTTGTTGCAATTGCTTTTGGGGTCTTAGTCATAAATTCTTTGCATAGGCCAACGTGCAGAAGAGTTTTTTCTATGTTTTCTTCTACAATCTGTATGGCTTCAGGTCTTTAAGTCTTTAATCAATCTTGAGTTAATTTTCCTATGTGGTGAAAGATTGGGATCCAGTTTTATTCTTCTACATGAGGCTATCCAGTTTTCCCAGCACCATTTATTAAATAGGGTAGCCTTTCTCCAATTTGTGTTTGTATGCTTTGTCAAAAATCAGTTGGTTGTAAGTATTTGGCTTTATTTCTGTGCTCTCTATTCTTTTCCATTGGTCTTTGTATCTACTTTTATAGCAGTTCCATGTGGTTTTGGTAACTATAGCCTTGCAGTATAATTGGAAGTGGGGTAATATGATGCCTCCAAATTTATTATTTTTCTTTAGAATTGCTTTGGCTATTCAGGCTCTTTTTGAATTCCATATGAATTTTAAGATTATTTTCTCTTTAATTCTGTAAAACATGATGTTGGTATTTTGATGGAAATTGCATTGAATCTGTAGATTGCTTTGGGGAGTATGGTCATTTTCACAATATTGATTATTCCAGTCCATGCACATGGGATGTATTTCCATTTGTTCGTGTCATCTATGGCTTCATTCAGCAGTGCTTTGTAGTTCTCCTTGTAGAGACTTTTCACTTTATAGGTTCAGTATGTTCCTAGGTATGTTATTTTGTAGCTATTATAAAAGCGACTGAGTTCTTAATTTGATTCTCAGCTTGGTCATTGTGGTGTATAGCAGTGCTACTAATTTGTGCACATTGATTTTGTAACCTGAGACTTTGCTGAATTCATTTGCCAGATCTAAGAGTCTTTTGGAGGAGTTGTTAGGGTTTTCTAGATGTAAGCTTATACTATTGGCAAAAAGAGATAGTTTGACTTTCTCTTTTCTGATTTGGATGCCCTTTATTTCTTTCTTTTGCCTGATTGCTCTGGCTAGGACTTCCAGCTCTATGTTGAGTAGAAATGGTGAAAGTAGGCATCCTTGTCTGGTTCTAGTTCTTAGGGGGAGTGCTTTCAACTTTTTCCCATTCAGTATGATGTTGGCTGTGGGTTTGTTGTATATAGCTTTTTAAATTTTGAGGTATGTTCCTTTTATGCCTAGTTTGTTGAAGACTTTTTTGAAAAGATAAACAAAATTGATAGACCACTTGCTAGCCAAGAAAAGAAGAGAGACAATTCAATTAATCTCAATTAGAGATGCAAATGGAGCCATTACAACTGACACCACAGAAATACAAAAGATCTTTTGAGACTACTATGAATACCTCTATGCACACAAACTAGAAATCTAGAGGAAATGGATAAATTTTTGGAAAAATGCAACCACTCCCCCCCAACAGCTTGAATGAGGGAAAAATAGAAATCCTGAGCAGACGAAAAACAAGCAGTGAGACTGGATTAGTAATACAAAAACTTCCAGCCAAAAAAAGCACAGGTCGGTTTCACAGCTGAATTCTATCAAACATTCAAAGGAGAATTAGTACCAATTTTACTGAAACTATTCCAAAATATTGAGAAGGAGGGAATCCTCTCTAACTCATTCTACAAAGCCAGTAACACCCTAATAACAAAGCCAGGAAAAGATGTAACAAAAAAAGAAAACTACAGACCAATATCCTTGATGAATATAGATGCAAAAGCCCTCAACAAAATACTTGCAAACTGAATCCATCAGTACATCCAAAAAATTTCACCATGATCGAATGGGTTTCATTCCAGGGATGCAGGGATGGTTCAACATATACAAGTCAATAAATTTGATTCATCACATAAACAAACTTAAAAACAAAAACCATTTGACCATCTTAATAGATGCAGAAAAAGCATTTCATAAAATCCAGCGTCCCTTTAATGATAGGTATGGCGTTTGAACACCATGTTTAATTTTTCAATTTCAGAGAATTTTAAAGCAATATTCCCATATTATCTTACAAATGATGGACTTTTTTGAAGGAATTAATTGTTCATGGAATTGAAAAGTGCATTATTTAATGTGTTTAGCTATAAGTAAAGTGTTCTTTAAGTTTTACATATGGTTAGATTTATTTTTCAATTTCAGCCATTTTATTATACTGGATTAAAAAATTTTATGCATATTTTTAAAAAGTCATATTGAAGTTTGTTTATAAATAATCTGCAAATGTGAAAAAAACTCAAGCCATAACATTCTGCTAACAATAAGCAAATGGAGAAAAACATATTTATTTATAGTTTCATTTATATTTCTTTATATGCTCTTACCTTTTATTCTCACTCATAAATTTTCCAAAATCACACATATTTGGCAAAGAAATAAAAAATGGACTAGATTTTGAAAGATGGCATGCAAATTCAGGTATTCAAGGTAAACATTCTGATCTACTGTAATTTATAATATTCAGACTGTAAGTGCCCCATGAATTACCAAAGGTTTCTACAGAAAGGAAATAAAAATTCAGGATTTATCTAGGGTACAATGTTTTATATAAAATCAAATTTAAATGTCCTTTATAGGAAATAAATTTCAAGCAGGCTTATTCATACTAGTGTAATGTTATCTCTGCCTTGAGTTGTCAATAATGTAAAAGAATATAGCAATCAATAATAACCAGCTATATGGACTTTCTTTATTATGAATTAGTTGTTAACTAGCTGAGTGACCTTGAATAATACAGACTATCTGATTCTGAGTTTCTCTAACCATAATGTTTCCATGATTTCAAGAAAATTAAAAACAAAAAATGTAAGATAGTTTATCCTGCTTTAAGAAAGCATAACAAGATACAAATTAAATTTACAAAGGAGATAAATTAGGGAGACATTGTTTACATACAATTTTCACGTTAACAAAAGTTTACTTCTGGGTTAACTTAAACATGATCTCCTCTGATACAGTTCAATATTTACACATATTGTAAATATTTACACGTATTATACATCGCAGAGGCCAGAATATAAGGGGTTCCATCAGAGCTTGCTTAGAAGTCAGAGATATTTGAGGGTGAAAGAGTAGGAGATATTTGTCATATCCCTATTATATGTCATAGAACATCAAATGTTATTAAGAACTTCCAATGATTCATAAACTGTTCAACCAAAGCATGCTTAAAAGCACATATAGATAGACACATACACATACACAAATAAATGCAAAAATTTTTTAGGGGAAAGGTGTGAGGATCAATGCTAATTTGTAAAACCAAAATATTATTTTGATAGAATGTTATCTGCCTGAATTGTTTTAGTAAAATGGCTGCCTCCAGAATATGTGGTATATTTAACTTTTGCCACAAGTACCCATAAGATACCACCATGTAGCATGAATTTTGAACACTTCTTTTTCAGATGTGGACATAGGGATCCAAAATGGCTAATGACAAAATGGCAGGTCAAGCCCACAGAGCAAAGGTCACCCATTTCCCCATTTTACACACAATCTGAGGTTAGAAAATATTTGCAAATCCTATATCTAATAAGGGACATGTATCAAGAATATATAAAAAATCCCTTACAATTCAATAATAAGAATACAAACAACTCAATTCAAAAAATGGAAAACTTATCTGAATAGCCGTTTCTCCAAAAATGATGTGTTTATAGACAAGTGGCACATGAAAAGATAACCAGCATCATTAGCCATTAGGGAAATGCAATCCAACTACCAATAACATACCACTTAATGCCCATAAGGATGACTATAATTTTTAAAGTCCGATGATAACAAGTGTTGGTAAGAATGTGAAGAAACCAGAACCCTCACATATCACTGGTGAAATGTAAAATGATGCCTGTGTCTTGAAAAACAGTCTGACAGTTCCCCCAAAATATTAAACATTGATTTACCATATGACCTAGCCATTCCACTTCCACTTCCATTTCTTTTTTTTTTTTTTTTTTTGCATTTTTAAAAATTATACTTTAAGCTCTGGGATACATATGTAGAATGTGCAGGTTTGTTACGTAGGTATACATGTGCCAAGGTAGTTTGCTGCACCCATCAACCCGTCATCTAGGTTTTAAGCCCCGCATGCATTAGGTATTTGTCCTAATGCTCTCCCTCCCCTTGCCCCCCACCACCTGATAGGCCCTGAGGGGTGATGTTCCCCACCCTGTGTCCACGTGTTCTCATTGTTCAGCTCCCACTTATGAGTGAGAGCATGTGGTGTTTGGTTTTCTATTCCTGTGTTAGTTTGCTGAGAATGATGGTTTCCAGCTTCATCCATGTCCCTGCAAAGGACATGAACTCATTCTTTTTAAAGGCTGCGTAGTATTCCATGGTGTATATGTGCCACATTTTCTTTATCCAGTCTATCATTGATGGGCATTTAGGCTGGTTCCAAGTCTTTGCTATTATAAATAGTGCTATAGTAAACATACACGTGCATGTGTCTTTATAGTAGAATGATTTATAATCCTTTGGGTATATACCCAGTAATGGGATTGCTGGGTCAAATGGTACCACTTCCATTTCTTTTAGTTATTTACCCAAAAGGAATGAAAATATGTATCTGTATCAAGACTTATACATGAATTTTCATAGCATCATTATTTATAGCCAAAACATGGGGAAAAATCTAAGTGTTCATCAACTGAGGATGAATCAATAAAATGTGCTATGTCTGTACAATGGAATATTATCTATCAATAAAAAGTGACAAAGTAATGATACATGCTACAACATGAACCTTAAAAACATGTAAGTGCAATAATTCAGACACAAAATACCACATGTTACATGATTTTATTTGTATGAAATGTCCAGAAAGGATAAATATAGAGAGGCGGGAACAAGATCAGTGCTTTTCTGGTAGTGGCGGAGGGAACTGACTATTAAGTGGGGTGGTAGACATATTTTAAAATGAATTGTAGTGATGTGTTGAGCAACTTTGTAAATTTTTTCAAAATCATTGAACAGAGTATTTACAATGTATGAAGTTTATAGTGGGTAAATTAGACTTTAAAATCACATTGTATATATATGAAAAAATACTGTAAAATGTTTATATATAAATAAGATTTGTATTTGTAATATGGAATATTATACTTTTTAAAGCAAGTATGAAAATCTGTTGTCCTGTGTTCAGTATGCAGCATAAATCAATGCTATATTAAAATGCAAAGAATGATAATTTTTGTACTCTACAATAGATAATCCTCTTACAGTGTAGTGCTTGAAACCTTGGTAAAATTTGACATTTTTCTTCCTTGTAAAATTATGCACAGAACTTGTATATCTCAAAAACACTGCTAAAAGAAAATTTTGACTTACCTATAGATCAGAGAAGCAATTTCCAAAAATCTCCAAAAGAATTTAGCTCAAACAGGAACAATTACTGTCAAATGCAAGTAATCCACCCTTGAAAGCTGTTGTTGCTCTAAACAGTTCAAGCCTGGAGAAGATATTGACAGTTCTAATCTCCAAAGACAGGTTGTTCCTTACTGATTCTATTTTGAGAAATAAAGTTAAATGACTGGGAAAAATTACTCAAATGTTATTTGAAGTAATTTTGCACAATTCAAGTTGATTAGCTAATAAAAGTAATTATGACAATGAAAGCTTTCGGTCAAATAGATTTCAGAACTTCAGACTAGAGGATTGCTTTTAAAACTTTACATTATCAAAAAGCAAATCCCACAGATGTTTATATAGTTTCTGCCTGTAAGAAACAAAATATTAAATACTAAAATATTTTTCTCTTCCTGTTATCTACAATGCCAGGAACATAATTTATTTAAATTGCATCCAGTTTGACTTTTGGAATAGCATTTAATATTTGTATCTCTTCCTGGTTTATAAGTTACATTAACATGCATATATCAGTTAATATAGCAGTGTAGTAGTTACAGCACTTAGGAATCTAACAGAGCATCACTTACTAGTTATGTGTCCTTGTACAACTAATTTCACCTCTCTGACCTTTGTTTTCTATATATGATATGACATTAAGATGTAACAAAATATTATTACGTGTGTTAAGTGCAAGGCTTATAAATATTAATTACTTTCATTATACTCCATACATTATATACAATACTGATATGGTTTGGCTATGTCCCCACACAAATCTCATCTTGAATTCTCATGTGTTGTGGGAAGGACCTGGTGGGAGGTAATTGAATCATGAGGGCAGGTCTTTCCCATGCTGTTCTCATGATAGTGAATAAGTCTCATGAGATCTGTTGGTTTTATAAGGGGGAGTTTCCCTGCACAAGCTCTCTCTCTCTCTGCCTGCTGCCATCCATGTAAGATGTGACTTGCTCCTCCTTGCCTTCCACCATGATTATGAGGCTTCCCCAGCCACATGGAACTGTAAGTCCAATTAAACCTCTTTCTTTTATAAATTGCCCAGTCTCAGGTATGTTTTATCAGCAGCATGAAAACAAGCTAATACAAATACTACTTACTAATGCACTGTGAGCTATTTATGACAGAAGTTTCAATCATAACCTGTATTCAAAGGAAATTAATTATTTCCTCTGAGCTCCATTTCACTTATCTAAAATGTCCTAACACTTAAAAATATATGATACTGTCTGTTTCACAATGTTGTTGTGAAAATAACTTGGAATCGCATATGAAAAATGCCTGAAAATTCCCTTCAATGGAGTGAACACTTGAATTAAATTTTTTTCTTGTTACTCTGAATGACTGAGGCAGGCCCTAAAGAATCTACATTGTAAGGAGTGAAGGCTGAAGCTTAATGGCAGCAAAATTCCTTGGAACTAATGGTCATAGCAGCCAGGACATGTCTTGGCAAAAGTTAATGCTGAAAAATGACTGAAGGCTTCTGCTGTTTTTGGAGGCTGGGCACTGATTTAAGTCATTTTGTGTAGCTATTTCTTCTAGTATAAAAATGCTTGCTGGTTTCAACCAGGTTCCTTTAGTTCCCTCATTATCTCTAGATCAGGGTTTCTCAACAGTGGCACTATTGAAATTTTGAAATTGATAATTCTTTGTTGTAGAAGACTGTACAGTGAATTGTAACATGATGCTGGCAGCATGTCTTCCATGTCAGTGTAACAATCAAAATACCAAATATCCCTTCAGGGCCAAAATTACCAGTGGTTGAGAACCACTGCTCTACATGAATGTTTTTCAAAGTATAATGTGCATAAGAATCAATTAAAAGGCCTGTTCAAATGTATATTCTCAAGGCCCACACCCAGTAATTCTAATTCAGTATATGATTCTGATGCAGGTACTCTATTGTCCACACTTAAGAAAAACTGCTCACCTTCTGCAAAAGAATTGGAGAAGATTGAACCAATGGAAAAACACTATATGGAATCTGAGTGTATTAGTCTTGGATCCTGGACCCCTAGCCTCCTCCTTTGGCCCAACTATTACCATTCAAGGAGAATAGACTTTTTTTCCCCAAAATATTTTTAGTAAGTCTGACAGGTATATTTGTTTGGTGTTGCCTAATATTTTTCATTTCTTCTAATAGTATTCTGTACATTCTACTCTGCATTAAAAAGAAATTAAACTTTATTTGAAGTTGATAGCTCAAAGCCAACCTTCAAATTTGAGCGTTTTTAGTCAAAATCATCACAGTATTTGAATATACATTAGTAATAGTTTGGAGAAGACATGTTATGATGTGTCTGACAGGTAAAGATCACTCTTGTAGTCTCTGTTGATGGTCATAAACAAAAAACCAGAGCAAAGTTGGAGGACTTACATTTTCAGATCTCAAGGTCAATTATAAAGCTATAAGATAATGTGATACTGGCAAAAGAATATATAAGCTAACCAATTGAATAAAATAAAGTCCAGGCATGGTGGCTCACACCTGTAACCCCAGCACTTTGGGAGGCCAAGGCGGGTGGATCACCTGAGGTTGGGAGTTCGAGACCAGCCTGACCAACATGGAGAAACCCCGTCTCTACTAAAAATACAAAAAAATTAGCCGGTGGCGGGGAATCCCAGCTACTGGGAGGCTGAGGCAGGAGAATCTCTTGAATCTGGGAGGCGGCAGTTGCAGTGAGCTGAGATCGTGCCACTGCACTCCAACCTGGGCAACAAGAGTGAAATTCCATCTCAAAAAAAAAAAAAAAAAAAAAAAAAAAAGAAAAAAAAGGAAAATAGAGTACAGCAACAGTCCCACATCTATAGTCATCTGATTTATGCAAAAATTCCACTAGAACACAGTGAGCAAATGAAGAACTTTTCAATAAATAGTACTGGGTCAATTGGATATTCATATAAGAAAAAATATTTTGATCCCTACCTCATATTAAACATAAAAATCAATTCCAAATATATTGTACTTGAAATATAAAATAAGTCTATCTTAGTGGACTTAGATTAGCCAACACTTTTTGAAAAGGAAACCAAACAGCATTCATCATAAAACAATAATAATTTAGATTCTATTAAACTTAAGAGCACCTATTTATTTATTTATTTTTTATTATTATACTTTAAGTTCTGGGATACATGTGCAGAATGTGCAGGCTTGTTACATAGGTATACACGTGCCATGGTGGTTTGCTGCACCCATCAACCTGTCATCTATATTAGGTATTTCTCCTAATGCTATCCCTCCCCCAGGCCCCCACCCCTGACAGGCCCCAGTTGTGTGATGTTCCCCTCCCTGTGCCCATGTGTTCTCATTGTTCAACTCCCACTTATGACTGAGAACATGCGGTGTTTGGTTTTATGTTCTTGTGTTAGTCTGCTGAGAATGATGGTTTCCAGCTTCATCCTTGTCCCTGCAAAGGACATGAACTCATTCCTTTTTCATGGCTGCATAGTATTCCATGGTATATATGTGCCACATTCTGTTTATCGAGTTTATCATTGATGGGCATTTGGGTTGGTTCCAAGTCTTTGCTATTGTGAACAGTGCTGCAATAAGCATACGTGTGCATGTGTCTTTATAGTAGAGTGATTTATAATCCTTTGGGTATATACTCAGTAATGGGATTGCTGGGTCAAATGATATTTCTAGTTATAAATCCTTGAGGAATCACCACACTGTCTTCCACAATGGTTGAACTAATTTACACTTCCACCAACAGTGTAAAAGCATTCCTATTTCTCCACATCCTCTCCAGCATCTATTGTTTCCTGACTTTTTAATAATCGCCATTCTAACTGGCATGAGATGGTATCTCATTGTGGTTTTGATTTGAAATTCTCTAATGACCAGTGATCATGAGCTTTTTTTCATGTTTGTTGGCCACATAAACGTCTTCTTTTGAGAAGTGTCTGTTCATATCCTTCGCCCACTTGTTGATGGGGTTGTTTGCTTTTTTCTTGTAAATTTATTTAGGTTTTTTGTAGATTCTGGATATTAGCCCTTTGTCAGATGGATAGATTGCAAAAATTTTCTCCCATTCTGTAGGTTGCCTGTTCACTCTGATGAGTTTCTTTTGCTGTGCAGAAGCTCTTTAGTTTAATTAGATCTCATTTGTGAATTTTGGCTTTTGTTGTCGTTGCTTTTGGTGTTTTAGTCATGAAGTCTTTGCTCATGCCTATGTCCTGAATGGTATTGCCTAGGTTTTCTTCTAGGGTTTTTATGGTGTTTGTTAGGTCTTACATTTAAGTTTTTAATCCATCTTGGGTTAGTTTTTATATAAGGTGTAAGGAAGGGGTCCAGTTTCAGTTTTCTGCATATGGCTAGCCAGTTTTCCCAGCACCATTTATTAAATAGGGAATCCTTTTCTCATTGCTTGTTTTTGTCAGGTTTGTCAAAGATTAAATGGTTGTATATGTGTGGTGTCCTATTTAAAAAATCACCCTTAAAGGAGTAAAAAAGAATTCTTAGAGTAGGGTAAATATTTACAATACTTATATCCAATAAAAGACTACCATCCATAATATTTGTAAGATATCAATTACAAAAAAGACAGACAAGCCAAGAGAAGAAAGACTAGAATAGGCAATTTACCCAAGAAGACATGCAAGTTAATGATAAACATATAACAAGAAACTCAACTATGGTAGTCAATGAACTATCAATAGGCATTCACCAGAATCATAAACTTGACAGAGAATGTTAACACCAAGTATTTAGGATGCTCATACTGCTGGCAATAGTAAAACTGATAAAACCACTTTAGGAAACTCTTTGTCAGTAATTCCTAAAGTTGAATGATGCTGCATACTCCAAGTAGCAATTACACTTCCTGGTATACACCCAACAGAAAAAGCACATATATTCACCAAAAGACATGTACTAAAATGTTCATAGTTACTCTACTCATAATAACCCCAGACTGTAAACAACCTAAACGTCCATCAGCAGTAGAATGTTGTATAGTCATGCAATGAATGCTGTATGGAGAGATGATGAATGCTATACAGCAATGAGAATAAACTATCTACAACTACATATAACAATCTGTATGAATCTCATATACAACAATTTGAGTGAAAGAATCTAGAAAAATAGTTCATGATATATAATTCCATGTAAATAAAGTACAAAAATGTGTGAGCTTTTAAAAGTCAGTGTGGAGTTTACCATTTGTAGGGGCATGGAGGTTGTGATGAGAAGGGATTATGAAGAGGGCTTCTGTAGTCCCGGTAATGTTCAATGTGTTGATCTGGGTACTGATTACTCAGATGTGTCCATTTTGTGAAATTTCCAATTCTGTATGTTGATTAGACCCTAATATAAAGATGAAAGAAGAGACACCTCACTTGCTTCAGATTTTATCTGCAACTCCCATATCATATGCCAATAATGCTTTCAGCCAGTTATTTGTTCTATCTAGTGCCAAATATACAGTCACCTCCCACTTAGTTTGCTCAGCTGCCTTGGCATATAGAAAAGACTCACTTTTCTTCTATAGCTGCTCACTTGTTAGCTCTAGGTCAGTCTTTTGCAAATTTTAAAATCCTGCCTGCATTTTGGTTTGTAACAAAATGCGACATCCCTGATAGGTTTAAGCATTTTTGACTGAATATATTGGTTACTATCCTCCTTTTCCCAGAATATGTCACTTCTCCTTCCTGTAATGAATGCTATAAATAATAAGACCCAGCAGTTAAGTATAAATAAGCCCAAGACACAATGTGTAGTCACCTTTCTTTTATTTATTAATATCAATATCAAACATATAAACTCTTCCATTTGCAGACTACTTTGGAAAAAAATTCACAATAAGTCATTTTAAATTATATAAATGCAAATGATTTTTTTCTGGAAGCTTATTATATTGTTCTAAAATATATATATAATTTTATCAGGATTTGTGTGTGTATGAGTCTGTTTGCTATTAACTATTTTCAGAAAAAGAGATAATCAAAGTCTTTGCTTGAAAGATAATTTCCCATTGTCAAATATTTTGTTATCTTTTAATTAGGTGAATTTAAGTTCATTAGTGAATATGATGTATGAATTGCTATCTTGTTTTCTGTTTGAAATTCACTGTGTCAGGAATCAAGTTGAGTTAACGGAACTGAAATTTATAACTCTAACACTTCCTTCTAAACAAAGTGAAGACACAAAATTATTCTGATGTAATGGTCCAAAAAGTATATCCATACCTAATGCTCTTCAACTTAGTGTTTGTATTTTATGTGGTATAAAATTAAGAATATTATCTAATGATTGCATTTAGTATTCAGCACACTACTTTTCCCAGAAGTATAATAAATAATAAATGCATTTATATAGTAGTGATACAGGAGGCGGGCAGGGAAGTGTTGGTTAGAGAAGTGCGGGGTCCCTGGTGAAGTCTCCACCCTTGGGCCTGTACCCGTGGCCCTAAATGAAGACAGGCATTTCTGTTTTCGCACCCAAAAGTTGCCTTTTGGCCCCACCACGCCCTTCCATCCTGCCCCCATATAAACCCAAGACTTTAGCAGGCACAGACACAAGCAGCTGAACATCACAATGAGAGGAGCAGAGGAACAGAGTTGCAGCGAGTAGCAGAGAGCGGCGGGGCAGCATGGCAGAGAAAGAGATGAGGAAAGATGTCTGGAAACCGAGGGGAGTTCAGGCAGGACTGGTCAGAAAAGGAAAAGGGAAAGACCACCTTCCACCCCCCACTTCTGGCCCCCCATCCATCTCACTGAGAACCACCTTCACCACTCAATAAAACCTTGCATTCCTTCCAGCCCTCGTGCGATCTGATTATTCCAGTACACTGGGCAAGAACTCAGGCTGTCACACTGGCCCGCTGCCCTTGCGATAAGGCAGAGGGTCTATTGAGCTGATTAACACAAGCCGCCTGCAGATGACAAAGCTGAAACAGCACACTGTAATACACGCCCACTTGGGCTTCGGGAGCTGTAGACACCCACCCCTAGACTCTGCCTTGGGGCTAGAGCCCAAAAGCACTTCCCACAACCTCTGCACCTGCCCATCTGCATGCTCCCACTAGAGCAGTGGGGCACACCTGTGTCACACGTCCTGTGAGGGGGATAAGGGAACTTTCACCTTTCAGTAGCTACTTTTAACTTCCTTGCCTTCAAAGAATAAACAATTTATGATTCTTGGACCCCCAGGCTCAGAACCGGTATTCATTCCCTCTGGATATTCTATCAGTCACCAATTTCTTATTCATCTTTAGCATTATTTCTTTACTTATACTTCTGTTTCTAGAACTACTACCACCTCACTTCATGCTAAAATGCATGAAATTGTCTTCCGATGGCAAGACCATCATTCTCTCTATGCTCCAAACCATAGATGGTTCCTCCCTCATTGAGTAGTCATTTCTCCATTTTTAACAACATATATTTAAGCTACTCAAATTACAACTCCTCAACAGCTTTAGTTTTTATAGCTGTGCCTTGTCCTATTGTTCACCTTTCTCATTCTTTCAAAATTATTCCCATTATTTTGCTTTCTAGGCTCCTCACATAAATTCTCTTCCTCCTTGATAAGAATTCCCTCAATTTTGGAGCTTGCAGTGAGCCGAGCCGAGATCGCACCACTGCACTCCAGCCCTGGGCGACAGAGACTCCACCTCAAAAAATAAATAAATAAACAAAAATAAATAAATAAGTAATAATTCCCTCAATTTGCCTCCTTTAAAATCACTGTCTTCATCTTGCTGCTCCTTTCCTCCTATCTGCAAGGCTAAGCCTTCCTTTTGTGTTCAGCTGCTACAGGGATTAGAAAAACAAACGAGCAAACAAAGAAAATCCAAAGGGTTTGATTCTGCTAAAACTCCGTCACTTACAAGCTGCTTGACTTTGAGCAAATCACTTATTCATTCCAACCTCAGTTTCTTTCTTCATAAAATGAGGAGATGGGGATAATTAGGTCATCACCTGTCCTACTCTTTTTTACCTCACAGGACTGTCATGAGCATTACAATGTACAGTCCAATTCTGTACATTCTGTACGATGAATGTACAGAATTGGACTGTACATTCATTTATTCAATAAATGTTTATTTAGCATCTACTTTTTTCCACTCACTATTAAAAATTCTAGGGCTATATCACTAAATGCACTATCTTAACAGAGCTTACTTTCTAGTGAGACCTGATAATAAACACATAAACAATTTAGAATATAATTTCAGAGAATGAAAGTTTCTATGAATAAAAATTTAACAGAGAGGCGTGGGAGAGTGACCAGTGTGATTAGGGAAGTAATCTTAGACAAGATGACATTTGAGTCATGAAAATGGTAAAACACTAAAAGATTTAATCCTGAGATTGGAAGCCAGACAATGATTCTCGTCTTATCTCTTTTGTGCACCATTGTACTGGAGTTCCTAGTCACTATAACAATATAAAAATAAATAAAATTATAAATATTAGGAAAAAAGAAATGTATTTTTATTCATATACAAATTATTTTTAATGTAGAAAATTAAAAGACATCTCAGAAATATTGCTAGAATAAATAATGAATATAGCAAGGTTGCTGCTATTAAAGTCAGTATGCAGAAATGAATTGTATTCTGTAAAAATTTAGAAAACACAATTTATAAAATATAAAATTGTCACTTAAAATATTAAATACCTTGTGATAAATCTAGCAAGAAATATGCAAGGCCCCTAGGAAAAAAATTTGTAATTTGACCTCTGATTTATGCCATTTACAAAAAATAATTTATCTCGATTATAGATCTAAATGTTAAGGATAAAGCAATAAAACTCATTGATGATTACATAAGAGAATATCCTCATAACTTTAAGGCAGACAAAGATTTCTTCAATGGAATACAAGAAGTACTATTTAGAGTAATTAATGTACAAGAAGTACATTAAGAAAAGATTGATAAATCAGACTACATTAAAATTAGAAAATTGTATGAAATAAAGGGCCCATTAAAAATGTAAAAAGGCAAGGCACCAAGTAGAAAAATATGTTTGTAACCAATTCAGTTCTTGTAACCAGAGTATATAAGAACTCCTAATAATCAATAAGAAAAAGACAAACAACTCAATGAAAATGGATAAAAGACATGCACAGACATTTCACAAAGGATTATATCCAAATGGGTAATAAGCATATTGAAAAAGTGCTCAACTCAACTCCTTTATCAAGGAAATAGAAATTAAAACCATGATGTGATAACACTAAAGCTCACCAAAATACCAATTATTGGCCAGCATGTAAGCAAAAAGAACTCTCAAACATGACCCATGAGGTTGTAAAGGAGTACGACCAATTTGGAACTCTATTTGGTAGTATCTACTAAAGCTGAAATGAGTATACCATATAATCCAGCTACAATGCTCCTAAAGTGTATTCTCTACAGAATATATATTAAAACCATGTACAAAAATTCCCATACTCAGAGGTGAATACATGCTACATGGAATGGGAAGGTTATATAACTTGGGGGTGGTGGACTCTGATTAAAAAAAAAAACACAAAATTTTGAATGTAAGATTAGATACAGAAATAATAAGTATGTAACTAGGATAATTTTTTAAAATCACCAAAATTGCAGGAGGCTTTGGGATTCAGGCCTGTTTCTTCTGCAACTTCTTTAGGCATTTGACCAGAAATGTATTCCTGGGGCAGAACAAGATGGCTGAATAGAAGCCTACCCTATTCAGTCCCCCTGTTGGAACAGCAAAAGTTAACAACTAACTACACACAAAAAGCACCATCACAAGAACCAAAAAATTAGGTGAGCAATCACACGACCTAGTGTTAACTTTATATCACTGAAAGTGGCACTCTAAGTGGGTAGGAGAGACAGTCTTAAATTGCTGATACCTCACCTCCCCCATTCCCCTGAAGTGGCTGCATGGTGCAGAGAATCTGTACACCATGCACAGGAGGGAAAGTGCACTGACAGGGAGACTTTACATTGAACTCAGTGCTGCCCTATCACAGCAGAGAGCAGAATTGGACTGTACCCAGATAATGCCTGCCCACTGAGGCACTTTGACTGGCCCTAGCCAGAGGGGAATTGCCTATCCTGGTAGTCAGAGTCTGAGTTTCAGCAAGCCTCATCGCCAAGGGCTAAAGTGCTATGGGGCACTAAGTGAACTAGATGGACAGTCTAGGCCACATGGACAGCAAGTCTTAGGCAAGTCCTAATCCTGAGTTGGGCTCAGATCCAGTGGACTAGTGGGGCATGTGACCTACTAAGACATCAGCTGTGGTGGCTAAGGGAGTGATTGTGCCACCTCTCCCCTTCCCCTGGCAGCACCCACATGGTGCATAAAAATCTGTATGCTTGGGAGAAGAGCACCAGAGAAATCGGTATGCTTGGGAGATGGAGAGCACAGCAATTGTAAGACTTTACAATGAACTCAGTGCTGTCCTGTTATAGTAGACAGAAAAGCTGTGCTGGGCTCAGCCAGTACCCGTACATGGAAGAGAATCTGCACCAGAGCTAGCCAGAGGGGAATTGCCTATCCCAGTGTTTAGAGCTTGAGTTTGTCAGCAGGCTTTGCCATGACAAGCCAAAGTGCTCCACAGTACTAGGTAAACTTGAAGGGCAGTCTAAGGCACAGGGATTGCAATTCCTAAGCAATACCTAGTGCTGGGCTGGGCTTAGTACCAGTGGACTAGGGTGGCACATGATCTAGGGAGACATCAGTTGGTATGGCTAAGGGAGTGCTTGCATCACCTCTGCTCCAACCCTAGTCAGTGCAACTGGAAGCAACAAAAGTGACTCTTAACCTGCTTGAAGAGAGGAGAGCAAAGTGTAAAGAGGACTTTGTCTTACCAGCTCAGCCACAGTAGGATAGGGCACTGGGTGGAGTAATCAGGCTCCCACTTGAGGCCATAGCTCATGGATGACATTTCTAGACACAGCCTTGGCCAAAAGGGAACCTGCTGCCCAAAAGGGAAATACCCAGTCCTGGCAGCATGTATCAGTGCTGACTAAGGAATTCTTGGGTGCCAAATAACCAACAGTTATATGCAGGTAATATGCCATGGGCCTTGGGCTCTGAAATGTGCTGGCTTCAGGTGTGACCCAGCATATTCCCACCTATGTTGGCTATGGTGAAAGACTACTTCTGTTTGAGAAAATCAGGGGGAAAAGTAAGGGGGACTTTGTCTTGCACTTTAGGTACCAGCTTGGCAACAATGGAGTAGAGCACCAAGCAGATTCTTGGAGTCCCTGAGTCTATGTCTACACTCTTGGTCAGAATCTATGAAACTGCCTTAGGCCAGAGGGTGGGGGCCCTGCCCTGAAAGGTGAGTCTCAGGCCTGGCAGCAAAAACTGATTAAAGAGCCCTTCGGCCTTAAGAGAACATCAGCTGTGTCCTGGCAGAAAGGGGAGGGAAGTGCGGGAAGGACTTTGTCTTGTTGTTTGAGTGCCACCTTAGTCACAGTAGAATAGGACATAGAGTAAATTTCTAATAGTTTTTTTTACTCCAATCCCTGGCTCCCAGACAGCATCTCTGGACACACCCAGGGCCTGGGAAAAGTCACCACCTCTAACAGAGGGACTCAAACTGGCTGGCTTCACCACCTGCTGACTGTAAAGCACTAGGACCATGAGTGAACATAAGTGGTAGTCAGGTAATAGTTACAATGGGCCTTGGACAAGACCCAGTGCTGTGTTGGCTTCAGGTCTAAATCGGGGCAGTTTCAGTGGTGTTTATGTGGTCACAGAGGTGTTTGTGTCCCTGAATCTCCAGTTGCAGATGGCTAGGGACAGAGACAGAGACTCCATTTGTTTGGGAGATGATAAGGGAGAAGAACAAGAGTCTCTTCCTGGTAATCCAGAGAATTCTTCTAGATCTTATTCAAGACCAACATGGAAGTACCTCTATGAGCCTGCAATAACCAAAGTCTTATTGAGTTTGGGGCCCAAATTCAAACTTTGAATACCTGGAAAGCCATCCCAGAAAGGGTAGGCACAAATAAGCCCACACTGCAAAGACTGAAATAAACATCTAACTCTTCAATATCCAGACACTGAAACACATCTAAAAGTATCAAAATCATTCAGGAAAACATGACACTACCAAATGAACTAAATAAGGCACCAGGGACCAATCCTGGAGAAAGAGAGATATGTGACCTTTCAGACAGAGAATTCAAAATAGCTGTGTTGAGGAAACTAAAAGAAATTCAAGAGAACACAGGGAATGTATTCAGAATTCCCTCAGATAAATTTAACAAAGAGAATGAAATAATTGAAAAGAAGCAGAAATTCAGGAGCTGAAAAATGCAATTGGCATATTGAAGAATGCATCATAGTCCATTAACAGCAGAATTGATTAAGCAAAAGAAAGAATTAGTGAGCTTGAAAAAAAAGCTTTTTGAAATTGCACAGTCAGAGGAGAAAAAATAAGGGAGCACACCTACAAGATCTAGAAATAGCCTCAAAAGGGCAATTTAAGAATTTTTGGCCTTAAAGAGGAGGTAGAGAGAAAGAGAATTAGAAAGTTTATTCAAAGGAGTAATAACAGAGGACTTCCCAAACCTAGAGAAAGATATCAATATTCAAGTACAAGAAGGTTATAGAACACCAAACAGATTTAACCCAAAGAAGACTACTTCAAGGCATTTAATAATCAAACTCTCAGAGGTCACAGATAAGAAAAGGATCTTAAAAGTAGCAAGAGAAAAGAAACACGTAACATACAATAGAGTTCCAATACATCCAGCAGCCGACTTTTCAGTGGAAATCTTATGGGCCAGGAGAGAGTGGCATGGTGTATTTCAAATGCTGAAGGAAAAAAACTTTCATGCCAGAATAGTACATCCAGAAAAAATGTCCTTCAAGCATGAAGGAGAAACATGTCTTCCCAGACAAACAAAATCTGAGGGATTTTATGAACATAAGGCCTGTCCTACAAGAAATGCTAAAGGGAGTTCTTCAATCTGAAAGAAAAACATGTTAATGAGCGTAATGATCAATAAGAAATTAAGGTAGAAAATTCACTGGTAATAGCAAAGAGAAAAACACAGAATATTATCACTTTGTAAGCATGGTGTATAAACTACTTTTATCTTAAGTAGTAAGACCAAACAATGAAGCCATCAAAAATAAAAACTACAACAACTTTTCAAGACATAAACAGTATAGTAAGACATAAGGAGAAACAATAAAAAGTTAAAAAGCAGGGTGACAAATATCAAGTGTTTTATAAGTTTTCTTTTTGCTTGTTTGTTTGTGTGGTTATACATTGATTGTTAAGTTGTCATCAGTTTAAAATGATGGTCTATAAAATTGTATTTGTAAGCCTCATGGTAACCTCAAATCAAAAATCATACAACAAATACACAAAAATAAAAAGCAAGAAATTAACAATACCACCAGATAAAAATCACCTTTACTAAAAGGAAGACAAGAAATAAGGAAAGAGGGAAGAGAAGACCAAAAAACAACAAGAAAAACAAATACAAAATGGCATAAGTATGTTCTTACTTTTTCTAATAACAGTACATATAAATGGAGTAAACTCTCCAATAAAAAGATGTAGATGGCTGAATGGATAAAAAAGCAAGCCCCAATGACCTGTTGCCCGCAAGGAAAACATTTTACTTATAAAGATACACATAGACTGTAAATATAGGGATGGGAAAAGATATTCCATGCCAATGAAATCCAAAAAAAAAAAAAAAAAAAAGAGTGAGAATAGCTATTTCTGTATCAGACAAAATAGATTTCAAGACAAAAACTGTAAGAATAGACAAAGAAGGTCATTATATAATGATAAAAGGGTCACATCAGCAAGAGGATATAGCAACTGTAAATATATATGCACCCAATACTAGAGCACAAAGATATATGAAGCAAATATTATTAGAGCTACAGTGAGAGATAGACCCCAATACAGTAATAGCTGGAGATTTCAACACCCCACTTTCAGCATTGGACACATCTTCCACACAGAAAATCAACAAAGATCAGACTTAATCTTCACTATAGACCAAATGGACCTAATTGATATATTTATATCTATTAGGGTTTTTTCTGTCTCTATCTCCTTCAATTCTGCTCTGATCTTAGTTATTTCTTGTCTTCTGCTAGCTTTTGAAATTGTTCCACTTGCTTCTCTAGCTCTTTTAATTGTGATATTAGGGTGTCAATCTGAGATCTTTCTAGCTTTATATGTAGTGGGCATTTAGTGCTATAAATTTGCCTCTTAACACTGCTTTAGCTGTGTCCTAGAGATTGTGGTACATTTTCTCTTTGTTCTCATTGGTTTCAAAGAACTTCTTGATTTCTGCCTTAATTTCATTATTTACCCAAGAGTCATTCAGGAGCAGTTTGTTCAATTTCCATGTAATTTTGTGGTTTTTGACTGAGTTTCTTAATCTTGAGTTCTAATTTGATTGCACTGTGGTCTGTGAGACTGTTGTTATGATTTCAGTTCTTTTGCATTTGCTGAGGAGTGTTTTACTTCCAATTATGTGGTCAATTTTAGAATAAGTACCATGTGGCACTGAGAAGAATGTATATTCTGTTGATTTGGGGTGGAGAGTTCTATAAGAGCTATTTATAACAAACCCACAGCCAATATCATATTGAATGGGGAAAAGCAGGAAGCATTCCCTTTGAAAACTGGCACAAGGCAAGGATGCCCTCTCTCACCACTCCTATTCAACATAGTATTAAAAGTTCTGCCCATGGCAATCAGGCAAGAAAAAGAAATAAAGGGACTTTAAATAGGAAGAGAGGAAGTCAAATTGTCTCTGTTTGCAGATGATATGATTATATATTTAGAAAACCCCACCATCTCAGCCCACAAACTCATTAAGCTGATAAGCAACTTCAGCAAAATCTCAGGATACAAAATCAATGTGCAAAAATCACAAGCATTCCTATACACCAACAATAGACAAGCAGAGAGCCAAATCATGAATGAACTCCCATTCAAAATTGCTACAAAGAGAATAAAATACCTAGGAATACAGCTAACAAGGAATGTGAAGGACCTCTTCAAAGAGAACTACAAACCTCTGCTAAAGGAAATAAGAGACAAACAAATGGAAAAACATTCCATGCTCATGGATAGGAAGAATCAATATTGTAAAAATGGCCACACTGCCCAAAGTAATTTATAGATTCAATGCTATCCCCATCAAACTACCATTGACATTCTTCACAGAATTAGAAAAAACTACTTTAAATTTCATATGAAACCAAAGAAGAACATATATAGCTAAGACAATCCTAAGCAAAAAGAACAAAGCTGGAGGCATCACACTACCTGACTTCAGACTATACTGCAAAGCTACAGTAACCAAAACAGCATGGTACTGGTACCAAAACAGACATATAGACCAATGAAACAGAACAGAGACCTCATAAATAACACCACACATCTACAACCATCTGATCTCTGACAAACCTGACAAAAACAAGCGATAGGGATAGGGTTTCCTTTTCAATAAATGGTGCTGGGAAAACTGGCTAGCCATATGCAGAAAACGGAAACTGGACCCCTTCCTTACACCTTATACAAAAATTAACTCAAGATGAATTAAAGACTTAAATGTAAAACCCAAAACCATAAAAACCCTAGAAGAAAACCTAGGCAATACCATTCAGGACATAGTCATGGGCAAAGACTTCATGACGAAAACGCCAAAAGCAATTGCAACAAAAGCCAAAATTGACAAATGGGATCTAATTAAACTAAAGAGCTTCTGCACAGCAAAAGAAACTATCATCAGAGTGAACAGACAACCTATAGAATGGGAGAAAATTTTTGCAATCTACCCATCTGACAAAGGTATAATATTTGGAATCTACAAGGGACTTAACCAAATTTACAAGAAAAAAACAAACAACTCCATTAAAAAGTGGGCAAAGGATATGAACAGAAACTTCTCAAAAGAAGACATTTATGTGGACAACAAACATATGAAAAAAAGCTCAACATCACTGATCGTTAGAGAAATGCAAATCAAAACCACAATAAGATACCATGGCATGACAGTCAGAATAGCGATTATTAAAAAGTCAAGAAACAACAGATGCTAGGGAGGCTGTGGAGAAATAGAAATGCTTTTACACTGTTGGTGGGATTGTAAGTTATTTCAACCATTGTGGAAGACAGTGTGGTAACCCCTCAAGAATCTAGAACCAGCAATACCATTTGACCCTTTATTGGGTATTTACCCAAAGGAATATAAATTATTCTACTATAAAGACACATGCACACGTATGTTTACTGCAGCACTACTTACAATAGCAAAACATGGAACCAACCCAAATGCCCATCAATGATAGACTGGATAAAGAAAATGTGGCACATATACACATGGAATACTATGCAACCATAAAAAGGAATGAGATCATGTCCTTTCCAGGGACATGGATGAAGCTGGAAGCCATCATTCTCAGCAAACTAACACAGGAACAGAAAACCAAACACCGCATGTTGTCAGTCATAAGTAGGAGTTGAACAGTGAGAACACATGGACACAGGGAGGGGAACAACACACACCAGGCCCTGTTCACGAGTGAGGTGCGTGGGGAGGGAACCTAGAGGATGGGACAATAGGTGCAGCAAACCACCATGGCACACATATACCTATGTAACAAACCTGCACATTCTGCACATGTATCCCAGAACTTAAATAAAAATAAAATAAAATAAAGAAGGAATGAATAAGACTTAGTATTTGATACCACAACAGGGTGACTACAGTCAATAATAATTTGATTGTACATTTTTAAATAACCAGAAGAGTATAATTTAATTGTTTGTAACATAAAGCATAAAATGTTTGCAGTGCTGGATAGACCATTTCCCATAATATGACTATTACACATTGCATTTCTGTATTAAAATAGTTCATGTACCCTCTAAATATATACACCTATGTAGCCACAAAAAAGAACTGCTCTCATAGACATATTTCATAGGTTATGACTTCTCCTTTCTATACAGAATATCATACGCATTGTAGCAACACTAGCCCTTAAGGAGGTGTGTACAAGTGAGGAGACCTGAAGCTTAATCTTCATCATCTTCATGGTATATTTGCCTATGATCATAATAGCGTTATTCATGATAGCCAAATTTGGAAACAATTCACTATCTGTCAATAGCAGAACAGATAAATTGTGGCATATCCATATAATAGAATACTATACAGCAATGAAAATAGACAAATCACTACTACATGAAACAACTATGAGTGAATCTCACAACCATAATGTTGAGCTATGGAATCCAGATGAAAGTTAATACTTACTATATGATTTCATTTCTATACGGTTCAAAAACAGACAAAATTAATTTATGACAGCAAAGTGTGGATTGTAGTTTCCTCTGGGGAAGAAGAAAATGGTTAATTCTTGATAGGTGGCAGAAAAGGAGCTTTTGAGATGTTCGTGATGTTCTATTTTTTCATCTGAGTATTGGTTATACAAGGTATTGGTTATACAAGTGTGCTCATTTGGTGATAATCCAACAAGCTGTACACTTAGAATTTGTATAATTTTCTTCTTGTACATTACACTTGAATGAAAAGTCTACTAAAAATACCATATAAAGTCAAGATATTATTAGTTTTTTTTTAACATGGGAGAATTGGACAAGCTATGGAAACCTCTCCTCACTATATTGACACTCTTGCAAAAGAGACTGGAACAATCCTGGGGGCTAGTCAGTGTGCCATATTCACTGGAATATCCAAAGGGTCCCTGATTAATTTTGGCACTTTTGTCACCTTTTATAAATGATTCCATTCCAAATCCTACTTGTATTTGAATCCTGGATTGTCACACATTAAGATTACAATATCTTTACATCATTCCATTCTAGCCATGTTCTCTTGGGAAAAAGAAAATTAGCCTTCTCTTAAAAAAAAAAAACCCTTTGTTTACATTGTCAGTTTGCAAAAATCATACCTGTTCATTTTAGAACAAAAAAGCATCAAGACTTGTACCATTTGCAATCTGCTACAAGAACAGCATATCTCACAGGGTAATCTCCCTTAGCTTAGATTTCAGAATGAGATGGTACATGGAGTTGAGCTACAGCTGACACACAATGGTCTACATGCAGTATGAGCAACAAAATTGAAGAAACAGATTTAGGGATTTTTGTGTTATATATATCACATGCATATGCATATACATTTACATAAATTTGCATTTCTATGTTTAGGAATATGTATAGTGGTAGAGAGAATTTTTATAACTAGTGGGTTGACATTAATAAGTTGCTTTAACTTGATTTTTGGAATTCAACCAATTTTGTGAAGCTAATTTGTATGCATGGAAATTGTCAGTATTTCTCTGGGTTTTAGAAGTTTCCTAATATCTTATGTATTATTTTACATACAAGTAAATATTGATGAAGGAAATGAGTATTAAAAGCTAGTAAAATCAAATAAACAATTTTTAAAGGCTATATTCAATGCTTTGAAATGTTACATGAAATATTCAGTCTGATGTAAATTGCATATATACTACTAATGGTATAATCAGGCTATTCATTTTTTAGCCCAAAACACAGAGCCAATGACTTCGTTTTCTGGCATGAGATCATTTCTTTGAATGAACATAAATGAAGTGTAAAAGATTATCATTACTGATCCTCATAGGATCTTTAATCATGAAGCAATCTGTAGAAGATTCACCGACCTTGATTTAAATCTAATAGAAGTAAATAGATTATTACAATGAAATATATTTTGAAAGCACTGGAAGTGCTCTATAATAGTCATATAGTGGCTTGCTCCAATGGGTTTTTAAAAAATCATTAAAATAAAAAAATCTTTATTTTCTCAGCCATTGTTTTAAAGTATATGAATATTTAACGGAGCAAGTGAAAATTAAATATCATTACTTAGCTCTATTCAAAGACTTCCTTGTTGGTTTTTTGTGTTGATGATGAATCATGGCCCTAGAGAAAAATGTATTAAAAGTAAAAAACAACACAACACAAAAATTTACTCCATTAGCTCGATTCTCCCAGCCTCCTAGTCAGGATAGAAAGTGGGCTGATTACACTCAACTCAGGGAGAGATGTCTCATTTAGATTTGTGGGGCGAAATGGTGCTCCACTATCACTGTTTTCCACTTAGAATAACAGACCTCCAAATTATTTGTGGATTACTTACAATTTCCCATGCCATAGGGTATCTAACAAAGTATTTAATGACCTCAGGGAGCTGACCTCAAGGAGCTGGCATAGATTTTTATGAATGGGCCCTATACTGGAGATTGCTTTGATACAAAATTTGACACATTCTAAGAATAATAAGTAAGATACTTTAGATTCTCTGAGAGAATGATGTTTTGTAGATTGAAGAAATCAGTTTTCCCAGTCCAACCCACAAATAAATAGTTTGATATCCCTTGTGTATTCCTGCCTAGTGGTCACTGTACCTCGGCATGAACACTCCAACATGCAACTCATTCTATTTGTGAAGACCTTTAATTTTTTGAAAATGTTTCCTTTGTTGAGCTGAAATCCGTTTCTATTTTAGTTTTTCCATCATTGAACCTATTTATATTCTCTGGGCAAAACAGAACCATTTTAATTCATCTTGCACATTACATATCTGTAAATATGTAAAGAACTTTCTAGTTACTTCAACTACTTTAATATACTATGAATATTTTAGATCCTCCTTGCTTTTTGTCTGAACACATACTGGTGTGCCTTCTCTTCAAGAATAGAGCCTAGAAATGAAGAGTTTTCCATATGTGTCCATCAGGACAGAATGGAATGAATACATAATATTGCTCATCCTAAGGTTTTTTAATTCTGCAGATGAAGTTTTGTATCACATTAGGTTTTCCGATCACATTAATTCCTCTTTTGACTCATACGGAACTTACATTTCATTAAAACTAGTAAATATGATTGGAAGGTTTTTTGGCTTTTTTTTAAGTTCTATACTGGTAAAGTTGTATATTGTTTCGTTTTATGGTTTCAAGTATAAAACCTTTCATTTTTTCCCGGGAAAACATCAACCTCTTAGATTTTACCCTTCTTTGGTTCCAATTCTGCAATTTTATTAGTTAAAATTCTCAGCTTTACCTATATCCTTATGTAATTCATTTATAAAATAATGTGATATAACAGAATTCTTCCATGCCCCAGTTTATGGCTCTGGATCTGAAATAATAATCATCAGGTTACAAGTCAGAAAACATTGACTTTGAACTTTGTGTAAATCCAGTTAAGTTACCTATGGACATAATTGTTTTCTTATCTTTGAATTGATAATAGTATTACCTATCCTGCCCCTTCATAGGATTGATTAGAAGCAAATCAGAGATTATTTTTGAAAAGGCTTTAAAGAGAATGAAGTGCTACATATAAAATATGTAAGCCATTGTTATTAATGATATTTTTTACCTACACTCAAAGAGTCATATTGATTGATTTCCCAATAAAGTGACCACTTGTTTGGCATTATATAAAGATATAGTTGGTAACAACTTTATACCATATAACATTATGTACCAAAATTTATATGCCCTTCTAAATGAAAGCCTTTCAGACTCAATGACACATGGATATCAGGGCACTGAAATAGGATTACAGGAATGATTAATTCTTGCAAAGAAGACACACTATGTTGACAAAGTAAAGGGAAATTTACATTTTTATGCTTCTTTCATAGCTCTAATTTTAAGACTTCTGGTACCTGTTCTAAAAGCATTCCTTTGTTCATATTTCTAAGTGCATGAGATGTCATTGATGATTCTGATTAATGAAGTGAGATTTATTCTAATTACATATTGAAAATTATAAGCATTTTGATTTATATTCCTAATTTTAAACCTTCCTTATTTATTTTTATACTCAGTATCACACCAAAAAATGCTCATTCAACTCACAAGAGGCAGTATAAAGATAAACTCTTAAAAAGCACCAAGATGATATTTTTGCACGTTGGGTATGTGAGGATATCATAAAGTGCCATAAATTGTTATGTGTATGTATGTGTGTGTGCATATGTGTAGCATGTTTATATGTATGCATGTGAATTTTTCACTTGAAAAGTGGTCATTCTATGGTTATCTACAAAGAAGCCAGTTCTTTGTCCAAATAAGCAGTGCAGAATTATTCAAGAAAAAACCGCAGAGAGTAGAACTGCTCTGTAGCATTTCGTGAGGATACTGGCAGCACAAAATGAGGGTGACCAAGCACAGAGGGATAGGGTAAGCTCAGAGTATAGCAGGAACAGCACAGGAGATGAGGTACTAGCAAGTGTAGACCAAAGAAAAGTGGCAGATGGTTGTGGTAAATGAAAAACAACATGATTTTACTGCAGAGCAATAACTGTGTTCTGCTGAAAGGGAAAGATACACAGAAATATATGTCAGTGGCCAGGCATAGTGGTATGTGCCTGTAGTTCCAGCTACCTGGGAGGTTGAAGCAGGAGGATCACTTCAGTCCAGGAATTCAAGGTTACAGTGAGCTATGATCCACCACTGCACTCCAGCATGGGCAACAAAGCGAGACCCAGTATTTAGATTTATTTTTTAATAGCCAGGCATATTGGTACATGCCTGTAATCCTAGCTATGTGGGAGGCTGAGGCAGGAGGATTGCTTGAGCCCAGGAATTCAAGGCTGCAGTGAGCTATGGTCACGTCATTGCACTCCAGCCTGGGTGATAGAGTAAAACTCCATCTCTTTAAAAAAGAAGAGATAGAAAAATATACGGCAGTGCAAGAGTGTTGAAAAAAATAAAATTGTCTTTATTAAGCTTTACATAAAGGCTAATAAGATAATATGTCATTATATAATAATGCTAATAACAGAAAGTGATATTGATTAAATTGCAAGGGAAATTTAAAAGCCACTGAAACACACACACACAGAAATGTGTATATAAAGAAAAGGGAAATGAAGACAGAAGATGAGACAAGAATAGATCTATGATCCTTATGTAGTCAACCTCACCCACAGAACTAATTCCCATAGTGATTTAAGAAAACACCTTTATGAAAATAAAGAGTTGAAATGATAAACTCACATCTACTTAGTAAATATGTTTATAATTTATCCATGGCTTGCTCAAATTAAGCTCAATTCTCTTTTAGTTTGAAATTTCTATTAAAAGCCTTAATTGAAGATTGTGTGTACTAGAAATAGCTAAATTTTGTCTAAATGTAGGGACTATCTGGTCACTAACCAGACTATCTCTCACTGAAACACCCGTACTTCAGCAGATCAGGAGAAATAAGAAGGAATCATATATTTCTTTTCTTCTTAGAATATGATAATAACATTTTCTCTTCCACCATGCCCTTAAATTTTAGTAGTCCTCAGGAATCCATGTGTAGTCCACATCTCTTCTTATTCTGCCACCTCCCAGGGTACCCTCTAGTACATTGAACTGACATTTTCAATGACAGACAACACAGCTCTGCTGGATGGCCCACTGACACCTAAATCTCAAAGGCCCAGGAACAAATTTCATAAAATTTCTCCATATCTCTCCTAAACTGCTCCCTTGTTTGAGCTCTGTGTTTCACTTGAAAACTTTACCACCTGCCCTATTATTCAGGCTATCAACTTCAGTGTCATTTTTAATTTTTCTCTTTGCTTTACCCTAAAATGAGTAGGTCATCTATTTTGGTAGATTTTACTTCCTAACTATCTCTCAGATTTATTCACTCCTCTCCGTACCTATTGTTACAATTCTAATTCAGGCCTTCAACATTACTTGGAATTGTACAAACCTTTAATTGAAATCTATACCTTCAGACTCTCATTTTAATATATTTTCTATACTGCTGCCAGAGATCTATCTA
Organism: Homo sapiens; assembly: GCF_000001405.40. Taxonomy (NCBI): domain Eukaryota; kingdom Metazoa; phylum Chordata; class Mammalia; order Primates; family Hominidae; genus Homo; species Homo sapiens. Next base: position 113,354,268 of record NC_000023.11, on the reverse strand, counting down.
AAATATGATCATATTATTCCCTTGCATGAAGTATTTAAATGGCGCCAAATTCCTGAATTTGACATAGCTGTTTAATCACTGCTTGACCTTTCAAGCCTCATCTCCTGAAGTTTTCTACAAACATCCCATGCTGCAAGATGATGAAATAACTCAATTCTCGTAACACATCATTTTATTTCGTATCTACATGTATCTAGCCCTCTAGTCCACTTGTTAAACTAATATTTGTCCTTCAAGAATTGGATCAACAGCATCCTCTCTGTGAAGTCTTTTTCAAATTGAAATGCCCTGCCATTCCTGGTGCAATTATTCTTTCCTTCCTCGGTGTTAATAGAACATATACCACATACCTCTGGAATGCATAAGGCTGCTGCTAAAATGGGCAGAATTTATACCTCTTCCATGTATAACAAGTGTTGCAAATGATAAATTGTATACATCTTTGTGAAATGGGAAAAGTTTTCTAGTCCTCCTTGCAGGATGTGAGATGGCGTTGTGGCTCGCTTCTTCAGTGCCCCGCTGCTCAAACCTCTAGGGGAGCATACAGATGTGCAGGCTGTGGGGCTCCGACTCCACGACAGTGTCTAGGGGTGAGTGTTTACAGCTCCTGAAGCCCCAGTGGGCATGTGTTACAGATGTTCTTTTAGTTTAGCCGCCCATAGGTGGCTTGTGTTAGCTCAATTAGACTCCCTTCCTTATCACAATGACAGAAGGCTTTCGGTATCCCGAGGTTCTGGCCTTGGTGTACTGGAAGAATCAGATCACACGTGGGCTTGGAAAATGAGTGCAAGGTTTTATTGACTGGAGGGAGCTCTCAGCAGTTGGGGGAGCCAGAAGGGGGATGGTTTTCCCCCGGAGTCAGGCCACTCAGTAGCCTGGGCTCTCCTCCGACTGCCCCAGCCAGATTCCACGTTGTTCTGCCTGTCGGTGGCCTGCCAGCCTGTCAGGGCCTACTAATGTGCCCCTCTCCACGTCCAGCCACCTGTGTGTTCCTCCGCTGATGTGCACCTCTGGACATCCAGCCACCTGTGTCTTCTTCCGCCAATCTTCTCCTCTTGAGGTCCAGCAGCTTGTGTGTATGCCTGCTAGGGTCTCGGGGTTTTTATAGGCACAGGATGGGGCTATGGCAGACCAGGGGAAGTCTTGGGAAATGCCACATTTGGGCAGGAAAACAAAAATGCCTGTCCTCAGGTACATGGGCACAGGCCCAGTGGGGTGGAGCCCTAACCAGGGACCCTGCCCTCCTCCACCAAGCACTTCCCTTCCCCACTTCCATATCATTTAAAGGGACCATGCCCTCCTCTACCCAGCATTTCCCTTCTGTATCATTTGTAGGCTTTCAGTATACAGGAATTAACAAACTCATTGTAGGAAGAATAACCAGACTTCTTTCTATATTCTCCATAGCAGGACCATTCAGCTTTTATTTCCTGTAAATATTTCACATACATCTAAGCTATTATTTCTATGCATCTCACTGACTGGCAATGTGACATCTCCATCCATCTTTTGAGTTTGGGATCCTGGCCACAGAGCAACTCCCAGCTACCTAAAATGGCTGGTAGAAAAAGAAACAGTGAATTCTTCTCTCATCACCACTGAAGACTGGAACAATTTATCTGTCCATAGCTGCTCCTTTCTGAGCACATTTTGCTTTTCCAGTGAGGGCCCTTGCGTGTTGTTTTTGAAAGGGAGGCATCAGCTATGGTGGATATGGAAAGGGTTGGGATGAACAAAGAGCTAGTCTCTACCTGGCCATCTTGCCAATTTAACCAGACATTAAAGCGAGAACTCTGGCTGGGAATGGTGGCTCATGCCTGTAATCCCAGCATTTTTGGATGCTGAGGCGGGAGAATGGCTTGAGGCCAGGAGTTTGCGACCAGCCTGGGCAACATAGAAAGACCTTGTTTCTACAAAAATTTTTTAAAATTTAGCCAGGCACGGTGGCATGTGCCTGTAGTCCTAGCTACTCAGGAGGCTGAGGTAGGAGGATCACTTGAGCCTGGAGGATCGAGGTGGCAGTGAGCTGTGATGGTGCCACTGCACTCTAGCCTGGGGGACAGAGCGAGATCCTGTCTTTAAAAAAAAAAAAGTGAGAACTCTGCATATCGTAAGTGCACCTCACACATTACTTGATGAGGTCATGGTAGAAGCTGGAGATACAAAGTGGAGGTACCAAACCCATCATTACTAATTTTCATACAATCATTAATGATGATATTTCATTGAAAATGAAAATTTGGGACAATTACTGAATGTGCTACATGCTTGGAACAGTGGATCTAAGTCAGGTCATTGTTATTTTGTGCACTATGAAAGGTACAAAATAACTATAAGATCCATACTTTCAAGAAGATAACAATCTCATTAGACAAATATATTATTGTGAGACAGAACTACACAAGAGTGAATACCCAAAAAAAGAAAAAAGCAGTGAGTCGTGTAATTTGTGGGAATTACAGTAATTTGATTAAGAGACTGGAGTACTTGAGCCAATAGGAAACACTTTCTGGGTGTAGTTGAAAGCAACCAGAAGACAGAAACTCAGTCTATGCACAATCATTATTATACGGCACTTAGTACTGCACTTGTGAATGAACTAAGCACACAAGTGATAAGTAAAATTACATCACTGTCATTGGACGCTTAGCCTTGCCTCACAGAACAAGTAGTGCTGAGGTTGTTGCCATGAACAGGTATGGCAGCCCACAGTGATCTGACTTTTCTCTGCATCTAAGTTCCTGAATCTGTCCTCATGACTCTGCTCTTATGTAGACACTGGCTTGACCACCAAGTCATCTCTGGTTTTCTCAGAAGAAAATCAATAAACCACCCAGAAAGCCTAGCAGTATTCTTAGGCCGCACTATGACTACTTGACCCCACTGACTCCCTGTGTCCTTATATCACACATTAGCTAATACTGAGACCTCATAAATGGAGGTTAGGCAGAAAATACTTGAACTAGTATTCAGGATGATCTTTCAAGAAGCATACCACAAATACATTTACACCTGGCAAAGAAAAAGACATCAAGGCCAATTGCCTGAGGCATGATCTCTGTCAACCATGATGATGAAAAGAGCTCTTCAGAAATTTTTATTGTTCCTATTGTATTAAGTCCACAAGTTTCAGTAGCAAAAACTATATCAAGAGTTCCTCCCATTCTTCTGTTGAGATCCTATCAAATGGCTCCATCAATAAAGCATTAGAAAAATACCTTAGATTTGATTATTTATATAAAACTGCACTCTAATTAGTGGTGCCCTGTCTGTGTCTTGACCTAATTACCATTCCTAGATATCTTCTAATACCAACTAGAGACAAGTGTTTTACATCATAGCATACATTATAGACTTTAAATGCCTTTAGTTACTTCATATAATTGTTTTTCAGCTTTAAAAATATGTTTTAATTCTCTCCATCAGCCTCATACTATATGGATTTTTGCAGCTGTTTTTTGTGGCTGATTCACCATACAAATTTCTCATTAAGCTCAATCATGGATTTCTAAAGGCATCTTGCATTTAGAAAAACAAGATAGCTGCATCTCAGGGAAAAATATTTTGAGTACTTGAAAGTTTATGAAAGAACAATGCAAATTATATCTAATTTAGAAAAGAACACTGGAATTTTGATTTTGATATCTGTAAAACCGAAACTTTTGCATTTTTTATGAACAGTTGAACTCAATATTTTCAAGTCATATAGTGAAGAACTTTCCTTCTTTCATATACTGGGCTGTGGGTGACAGTTTTCAAGTGATTGACAATCATCTGAATTCTGAATTCAGAACCTGGACAAAAGTCATCTCACACAGCCTGCTGGTGTCTTCAATACAATCTATGTGTATGATTTTCCTGGGAACAAAACAAAAAAAAATAAAGTGTGGCAGTGTATTCTTAAAACAAAGAGCCTTTTACAGCTGCTCAGTTGCAAGACCAAAAAAAAAACCCCTACATTTGCAAAATGAAAATAATAATTTCAACAAAAAAGCAGCATATCTGGTAGATTATAAAAAGCATGAATTACAGTTTAACAACATTGTTTACATGCTAATTTACTGAGACTACAGAGAAGTTGCATTTGGGTTTTATGGGACACGAACACAGATTTCTCTAAAAAAATCATTCAGTTTCTATTTGAAAATGAGTGTGAGTGCTCAATTACATCATACAGCAAATGAATGTTGTACTACTCACATGGAAACACAGGGGTTAGCAAAACCTGAATGACCAGCTAATATAAAGGGAGACATGTTTTAGTAAAATGGATTTTTAACATGGATTTAGTGAATGTTTCAGTAAACTCCTGTATTTATGGGATACAGAGATTACTTAATAGAGAATGTCATGCTTTATTTATTTATTTATTTTGAGATGGAGTTTCACTCTTTCACCCAGGCTGGAGTGAAGTGGTGCCATCTGGGCTTACTGCAACCTCCCCTCCCCAACTCACCCCCCCGCCCCGGGTTCAAACAATTCTCCTGCCTCAGCTTCCAGAGTAGCTGGGATTATAGACATCTACCACCACGCCCAGCTAATTTTTGTTTTTGTTTTTTTTTCCAGTAGAGATGGGGTTTTGCCATGTTGGCCAGGATGGTCTCAAACTCCTGACTTATGGTGATCCACCTGCCTCGGCCTCCCAATGTGCTAGGATTACATGCGTGAACTGCCATGCCCAGTGAGAAAGTCACACTTTAAATGACAACCTTTCTAAGTTCAACTTGTCCAGTTGAGTTTTGTGTACATGTAGCTTAATTGAAGCCATGCTCATCTAACAGAGGCCAGCAGTGTCCAGGGGAGTTTGGTGTATCTAACCCCTCTCTTCTCTCTGGCCAGGTTTTGAAAATATCCAAATAAATAGTGAATCCAGTGCATTATATACATAGATACATTCAACACAAACATCATTACAGTCCTTAGCACATATACTATGTGCTGAGCACACAGGATATACCTAATTAAAATATATTCAAACACAGCTCATCTAATCTCCAACCTTTATGACTTTGCCTTGACAACCAAACTTCCTGATCAAACTGTGAACTACTTGAGGTTAGGTGCTATTTATCTTTGTATCCCCAGTGCTTAGTACAGTATGTAATACATGATAAGTGATCAAGAAATGGACGGATGCTTTATGTCCGACCCTGATCTACATCTACTTAACCCCAATTCAGTAATCTGATTTCAAAATAGTAATTATTCATTTGGTTTAATGATTTTCTTTGAGCTTCTAATCTTTGTTTATTTCTAAGACATAATCAGCCTAGTCCTAGTGACTCAGTAAGATGGACCCAAGTTCCTTTTCCTAAATGGGTAGATGAGAACAAAAGAAGTGCAAAACAGAAGTAATGGTCCTGAGTATAGCAATGTGCATGTTCTATATTAAAATAATTGTAGAATAAGCTATCATAGACCGTAATTTGTGTGCTAGTCATTTTTATAGGTAGAGTAGCATTTTAAGAACCAATAAAAATGGATTTTGAGTTGATAAAAGTTGCTAGCTTTGTAGATAAAATTAAGCCACATGTACACAAAAGGCAATCTATTCTAAATAAATTAACTAAACACCAAAGCCATTCGGATTGGTTGTAAGGGAAGAGTACATTCATTATCAAGGCAATCTTTCCTGAACAGAAAATAAATAAATAAATATAGTCATAGATTTCTGTTTAAAGTTACGTGATTGGAACTTTATGTTTATCTACATGGTAAATATCAATATGGCCATAAATCTAACACATATTCTTTACAGTAGCATTTTGATAAAATATTAAAAAGTAGAGCAAGAACACCATAATTTGAAAATATAAAAAAATAGAGAGAGGGAGAAACAATATGCCATAGGAAAGGTGGCTAGAAGAGAGTGTGCCATTTGGCTATTTCTTCCACCTACCACATTATCCTCAACCCAAGTCACTAGTAAGGAAATCTTAAAAGCTGTTATTAAAATCTATTTGGAAAGCTGGAAAATCCCATAGGCAATTTCTTTTTTGACCATTACTTCATGGTTTGCAAATGAGAAAAATGTTCACTTTCATTACCATCAATAGGGCCATTGAAATGCTGGAAGAATTAAGGAACACTTGCAAAAGACAAAATAATTCACCAATAGCTTAGCATTACTTTGAGATTAATGTACCTGTAAAACAGAAGGAAATTTCAGTTATCCCAACTTTGGTAGAGGAAAACCTGAATAAAGAAATACATAATAAAAAGATGGCAGGTACTTACATTAGAGCTAACAAAGGAAACAATTCTACCCATGGAGAATGAAGAAAAGTAAGGCAGGATGATGGCCCACCCAGGAGCAACATAGAGCCACAGGTACCTCCCACACCCAGGAAAGCAGGGAGTGAATATGTGACCCCCGGAACCCATACTTTTCCCATGGATCTTTGCAACCCTCACATCAGGAGATCCCTTTATGAGCCCACTCCACTAGGGCCTTCAGTCTAACACACAGCTATGTGGAGTCTTGGTAGAGCCGCCACTCAGGCACACGTGGAGATTTGCAAGCCTTAGATACTCACACTTTCTAGGCTTCCCAGCAAAAGTAGCTGCAACTCTGGCAAAGCGGGAGGTTAGACCCCCATGCATACCACTAAGAAAGTGGATGTGGTTTTACTCCCGATGCCTTTAACACTCATATGTCTGGGAGATTCTGTAAGATCTGTCTCAAGGAAGCACAGGCTACCATGTGGGCATCTGAAGGAAAATTAGCAAGTGACTGAATCAGCTTCTTGACTATTGTCTTCAAACACTGGTGGGCAGCATTCAAGTCTCTGTCAAACTGCTATCCTTCAATCTGTAGAGCCAAATGACTGCAGATGTTTCTAAACTCAACACTATCCCAAGGCCAGCACTGTTAAGAGAACCAGATACCTTACCTTCCTAATTGAGTCAGCAGACAATGGATATTTTTATATCCAAAGGGGAAAGACTTGATGGTACGTGGAGCAGTCTGACCAGTGGCATCTGTAGCCTTCAGGATTATAGCATGTTAATGAAATTTTTTTAAAGCAGTAGTTCATATTTTTAAGTATATTGACCTATTTGCTGACTTTCTGATTGAAATACATTCTACTTTGTGAAGCTGATTTGATTATGTATGTATATATTTATTCATATTATTAGTTTTTATTGAATGATACCTTAATTTGTATTCATATTAATGTAGGTCTAAAGGGTTTAATGTGGTTATTTATATAATTAAAGTTCCATGGTTCTTAAAAAAAAAAAAAAAAAAAAGAAAGTGGATGAATCCAGGGGCCTGAGCATTGACTGTGTGCAGGCCCCATTTTCATGACACCTCACAAGATAAGACCCACTGGTTTAGAATTCCAGCCAGCCACTGGTAGCAGCATTGCACCTCCCTAAGAAGGGGCTCCCAGAGGGAGAGGCAGGCTGCCATCTTTGCTGTTTGGCCAACTTAGCTGTTCCAGCCTTCGGGCTTTGGAGAGTCCAAGCCAACTGGGGACAGAAATGGTCACCCAGCACAGCACAGCTGTGCTACAAAAACATGGCCAGGCTGCTTTTTTAAACAGATCCCTGATCCTGTTCCTACTCACTGGGCAGTACCTCCCAAACAGGGTCTCCAGCAACCCCCACCAATGTTTTCTGACAGACGGAGATTTGGAACCTACCTGGGATGGAGCTCCCAGAGGGAGGGGTGGGCTGCCATCTTTGCTGTTTGTGCAACATAGCTGTTCCAACCTTCAGGCTTTGGAGAGTTCAAGCTGACTGGGGGCAGAAGCAGTCCCCCAACAAAGCACAGCGGCTATATGAAAATGTGGTCAGATTGCTTTTGAAAATAGGTCTATGATCCCATTCCTTCTCACAGGGTGGGATTTCCTTACTGGGGTGTCCAGCCATCCCTACCAGTGTTTTTTGGCCAATAGAGATTTAAAACCTCCCTGAGACAGAGCTCCCAGAGAGAGGGGCAGATCCCTCTTTGCTCTCTTGCAGCCTTCATTATTGATACCTACAAGAACAGGAGCAAAGACTCTAAGTGCCTTATCTACACCTCCAACAAGCTGCAGTCACCCCAAAAAGAGGAGGCCAGTTCATCTGCCATGGGTCCAACCCATGACCCCCTGCTCATCACCAGACAGGGAACCCCCAATTTGGGTCTACAGCACAGACCCACCATCCTAGGCTGTTTGCACTGAGCAATTGCTGACCCGAATCTCTTCAGGTTGGAGACCCCAGAAGACAAGCAAAAGACCCTTGGCCACAACCACTACTAAGGTCCTTTCCTCTGCTGCCTCCAGATTGAGGAAGAAACATAAACACAGAGATCACCTGATAACTGCTGTGGGCAGCCCAGGAGTGCCAAGTCACGACCTACACCCAGCACTCAAGGGGGAGAAGAACTCACGTTGTCAGAACATTGAGAGGGAACACAGCTGCAACTGTAAGAAAGCACAGGGGAGCCACACAACCAAGCAAGAGTCTACCAACTGACCAATATGCCTAAGTGCCACCTACTGGATCGCACCTCAAAGCTTCAACACCAAAAACACCTCACTAACGTACCCCCCTCTGAAACCAAAGACAAGGAGTCAGCTTCAAATTATGACCCTGCACAAAGCCTCGACCTGGTGAAAACATCCAGAAAAGAAGTCTGTTGACTGTACACAATCTACACTGCAGTTAAAAGAACGCCCACACACAGAGATGAGAAAGAACCAACACAAGAACTCCAGTAACTCAAATGGCCAAAGTATCATATATCCTCCAAACTACCACACCAATTCTCCAACAAGAGGTTTTAACCAGGCTGAGCTGGTTGAAATGACATAAATAGAATTCAGAATAGGAACAGGAGTGAAGCTCATTGAGATTAAAGAGAATAAAAAAACCCAATCCAAGGAAACTAGGAACCACAATAAAACGATACAGGAGCTGAAGAAGAAAATAGATGGTATAAGAAGAACCTAATGGATCTAACAGAGCTGAATAACACAATACAAGAATTTCACAAAATAGTCAGATCTTCTAAGGTAGAAATGAAAGAAAGAATGTTAAGGTAGGTAGAGAGAAAGGGCAGGTCACATACAATGAAAACTCCATCAGGCTAACAGTGGACCTCTCAGTTGAAACCCTGCAAGCCAGAGGGATTGGAGACCTATATTCAACATTCTTAAAGAAAAAACCTTCGACCAAGGATTTCATATCCAGCCAAGCTAAGCTTCCTAAGATAAGGAGAAATAATATCCTTTTCAGATAAACAAATGTTGAGGGACTTTGTTACCACCAGACCTGCCTTACAAGAGATATTGAAAAGAACACTAGATATAGAAAAGAAAGACCACTACTAGCTAATACAAAAACATGCTTAAATATGCAGATCAGGGACACCATTAAGCAACCACACAAACAAGCCAGCATAATAACCAGCTAGCAAGACAATGACAGGATGAAATCCACACATATCCACACTAACCTTGAATGTAAATGGGCTAAATGCCCCACTTAAAAGGCACAGAATGGCAAGCTGGATAAAGAAGTAAGACCCAATAGTACATTGACTTCAAGAGTCCCATCTTACATGTAAGGACGCCCATAGGCTCAAAATAAAGGGATGGAGGAAAATCTACCAAGCAAATGAAAAACAGAAAAAAGTGGCATTGTAATCCTAATTTCAGACAAAACAGACTCCAAACCAGCAAAGATCAAACCAGACAAAAAAGAGGATTACATAATGGTAAATGGTTTGGTTCAACAGAAAGACCCAACTATTCTAAATACATATGCACCCAACACAGGAGCACCCAGATTCATAAAGCAAGTTCTTAGAGACCCACAAAAGATACATAGATTCCCACACAAAAATGGTGGGAGACTTCAACACTCCACTGACAGTATTAGACAGATTATCAAGGCAGAAAATTAACATGATATTCACACCCTGAACTCAACATTGGACCAAATGGATTTGATAGACCTCTACAAGAACTCTCCATCCAAAACCAGCAGAATATAATTCTTTTCATGCCCACATGGCATGTACTCTAAAATCAGCCACACAATTGGGCATACAACAATCCTCAACAAATACAAAATAACCAAAATCATACCAAACACACACTCAAACCACAATGTAATAGAAGAAAGACTGAGAAAATAAAAGTCAAGACTAAGAAAATCACTCAAAACCACATAATTACCTGAAAATTAAACATGTTCCTACATGACTTTTGAGAAAACAGTGAAATTAAGACAAAAGTCAAGAAGTGCTTTGAAAGTAATGAGAACAAACATACAACATACCAGAATTTCTGAGACACAGCTAAGGGAATGTTAAGAGGGAAATTCATAGCACTAAATATCTACATCAAAAAGCTGGATCTCAAATTAACAACCTAACATCACAACTGAAAACACTACAGAAACAAGAACAAATGGGAGGGGAGGAGCCAAGATGGCCAAATAGGAACAGCTCTGGTCTACAGCTCCCAGCGTGAGCGACGCAGAAGATGGGTGATTTCTGCATTTCCGTCTGAGGTACCGGGTTCATCTCACTAGGGAGTGCCAGACAGTGGGCGCAGGTCAGTGGGTGCGCACACCGTGCGCGAGCCGAAGCAGGGCGAGGCATTGCCTCACTTGGGAAGCGCAAGGGGTCAGGGAGTTCCCTTTCCGAGTCAAAGAAAGGGGTGACGGACGCACCTGGAAAATCGGGTCACTCCCACCCGAATACTGCGCTTTTCCGACCGGCTTAAAAAACGGCGCACCACGAGATTATATCCCGCACCTGGCTCGGAGGGTCCTATGCCCAGGGAGTCTCGCTGATTGCTAGCACAGCAGTCTGAGATCAAACTGCAAGGCGGCAGCAAGGCTGGGGGAGGGGCGCCCGCCATTGCCCAGGCTTGCTTAGGTAAACAAAGCAGCCAGGAAACTCGAACTGGGTGGAGCCCACCACAGCTCAAGGAGGCCTGCCTGCCTCTGTAGGCTCCACCTCTGGGGGCAGGGCACAGACAAAAAGACAGCAGTAACCTCTGCAGACTTAAATGTCCCTGTCTGACAGCTTTGAAGAGAGCAGTGGTTCTCCCAGCACGCAGCTGGAGATCTGAGAACGGGCAGACTGCCTCCTCAAGTGGGTCCCTGACCCCTGACCCCTGGCCCCCGAGCAGCCTAACTGGGAGGCACCCCCCAGCAGGGGCACAATGACACCTCACACGGCAGGGTATTCCAACAGACCTGCAGCTGAGGGTCCTGTCTGTTAGAAGGAAAACTAACAAACAGAAAGGACATCCACACCAAAAACCCATCTGTACATCACCATCATCAAAGACCAAAAGTAGATAAAACCACAAAGATGGGGAAAAAACAGAACAGAAAAACTGGAAACTCTACAACGCAGAGCGCCTCTCCTCCTCCAAAGGAACGCAGTTCCTCACCAGCAACAGAACAAAGCTGGATGGAGAATGACTTTGACGAGCTGAGAGAAGAAGGCTTCAGACGATCAAATTACTCTGAGCTACGGGAGGACATTCAAACCAAAGGCAAAGAAGTTGAAAACTTTGAAAAAAATTTAGAAGAATGTATAACTAGAATAACCAATACAGAGAAGTGCTTAAAGGAGCTGATGGAGCTGAAAACCAAGGCTCGAGAACTATGTGAAGAATGCAGAAGCCTCAGGAGCCGATGCGATCAACTGGAAGAAAGGGTATCAGCGATGGAAGATGAAATGAATGAAATGAAGCGAGAAGGGAAGTTTAGAGAAAAAAGAATAAAAAGAAATGAGCAAAGCCTCCAAGAAATATGGGACTATGTGAAAAGACCAAATCTATGTCTGATTGGTGTACCTGAAAGTGATGGGGAGAATGGAACCAAGTTGGAAAACACTCTGCAGGATATTATCCAGGAGAACTTCCCCAATCTAGCAAGGCAGGCCAACGTTCAGATTCAGGAAATACAGAGAACGCCACAAAGATACTCCTTGAGAAGAGCAACTCCAAGACACATAATTGTCAGATTCACCAAAGTTGAAATGAAGGAAAAAATGTTAAGGGCAGCCAGAGAGAAAGGTTGGGTTACCCACAAAGGGAAGCCCATAAGACTAACAGTGGATCTCTCAGCAGAAACCCTACAAGCCAGAAGAGAGTGGGGGCCAATATTCAACATTCTTAAAGAAAAGAATTTTCAACCCAGAATTTCATATCCAGCCAAACTAAGCTTCATAAGTGAAGGAGAAATAAAATACTTTACAGACAAGCAAATGCTGAGAGGTTTTGTCACCACCAGGCCTGCCCTAAAAGAGCTCCTGAAGGAAGCACTAAACATGGAAAGGAACAACCAGTACCAGCCACTGCAAAATCATGCCAAAATGTAAAGACCATCGAGACTAGGAAGAAACTGCATCAACTAACGAGCAAAATCACCAGCTAACATCATAATGACAGGATCAAATTCACACATAACAATATTAACTGTAAATGTAAATGGACTAAATGCTCCAATTAAAAGACACAGACTGGCAAATTGGATAAAGAGTCAAGACCCATCAGTGTGCTGTATTCAGGAAACCCATCTCACGTGCAGAGACACACATAGGCTCAAAATAAAAGGATGGAGGAAGATCTACCAAGCAAATGGAAAACAAAAAAAGGCAGGGGTTGCAATCCTAGTCTCTGATAAAACAGACTTTAAACCAACAAAGATCAAAAGAGACAAAGAAGACCATTACATAATGGTAAAGGGATCAATTCAACAAGAAGAGCTAACTATCCTAAATATATATGCACCCAATACAGGAGCACCCAGATTCATAAAGCAAGTCCTGAGTGACCTACAAAGAGACCTGGACTCCCACACAATAATAATGGGAGACTTTAACACCCCACTGTCAACATTAGACAGATCAACGAGACAGAAAGTCAACAAGGATACCCAGGAATTGAACTCAGCTCTGCACCAACTGGACCTAATAGACATCTACAGAACTCTCCACCCCAAATCAACAGAATATACATTTTTTTCAGCACCACACCATACCTATTCCAAAATTGACCACATAGTTGGAAGTAAAGCTGTCCTCAGCAAATGTAAAAGAACAGAAATTATAACAAACTATCTCTCAGACCACAGTGCAATCAAACTAGAACTCAGGATTAAGAATCTCACTCAAAACCACTCAACTACATGGAAACTGAACAACCTGCTCCTGAATGACTACTGGATACATAATGAAATGAAGGCAGAAATAAAGATTTTCTTTGAAACCAATGAGAACAAAGACACAACGTGCCAGAATCTCTGGGACATTTTCAAAGCAGTGTGTAGAGGGAAATTTATAGCACTAAATGCCCACAAGAGAAAGCAGGAAAGATCCAAAATTGACACCCTAACATCACAATTAAAAGAACTAGAAAAGCAAGAGCAAACACATTCAAAAGCTAGCAGAAGGCAAGAAATAACTAAAATCAGAGCAGAACTGAAGGAAATAGAGACACAAAAAACCCTTCAAAAAATCAATGAATCCAGGAGCTGGTTTTTTGAAAGGATCAACAAAATTGATAGACCGCTAGCAAGACTAATAAAGAAAAAAAGAAGAATCAAATAGACACAATAAAAAATGATAAAGGGGATATCACCACCGATCCCACAGAAATACAAAGTACCATCAGAGAATACTAAAAACACCTCTACGCAAATAAACTAGAAAATCTAGAAGAAATGGATAAATTCCTCGACACATACACTCTCCCAAGACTAAACCAGGAAGAAGTTGAATCTCTGAATAGACCAATAACAGGAGCTGAAATTGTGGCAATAATCAATAGTTTACCAACCAAAAAGAGTCCAGGACCAGATGGATTCACAGCCGAATTCTATCAGAGGTACAAGGAGGAACTGGTACCATTCCTTCTGAAACTATTCCAATCAATAGAAAAAGGGGGAATCCTCCCTAACTCATTTTATGAGGCCAGCATCATTCTGATACCAAAGCCGGGCAGAGACACAGCCAAAAAAGAGAATTTTAGACCAATATCCTTGATGAACATTGATGCAAAAATACTCAATAAAATACTGGCAAAACGAATCCAGCAGCACATCAAAAAGCTTATCCACCATGATCAAGTGGGCTTCATCCCTGGGATGCAAGGCTGGTTCAATATATGCAAATCAATAAATGTAATCCAGCATATAAACAGAACCAAAGACAAAAACCACATGATTATCTCAATAGATGCAGAAAAAGCCTTTGACAAAATTCAACAACCCTTCATGCTAAAAACGCTCAATAAATTAGGTATTGATGGGACGTATTTCAAAATAATAAGAGCTATCTATGACAAACCCACAGCCAATATCATACCGAATGGGCAAAAACTGGAAGCATTCCCTTTGAAAACTGGCACAAGACAGGGATGCCCTCTCTCACCACTCCTATTCAACATAGTGTTGGAAGTTCTGGCCAGGGCAATTAGGCAGGAGAAGGAAATAAAGGGTATTCAATTAGGAAAAGAGGAAGTCAAATTGTCCCTGTTTGCAGACGACATGATTGTATATCTAGAAAACCCCATTGTCTCAGCCCAAAATGTCCTTAAGGTGATAAGCAACTTCAGCAAAGTCTCAGGATACAAAATCAATGTACAAAAATCACAAGCATTCTTATACACCAACAACAGACAAACAGAGAGCCAAATCATGAGTGAACTCCCATTCACAATTGCTTCAAAGAGAATAAAATACCTAGGAATCCAACTTACAAGGGATGTGAAGGACCTCTTCAAGGAGAACTACAAACCACTGCTCAAGGAAATAAAAGAGGATACAAACAAATGGAAGAACATTCCATGCTCATGGGTAGGAAGAATCAATATCGTGAAAATGGCCATACTGCCCAAGGTAATTTACAGATTTAATGCCATCCCCATCAAGCTACCAATGACTTTCTTCACAGAATTGGAAAAAACTACTTTAAAGTTCATATGGAATCAAAAAAGAGCCCGCATCGCCAAGTCAATCCTAAGCCAAAAGAACAAAGCGGGAGGCATCACACTACCTGACTTCAAACTATACTACAAGGCTACAGTAACCAAAACAGCATGGTACTGGTACCAAAACAGAGATATAGATCAATGGAACAGAACAGAGCACTCAGAAATAACACCGCATATCTACAACTATCTGATCTTTGACAAACCTGAGAAAAACAAGCAATGGGGAAAGGATTTCCTATTTAATAAATGGTGCTGGGAAAACTGGCTAGCCATATGTAGAAAGCTGAAACTGGATCCCTTCCTTACACCTTATACAAAAATCAATTCAAGATGGATTAAAGACTTAAATGTTAGACCTAAAACCATAAAAACCCTAGAAGAAAACCTAGGTATCACCATTCAGGACATAGGCATGGGCAAGGACTTCATGTCCAAAACACCAAAAGCAATTGCAACAAAAGACAAAATTGACAAATGGGATCTAATTAAACTAAAGAGCTTCTGCACAGCAAAAGAAACTACCATCAGAGTGAACAGGCAACCTACAAAATGGGAGAAAATTTTTGCAACCTACTCATCTGACAAAGGGCTAATATCCAGAATCTACAATGAACTCCAATAAATTTACAAGAAAAAAACAAACAACCCCATCAACAAGTGGGCGAAGGACATGAACAGACACTTCTCAAAAGGAGACATTTATGCAGCCAAAAAACACATGAAAAAATGCTCATCATCACTGGCCATCAGAGAAATGCAAATCAAAACCACAATGAGATACCATCTCACACCAGTTAGAATGGCGATCATTAAAAAGTCAGGAAACAACAGGTGCTGGAGAGGATGTGGAGAAATAGGAACACTTTTACACTGTTGGTGGGACTGTAAACTAGTTCAACCATTGTGGAAGTTGGTGTGGCGATTCCTCAGGGATCTAGAACTGGAAATACCATTTGACCCAGCATCCCATTACTGGGTATATACCCAAAGGACTATAAATCATGCTGCTATAAAGACACATGCACATGTATGTTTATTGCGGCATTATTCACAATAGCAAAGACTTGGAACCAACCCAAATGTCCAACAATGATAGACTGGATTAAGAAAATGTGGCACATATACACCATGGAATACTATGCAGCCATAAAAAATGATGAGTTCATGTCCTTTGTAGGGACATGGATGAAATTGGAAATCATCATTCTCAGTAAACTATCGCAAGAACAAAAAACCAAACACCGCATATTCTCACTCATAGGTGGGAATTGAACAATGAGATCACATGGACACAGGAAGGGGAATATCACACTCTGGGGACTGTTGTGGGGTGGGGGGAGGGGGGAGGGATAGCATTGGGAGATATACCTAATGCTAGATGACGAGTTAGTGGGTGCAGCGCACCAGCATGGCACATGTATACATATGTAACTAACCTGCACAATGTGCACATGTACCCTAAAACTTAAAGTATAATTTAAAAAAAAGAAAAGAAAAAATAAAGAACAAATGAACCCCAAAGCTAGCAGAAGACAAGAAATAACCAAAATCAGAGCTGAACTGAAGGAAACTGAGACACACACACAAAAATATGCAAACAATCAACAAATCCAGGACACATATACCCTCCTAAGACTGAACCAGGAAGAAAATGGATGCCCTGAACAGACCAATAATGCGCTCCAAAATTGCATCAGTAATAAATAGCCTACCAACAACAAAAAAAAGTCCAGGAGAAGATGGATTCGCAGCCAAATTCTAGCAAATGTACAAAGAAGAGCTGTTACAATTCCTACTGAAACTATTACAAAATATTGAGGAGGAGGGACTACTCCTTAACTCATTCTAAGAGTCCAGCATCATCCCTATAGCAAAACCTGGCAGAGACACAACCAGAAAAAAAAAATCTTCAGGCCAATATCCCTGATGAACATTGATGAAAAAATCCTCAACAAAATACTTACAACCCAAACCCAGCAGCACATCAAAAAGCTAAACCACCACTATAAAGTAGGCTTCATCCCCAGGATGCAAGGTTAGTTAAACAGACACAAATCAATAAATGTGATTCATCACATAAATATACCATTCGTTTTATTTCAAGTGAATTCTGTTTTCTTCCATGCTCACATCATCTTGATAAAAAACAATGCCTCTAAAACAGTGGCAGAGAGCTCTTGCCTTAATCAAGCAAAAATGGATAAATTTTAAAAGCTTTTATCTGGGCAACATTTGGAGTTGTCTAACTGCTTTCATAGGTGTTGGCATCTTTTATCTTTAGCAGGCTCTGAATAGAGATTCATTTCCTTTTCAGACCACTTTGGTCTAAGATTCTGGAACCCTATATTGGGGTAGGGTGCAGTGTTCCATCTGTTATCTTCAGGTTTTATGCCAAGAAGCTTGTTTAACCTAACTTCTCATCCTGAGGCATTCATTTCTAAGCAAGTGCAGAGCTACACTCTGGCCAAGAACCTTGAGTTCAGTAGCTGGAAGCTAGAGGCTGATTGCATCACCTTACATATAGCAGGAAGGGGGCAAGGGAAGGGTTGGAGCTAAGGGAAAAAGAAATTCACAAATTTCATTTTTATGCCAGCAAAGTTTATAGCATTAATGCAAACCATTTTGTTAAGGAATTACTTTTTTTCATTTGCTGCCAAAGTTCACTCATCTCCTTTATTCACTTCTATATTCCGTCAGTCATCATGTTCTATTTATTTTACCCCTTTTGTGTGTCTTAAGACAATTTACTTCTCAGCATCTCCATTGCCATGACCTTTGTCTGAGCCAGCACCACCTCTTGTCTAGACTAGTGCCATGGCCTCTAAGTTTACCTCCTGATCTCCCCTCCACCCCCTTCCTATCTATTCTCTATACTTCCACAAGATTGGCCTTTAAAAACAGAAATTATGTAATGTCATGCCTCTACCCTTTCCCAGCCTCTGCCATACTTAACATCTTTCATTTACTTCTCATTGCTCTAGCACAAAAATAAATTTTCTTAATATAGCCTGTAGGCACAGCTTAGGCTCCTTCATGCCCACACCTGCAATATCATCTTTGCACCAAGCTCCCCTGCAGTTTCTGTGCTCCAATCACACTAACCTTGTGTGTATGTATGTGTGGATTTTCTAGGCTAACATCCCTACAATAAAGATTTTTCCATATTCTTCTGACTAAATCAGTCCTCTGTGGCACCTTCACCCCTATTTTTAACTTAACTCTTTAGCATTTTTATTATCTCAAATATAATTTCCTCACATAAGCCCTCTCTGACCCCTCAGACCATGCCAGTTATATATTCTTTTATATATTCTCATAGCACATGTACCTTTTACTTCATAGCACCTACCAGAGATTTGACTTTACATTTCTTTGTGTGTTTGATGATTGATTACTCTTTCTCTCCACTACCAGATTGTAAGTTTCATAAAGGCAAAAGCTGTATCAATTTTCCTTACCATTTTATCCCCACATTCTAGCACACTACCTGGCACATAGTTGATGACTGGAATGAACACCCTAACTGGCTCGTGTGACTTTGGACAAGTCACTTAACCTCTCTGTGCTGCAGTTTCTTCATCTGTAAAAGGTAGATGTGGAAGAAGACAAGTAAAATTAGCTTACTAATACATTAAGAGATGCAGTGTGCTTGTGGAGGTGGTGTGATAAATGGAGATATGCCAGTTTGGGTGAGTACGATCCTTTTAGAATGGTGCTGTCAGAGAAGAGAAGATACTGCTTTTGTGATCCAGAAAAGGAATTTGCAGTTATTAAGCAATTACTCTATGTCAGGCTCTATGCTTGGCACTTGATATGCGTTATTTCACTGAATCTTCTCATTTGAAAGCTTGCAGAGTCAATCTACTTGGGACATATGAAGAAAGCAGTATGTCTCCCTATTTCTTCCTACCTCTCTTTCAACATGATATCTGACTGAAATGCAGTCTAAAATGTCAGCAAGAATCACACTATGTTCTGGTGATTAGGAAAATAATCAAACCTTATAGCACCTCTTTCTTCATGTAACTCATATCAGTAGACCTGGTTATGGACCACTGTTAATGTACCATTTTCAGTGCTAAATTTAACTTCTGTGTAATTCTTCTTTTTTCCGTCACCTTAGTTAATGAATTAATTTCCCTAAAATGTTTTTGAGGCCAGCCAATTCTCTCCTCATTTTACAGATGAGGGAACAAAAACAATGAGATTTCCTTAATGTCATAGCTGAGTCACAAACCACTCAATATAATACACCTTGGGGATATCAACTTTTTAAAGTCCTTCCAGGACATCTCCACTCAGCTGAGTGGCTCAATGTCATGATTCTCTGTGATGTCAGGAAGCAGATGTGGTAGCAACATGAATGGAGAAACTTAAGTTCAGACTCTAGTGAGCACTGTAGAACTTTTATTTCTCTTGGAATTAATTCTCGGTAGCTGTAACATTATGGTAAAGCCATCCAGCATGATATATATAATAAAATGCACACTCATGTCTCCGCCATGGTTTAATTGTATTCATAAACAACCCTTACTTCATTAGAACACCAAATTTCTCCATCAACCAGGAATAGAGACCATTAAGTGGATATAAAATAGGTGGCAGAAGGTGTCATAATTTGTATTTGGGTTTAGTATTTTATTCTAATGGATTTTTTTTTCTTTTAATCTATGGCAGAATAAATTGAACAGGGACCTATGTACATAATTAATTTCTATTTTCTTTCTGACAGTTAAGATTTCCCCCCTTTGTGGTCAAACAGAATGTTATGTTGCAATGATAATGTTGAGATGTTTGTCGAGTGGAAAGCAAGAGAAATCATGTAATTATTTTGAAAAAGATGTTCAGTACCACGACTGTTAAACTTACTGATCAGCTTTTGTTTTGCTGCCTCCACAGTTAGGCAGATGTCATAGATCAAAAGACAGTTTCATATTTGAAATTGCATTGATCATTTACAAAAAGCACATTTTTAAGACTATGTATGAGGCATATCCTACACCTACCACTTTTCTAGTTTTCTGTCCTAGTCAATAACCATAGACTATCAGAATGGTACAATATCCTCAAGAATCAAATAAATAATATTGATCCCAGGAAAAATGATTTCAGACCTGTGGAACAGAATAGAGAACCCAGAAATAAATCTAATCAGTTACAGCCAACTCATTTTTTACAAAGGTGCCAAGAACATACATTGAGGAAAGAAGAGTCCCTTTAATACATGATGCTGGGAAAAATGGATATTCATATACGTAAGAATGAAGCTAGATCCCCATGTTTTACCGTATATAAAAGTCAACTCAAAATGGACTAAAGACTTAAATGTAAGGCCTAAAATTATAAAACTATTAGAAGAAAACATCTGGGAAATGCTACGTAACGTGGGTCTGGGCAAAAATGTTTTGGCCAAGACCTCAAAAGCCTATACTTACAATATAATATCTGACTGAAATGCAGTCTAAATGCAATAAAAGCAAAAATAGACAAATGGGATTACATCAAGCTAAAAAGCTTCTGCACAGCAAATGAAACAACCAACAAGGTAGAGAAACGACCTATAGAATGGGATAAAAATTTTGCAAACTATCCATTTGGTAAGAGATTAATAACTATAATATATAAGGAATTCAAACAACTCAATAGCAAAATAAAAACCCTCAAGTAAGCCAATTAGAACATGGGCAAAAAAAAAAAAAAAACCAAACAGTTATTTTTCAAAAGAAAATATACAAATGGCCAAGAAGTACATGAAAAAATGCTCACCATCATTTATCATTAGGGCAATGTATATCAAGGCAACATTGAAATATCAGTCTCATTGCTTCTCGGCCTTTTGGCTAAGATCAAGTGTGAAATATCAGTCTCCTCAGCTAAAATAGCTATTATCAAAAAGACAAAAGGTAACAAGTGCTGGCAAGGATGTGGAGAAAGGGGAACTCTTAGGCACTGTTGGTGGGAATGTAAATTAGTACAGCCATGATGAAAAACAATATAAAGATTCCTCCAAAAACTGAAAATGTAACTACTATGTGATCCAGCAATTCCACTATTGAGTATATATCCAAAAGAAAGGAAATAGGTATAAAAATGAGATATCTGCACTCCCACGTTTATTGCAGCACTGTTCACAATAGCCAAAATATATAATCAATCTAAGTGGCCATCAATGAATAAATGCATAAAGAGAATGTACTGTGTGTATACACACACACACACACACACACACACACACACACAATGGAATTCTATTTGGCCATAAAAATAATGAAATTATGTCATCTGTAGCAACATGGATGGAACTGGAGGTCATTATGTTAAGGGAAATAAGCCAGGCAGAGAAAGACAAATATTGTATGTGCTCACTCATAGGTGGAACTAAAAAACAATGGATCTCATGGAGGTATAGAGTAGAATGGTAATTACCACACAGGCTGTAAAGGGAAGAAAAAAGAGGGATGAAGAGAAGTTGGTTAATGGGTACAAAAATACAGTTAGATAGAAGGAATACATTCTAGTATTTGATAGTACAGTAGGAAAATTATAGCTAACAATAATTTATTGTATATTTTTAAATAACTAGAAGAGAAGTATTGTCATGTTCCCAACACAAAAGAAAGATAAATGTTTGAGGTAATGGATATTTCAATTACCCTGATTTGATCATTACACATTGTATACATGTATCAAAATAAAACATGTACCTCCAAAATATGTACCACTATTAAATATCAACTTTTAGAAACTTTAAATTAAGAAAAAAACTTGATTTCATACATTTCAGGAGATTTTCTAAAAAGCTTGTAGACTAAGGGAAAATTAAGGAATAACTTATGCTGGGGCAAAAAAAGTAAACAGTTTTTGCTGGTGGGTGGGTTTGTTTGTTTGTTTGTTTGTTTGTTTGTTTATTTATTTGAGACAGGATCTGGCTCTATCACCCAGGCTGGAATGCAGTGGCCTGATCTCGGCTTACTGCAACCTCAACATCCCCCGCTCCAGTGATCCTCTCATGTCAGCTCCCCAAGTAGCTGGGACTACAGGCACATGCCACCATGCCCAGCTAATTTGTGCATTTTTTGTAGAAATGGGGTTTCACCATGTTACTCAGGCTTGTCTCGAACATCCTGAGTTCAAGTGATCTACCTGACTTGGCCTCAGCATGAGCCACCGCACCCAGCAAGTAAACATTTTTATAGCCACTTTCCCCCATCATTTTGATTAGTTAAGGTTTTATATATATCCTTTTAATTGAGTTATTGAAAGTCGAATTCTTTTTTTTTAACACATCTATGCCTTCTTCGCAGAAAATCAAATTCTTAAATATTCTTTGTCTTAGACACTTGTGATCTGAAAAGCCAATGTGAATTTTTGAACAAGAATTTTCTGTTAATCTCAGGCTTTTTTGAAAACCAGTGGGCTTTCCTTCTGAGGAATGGAGAAGGAAAAATCAGTCTTTTCTCAATTCAAGGAACAACCATATGATACATTCATATGGTTTAGATTCAGAGTCCCTGAATAAAATTTGAAAATATACAGCCAGCAAAATCACTTACATGTAATAAATGTCCCTGCCCAAACAATTCTTAGGTCTCCCAGGTAGACCTAAGAATGAAACAGAGGGATGCACCATAGTTAACCCAGGGAATGGGGCATTGGGACCAGAACTGCAGCCTCTCTCTCCATGATCCAATGCTAATTTTTTCAAAAGCATTGATGTAATCAGAAAACAATTTGAGGCTTTGAGGCTTTAAGAACAAGGAAGACATTTTTCTTATATATTTATCATAATGGTTGATGATGAGTATAAATATGAGGTCAGGAGAGAGCAATATTTTTTGACCTTCGCAAATTTCTGAAATATTATAAAGAAGTTAAAAGGAAGTGTCTAACAAGCTACTTCCAGAAGTAAATTTTTGTATTTCATGAAAGTATCAAGAGTTTTTTTGACAATATGGCCTCTTCTGTCTTAGCCTAGGTGTTCTATGTCAGGTTACGTGACCTCTCCCCAAAACTGAAAAAAAAAAAAATCAAAAGAATAGGGATTTACATTTTTAAAAGAACAATATCATCCCCGTTACTATCTATCTTTATTGACTTTTCCTCCCTATTTTCTCCTCTTGACCTTTTTCTAGTTGATCTTCAAATTGTGATTCAATAATTTCCATCTTTAGGTTTTGGAGGAATTGCCACAATGACTGAACTAATTTATAAGCCCACCAACAGTGTATAAGTGTTCCTTTTACTCCATAGGCCATTATCCTTAGCAAACTAACACAGGAACAGAAAACCAAATAATGCATGTTCTCATTTATAAGTGGGAGCTAACTGATGAGAACACATGGACACATAGAGGGGAACAACACTCACTGGGACCTTTCAGAGGGTGGAGAGGGGAGGAGGGACAGGATCAGGAAAAATAACTAATGGGTATTAGGCTTAATACCTGTGTGATAAAATAATCCGTGCCACAAACCTATGTCACAAATTTACCTATGTAATGAACCTGCACTTGTACCCCTGAACTTAAAATAAAAGTTAAAAAAACAAAATTTCCAGAAGTCTTTATGTTGCACTGATCCTCTAGAATTGGAATATTTTTGATTGAATAAACATAATAAAGTGCTTGTTCAATTCAAGAGCATGTCATAACCTTCAATGGACTACAATATGTTGCACAATGTAGTGAGGCATCAATAATTCCTCCAAAGCACATTCATGCCATTTAAATGACTAAAATCTGACTATGTTAGCAACAGCTAGGACATAATAATTTTCTTGTTTTATGACAGACATTGTTTATTATGAAGCCAATGCCAACCTTAAACATATTGTCTACTTTAATCTAAAAGCCTTCTTTCAATGATTCCATTGCAATGACACTAAATTGATGTGTATGACTATAGAAATGAAAGACGCAAACATTAGAGAACTGATAAAAATAAGTAACAGGACATAAACCTCATAAATTTCATTATTTGAGAGAATGTTTTAAAGAACAATGTCTGTGATAATAGCTCAGGAGTTACTATCAATCTCTTACACCTTAGGGAAAATGTATGTTAACTTCTTGTGTCAAAGGAGGAAAAATTAAGTACATTTAAAGCAATAAACAATTAGAGATGGAAAACTTTTATAATGAGCTTTGTGGAGATTAGGAAGCAATCATATGTTTTCAGTTTAGCAAAATCTTGCTGCTTTATTGGAAGCCAGGGTGTACCTGACTCAAAACAACAACAACAACAACAAAAACACACAGAGAAGCACTTCACCTTCCCTATAAAGCCCTTACTGACCTGCCTCAGATAATTCAGTATTTATTAGCTATGCTCTTTGTAATGGTTAATTTTGTGTGTCAACTTGACTGGGCCATGGAATGCCTAGATAGCTGATTAAAGATTATTTTGGGGTGTGGCTGTGGGGATATTTCTGGGAGAGATCAGCATTTGAATTGGTGGACAGAGTTAAGCAGAATGCCCTTCCCAGTGTGGGTAGGCTTCATCCAATCTGTTGAGGGCCAGAATTGAACAAAAAGGCAGAGGAAGGTTAAATTAACTCTGCCTGACGACTGCAGGCGAAACATAGCTTTTCTGCCCTCAGCGCTCCTGATTCTCAGGCCTTTAGACCTGGGCTGGAATCTATACCATTGGCAGTCCAGCGCTCAGGCCTTCAAATTACACCACTGGCTTTCCTGGGTCTCCAGCTTGCAGACAACAGATTGCAGATTGGGGGACATTTCAGACTCCATAATCAGATGAGCCAATACCTTATAATAACTATCTTTATACTGTATATATAAAGTTATGACTATCTTCATATATAAAGATAGCACATATAAAGTTTATATATAAACTATCTATATAGTTAGTATATATATATAGTTTATGAACTTTATATATACTCTTTATATATATACAAACTTTATATATAGTTATAACTATTTTCATATGTATAGTAAATGTATAAAGATATACTATATAAATACTTTAGAATAACTATCTTTATTTTAAAATAGCATATATATAAAGATACTTATTATAAGATATTGGCTCATCTGATTATGAGCATAGATAGATAGATAGATAGATCTCCTACTAGTTGTTTCTCTGCAGAATCATGATTAATACAATCCCAAAAATCTTCCTAGGCACTCGTATAACAATAGTTATTATGTGGTACCATATTTGATTCATCAATATATCCTTAGCACCTAGCATATTAGCACACAGTTTTGTTTAATATAAGTGCTCTAGATCCAGTAAGATAAAGGAAGCCTCACAAATACACTTTTAACTCTACTCCTTCTCTTCCATCTTCTGTATTTGTGTGTGTATGTGTGTGTTGATTTTTTTTCTAGTTTAATTAATCTGATGGAACACTATAGAGGGCTGATTTGTCTACATAAAATAGCAAAGGTGAAGGGTAATTGTCAATTGTCAATGGTTGATAAACAACAACGAATATCATCATCTCACACAAACATAAGGTAAAAAGCAAACGGCCACATTCTTTCCTTTTTCCAAAAAAAAAAAAAAAAAAAAGAGGTCCATCTTTCTTTCAGAGGCTAAATATTCACATTGTTCTCGTGATTATATTCCTTGTAGCCCCCAGGAGATTCTTCTCCTTAGTCTACAATCATGATCAAAGACCCCATTTTATTTTTGTAAAATTCTCTTTTAACCTAAGGTATCCGTCAAGCTACTACTATTTCTCTCCTTGTTTCATCACCACAAATGTCTTCAGAAAGTGGTCCACACTTCCTGAACCCCCAAACTCTACAAAAAAACAATGTCTTAATGTCACCAATGATCTAAGCACAATAGTATCATTCTATATCATACCTATGTTTAGGACTTATTTTAAGATTCCACAGACATTTCAAACATAACACCCCTTAAATTCTGATACATTATCTTTATATTCAAATATGCTTTTTCTCCTTCATTCTGTTTTAGTGGTGTCCTATTTTTTGTTCAACTAAGCTAGAAAAACTTCATTTGTAATGATAAATTCAATAATAGAATACTACTATTCAAATTGTATAGAGACATTTTCCCACAACATAAACATTTTTCTGCTGACAGGAAAACTTGAAAGAATTTATTTTTGGCTAGATAAGCCATTGTAGAGGTTGGCTATCCTACACATTTCAACTGGGCAGCTCAAAAACTCCCATGCTTCCTTCCCTATCATGGTGAGAAAACAGCAAATCTAAATTGACCATTGCATGGCAAATTTTGCTATATGATGGAAACAAAAAATATGGAGGTGAAAAATACTTTATAGAGTGCTCCCTAAACAATTCGCAATTGTAAGTCATGTTGCTATCAACATGAGAGTGAATAAGCACAGTACGGTATAGCTGCACAAAGAAATACTGCTCAGCAATGAAAAGGGACAAAAAATGAATGTGTGCAAAAACAGAGTTAATTTCCAAAAACATTATGCTAAATGAAAGAAGCTATACAAAAAAATTGAAATGTATAATTTCATTTAAGTGATAGCTGAAGTAAGGTAAATCAAATATAGAGTGAACAACAAAAAAAGTCAGTACAATACTGCCTCTGGTAGGGTTCAGGGCATGGTTAGAATGGAAAAGTGCAAGAGGAAAATTTAAGGGATTATAGTAATGCTCTGTATCTAGAACAAAATTTTAATACATACTTGTATGCATTTGCCAATGCATGCTATAGAATAGCACTTCACCTTAAAAAGGAAAAAAAATAACAAAAAGTAAAGCATTGAAATCTAATTAAATATATGCAGACTGAAGCGTTTAGGGGAGAATGGACCAATGTCTGCCACATACCTTGAAAGGATTCAAATTATAAGATTAAGTATGGGTATGCAGAAGGATAAATAGAGGGAAAGATGTGTGATAAAACCTGATAGTAAAATGTAAATTATAGATTCTGAGTGGTAGAAATATGAGTGTTCACTCTACAAGTCTTTTGATATTTTTGAATGTTTGAAATGCTTTGTATTAATATATTGAAATATTAAACAATCAGCCTATGATTTTATTTTGGACATATACTTGGAACATTTAATAACCAATATTAATATAACACATTATATCTTTTGAAGTACCATAATTTTGAAGTGTTCTTTTCCTTAAAATGCTTTCCTTCTATTTGAATATACAGTGAAATAAGATAGGCTTTATATGCTATATAATAAATATAAGAATTCTATGCTTCACTGTGCCAGTTGTAATATGTCTATTTTTTCACTATATGAATTGGGCCTCTTTTTCATTGTTATAGATAACCAAATCATTTTTTAGGATCATGTCTAATTCCCCACTATTGTCCCTCCCCAAACTTAGGACCAAACAGAAAGAGAACTGGATTATTGCCACTATCTTTCTTCGTAAGTTTCCATTAGCACTATCCATGAGATTTTTACTAGGAGTACTTCACCTCCTTACATGACCAGTTTTATTCCTTGGCCTTTCTCTCTGGTTAGTTTGTATTCCCTTAAATAATAATAATTGCTATTATTAATATGGATAATATTAAGGACTGCCAATGTGCCAAGCAATGTCTGAGTAGCTTACGTGTTTTATATCATTTAATCCTTACTACGCTGGGAGACGTGTGGATTTATATTTCTATTTGTTACTATCTTCCTTCTGCCAAAAAAACCTTCAATTAACATTTGTTATAGTCCAGATCTGCTGCTGATTAATTCTTTCAGATTTGTACCTAAAAATGTCTCCATTTTACCTTCATTTTTAAAGATATTTTAATAGGTATAGAATAACATGTACAATTAAAGAAAAATACTTGTAATTTTTCAAAAGTTTTAGTAAAAATGAATCTTTTATTTTTATTGTTGTAAGATATTTAACATGAGATCTATCCTTTTAACAAACTTTTAAGTGTATAATACTTAAAAATTGTTAATTATAGGCACAATGTTTTACAGCACATTTCCAGAACTTACTCATCTTGCCTAACTGAAACTTGTACTTGCTAAATAGCAACTCTCGATTACCCTGTCTCCTCAGCCCTGGCGACCACCATTCTATTCTCTACTTCTATGAGTTTGGCAATTTTTGACACCTCATATTAGTGGAATCATACAGGATTTGTCCTTCTATAATTGGCGAATTTTGCTTAGCATAATATTCTCAAGGTTCATCCATGTTGTTGCAAATGGTAGAATTTCCTTCTCTTTTTAAGGCTGAATAAGATGCTGAGGGGTCTTCAAAAAGTTCATGGAAAATACATTTTATGGAAACAATTATGCATGGATTTAGAAACATTTTTTACACCTAAATAAATTCATATTAACTTGTTACAACACATCTAAACAGGATCTAGCTTGAGGTACTAAGTAGCATAAGACATTAGTTTATACCCAGTAATGGGATGGCCGGGTCAAATGGTATTTCTAGTTCTAGATTCCTGAGGAATCGCCACACTGACTTCCACAATGGTTGAACTAGTTTACAGTCCCACCAACAGTGTAAAAGTGTTCCTATTTCTCCACATCCTCTCCAGCACCTGTTGTTTCCTGACTTTTTAATGATTGCCATTCTAACTGGTGTGAGATGGTATCTCATTGTGGTTTTGATTTGCATTTCTCTGATGGCCAGTGATGGTGAGCATTTTTTCATGTGTTTTTTGGCTGCATAAATGTCTTCTTTTGAGAAGTGTCTGTTCATGTCCTTCGCCCACTTTTTGATGGGGTTGTTTGTTTTTTTCTTGTAAATTTGTTTGAGTTCATTATAGATTCTGGATATTAGCCCTTTGTCAGATGAGTAGGTTGCGAAAATTTTCTCCCATTTTGTAGGTTGCCTGTTCACTCTGATGGTAGTTTCTTTTCCTGTGCAGAAGCTCTTTAGTTTAATTAGATCGCATTTGTCAATTTTGGCTTTTGTTGCCATTGCTTTTGGTGTTTGCGGCATTATTCACAATAGCAAAGACTTGGAACCAACCCAAATGTCCAACAATGATAGACTGGATTAAGAAAATGTGGCACATATACACCATGGAATACTATGCAGCCATAAAAAAGGATGAGTTCATGTCCTTTGTAGGGACATGGATGAAATTGGAAACCATCATTCTCAGTAAACTATCGCAAGAACAAAAAACCAAACACCGCATATTCTCACTCATAGGTGGGAATTGAACAATGAGATCACATGGACACAGGAAGGGGAACATCACACTCTGGGGACTGTTGTGGGGTGGGGGGAGGGGGGAGGGATAGCATTGGGAGATATACCTAATGCTAGATGATGAGTTAGTGGGTGCAGCACACCAGCATGGCACATGTATACGTATGTAACTAACCTGCACAATGTGCACATGTACCTTAAAACTTAAAGCATAAAAAAAAAAAAAAAAGACATTAGTTTGAAAAGTGCCCCTCTCAGAGCAACATAAATTCTGCTAAAATTAAAGCAAGCACAAACATTAAATTTATGTAGAAGCTTGGGTGGAAAATGGTGAATTCATTTATGCTTTACAAAAAGTTTATGGGGCAATGCTTCAAGTAAATTAGCAGTTTGCAAATAGATAATGCATGTTAAAAAAGGACGAGACAACAAAGATGAAGCCCACAGCAGCAGACCATCCGCATCCATTTGCAAGGGAAAAAAAAGTATTGTTCCTTTCTTACTTGAAGAGGACCAACAATTAACAGCAGAAACAATAGCCAACGTCATAGACATCTCACTTGCTTGAGCTTACACAATTCTGACTGAAAAATTAAAGTTGAGCAAACTTTCCACTCAATAAATACCAAAACTATTGCACCCACATCAGCTGCAGACAAGAGCAGAGCTTTCAATGGAAATTTTACACAAGTGGGATTAAGACCCTGAATCATTTCTTCAAAGATTTGGAACAAGAGATGAAATATGGCTTTACTAGTATGACTCTGAAGACAAATCATAATTAAAGCAATGTCTACCAAGAGGTGAAAGTGGTCCAGTCAATGCAAAAGCAGACCAGTCAAGGGCAAAGGTCATGGTAATAGTTTTTTGGGATGCTTAAGGCATTTTGCTTGTTGACTTTCTGGAGGGCCAATGAATGATGGCATCTGCTTAATGTAAGAGTGTTTAGCAGAAAAACACCCAAGAAAGCTCCACCAGAGAGTCCTTCTCCACCATGACAATGCTTTTGCTCATTCTTGTCATCAAACAAGGGAAATTTTGCAAGTGTTTTGATGGGAAATTATTAATCCTCCATTTTGAAGTCCTGATTTGGCTCTTTCTACTTCTTTTTGTTTCCTAATCTTAAAAAGTATTTAAATGGCACACATTTTTCTTTAATTAATAATGTAAAAAAGACTGCATAATATGGTTAAATTCCAAGGACCCTAAGTTCTTTAGGGATGGACTAAATGTCTGGTATCATTATTACAAAAGTGTGTTAAACTTGATGGAGCTTATGTTGGATAATGAAGCTTATACCTGCATCTTTTAATTCAATTTTTTATGACTTTTTTGCCATCCTCTCATATTTTATGTATATACTTCATTTTATTATCTGTTCATCATCAATGGGCATTTAGGTTTTTTCTACATCTTTGCTATTGTAATACTGCAGTGAACATAAATTGTAATTATCTCTTCAAAAGCCGGATTTCAATTCTTTGGAATATATATTCCCAGAAGTGGGATTGCTAGATCATATGGCGAGGTCTATTTTTAATTTTTTGAGGACCCTCCGTACGTTTTTTTCATAGTGGTTGAACCATTTTACATTTGTACCTATGGTTGTGCAAGGGTTCCCTTTTCTGCACGTCCCCAACAGCATGTGTCATCTTTTGTTTATTTGCTTGTTTTTATAATAGCCATCTTAACGGGTGTGAGATAATATCTCATTGTGGTTTTGATTTGTATTTCCCTGATGATTAGCAATTTTGCACATCTTTTCATATGACTTGGGCAAATGTATGTATTATTTGAATAAATGTTTATTCAAGCCCTTTGCCCATTTTTAAATCTTTTTTTCATGTTGTGTTGTAGAAGATCTTTCTATATTTTGAATATTAACCATTTATCTGATGTATGGTTAGCAAATATTTTCTCCCATTTTATAGGTTGCCTTTTCACTCTGTTGTTTCCTTCACTCTGCAGAAGCTTTTAAGTTCAATGTAGTTCCCCTTGTTTATTTTGCTTTTGTTACCTCTACTTTGGGTGCCATATCAAAGAAATCATTCCTGAGACCAATGTCATGAAGCTCTTCTATGTTTTCTTCTGAGTTTGACAGTTTTAGGTCTTACATTTAAGCCTTTAATCTATTTTTAGTTGAGTCTGTGTATGGCATAAGTCTCCAATTTCATTCTTTTGCATGTGCATATCCAGTTTTCCCAGCACCATTTGTCAAAAAGACAATATTTTTCCTACTATGTATTCTTACCACCCTTAGCAAAGATCACTTAATCATATGTACATGGGTTTGCTTCTGGGCTCTATTCTGTTTCATTGAGCTATATATCTGTATTTATGCCAGTACCACACTGTTTTAATTACTATAGCTTTATAGTATATTTTGAAATCAGGACATGTGTTATCTCCAGCTTTGTTATTCTTTTTCAAGACTGATTTGGCTATTTGAGTCATCTGTGGTTCCATATGAATTTTAGATTTGCTTTTTTCTATTTCTGTAAAAAAAATGCTATCAAAATTTTGATAGAAACTGCATTGAACTTATAGATAGCTTTGGATACTATGGACATTTTAACACTATCAACTCTTCCTATCCATGAGCACAGGATATCTTTCCATTTATTTGTGTTTTAATTTTTTTATCAGTGTTTAATAGTTTTGATTGTATGTCTTTCATCTTCAAGTATTTTATTCTTTTTGATACTAATGCAAATGAACTTTTCTTACTTTCCAGATTCTTCACTGTTAATATTTAGAAACATTATGCATAGATAATGTATACAAACACAATGCAACTGATTTTTACATGTTGATTTTGTATCCTGCAACTTTGCTGAATTAGTTTATTAGTTCTGTTTTTTTTTTTCTTTCTTTGGAGTCTTTAAGGCTTTCTGCAGGTAAGATCGTTTCATATGCAAACAAATAATTTTTCTTCTTTTCTAGTTATCATGTTTTTTATTTCTCTTTCTTACCTAATTGCTCTGGCTAGGACTTCCAGTACTGTGGTGAATAGAAGTAGCAAGCATGGGCATCCTTGCCTTGTTCCTGATCTTAAAGGTAAATCTTTCTCTCTGTTACTATTGAGTATGATGCAAGCTGTAGGATTTTCATGAATGGCATTTATTATGGTGAGGAAATTCCCTCTACTCCTAGTTTGTTGAGAGTTTTTATCATGAAAGTGTGTTGTATTTTTGCAAATGTTTTTCTGTATCTATTGAAATGATCATGTGATTTTTATCCTTCATTCTGTTGATGTGGTATGCCTCCTTAACTGATTTTAATGTTGAACCATTCTTGCCACCCAGGGATAAATCCCACTTGATCATGGTGTATAATACTTTTTTTAAAAAAATGACTGGAAGCTTTTAAGTTCAGGAATACATGTTCAGGATGTGCAGCTTTGTTAAACATGTATCATGGGTTTGTTGTACAGATGATTTAATCACCCAGATATATTAAGTTTAGTATCCATTAGTTATTTTTCCTGATCCTCTCCTTCCTCCCACCTTCCACCCTCTGATAGGCCCCAGTGTGTGTTGTTTTAATGTACTCTTGGATTTGGTTTGTTAGTATTTTGTTCAGAATTTTAACATCAATATTTATCAATCAGTGATATTGGCCTGTGTTTTTTTTTCTCATAGAGTCTTTGTGAGTTTTTCTTCCTCTTCAATTTTTTAAAGGAGTTTGAGAAAGAGTAGTGTTACTTCATCTTTAAATCATCTTTAAATGCTCGGTAGAATTCCCCAGTGAAGCCATCTGTTCCTGGACTTTTCTTCTTGGGAGATTTATGATTACCGATTAAATCTACTTGTTTTTTATCTGTTCAGATATTTTATTTCCTCATTGATTCAGTCTGGTAGGCTGTATGTTTCTAGAAATTTATCCATTTCTTCTAGATTATCTAATATGGAGCTATACAATTGTTCATAGTAGTCACTTATGATCCTTTTTGTTTCTGTTGTAGCAGTTAAAACATCTCCTATTTAATTTCTATTTTTACTTGAGTGTTCTCCCTTTTTAAATTTAGCCTAGCTAAATTTTTTCAATTCTGTTTATCTTTTCAAAAATCCAATTCTTAGTTATGCTCATTTTTTCTATTATTTTTCTATTCTCTACTTTAATTATTTCTTCTCTAATCCTTATAATTTTCTTCCTTCTACTAACTTTGGGCTTAGTTTATTCTTTTTTTCTAGTTCCTTGAGTGTAAAGTTCAGTTGCTTAAAGATCTTTCTTATTTTTTAATGTAAGCATTTATCACTATAAACTTCCCTGTTAGTACTGCTTTTGCTGTATCTCATAGTTTTTGGTATGTTATGTATTAATTTGCAGTTTTCTAAAGATATTTTCTAATTTCAATTTTGATTTCTTCTTTGGCCCATTGATTATTCAGGAGCATGTTCTTTAATTTTCACATAGTTGTAATTTTTCTAGTTTTCCTTCTGCTATTGATTTCTAGTTTCATTCCACTGTGGTCATAGACGATACTTAGTATGATTTTAATCATCTTAAATTTGTTAAGACTTGATTTGTGGCTCAACATGTTATCTATTCATAGGAATGTTCCATTGAGAAAAATGTATATTCTGCTGCTGTTTGAAAGAATGTTCTGTATATGTCTGTTCAGTTCATTTGAGACACAGTACTTTTCACTCCCACTATTTCCTTATTGATTTTCTGTCTCAGTGTTCTATTCATTATTGGAGATGGAGTATTGAAGTGTCCTACTACTGTGGTATTGCTATCTATTCTTCCCCTCACCCGTGACAAGGTTTTATATATTTAGATGCTCTAGTGTTGGGCTCATATCTAATTGTAATTTATATATCTTCCGGGTGAATTATCCTTTTTATCCATTTTGTCCTTATATAATGTCCTTCTTTTTCTCTTGTGGAAGTTTTTGACTTAAGTCTATTTTGTCTGACATAAATCTAACCACCACTGCTCTCGTTGTTTACCATTTGCATGAAATACCGTTTTTTCCATCCTTTCAACTTCACCCTGTGTGTCCTTAAATCTAAAGTGAATCTCTGTAGACAGTATATAGACTTTTTTAAAATTGATTTAGCCACTCTTTACCTTTTAATTTGCCAGTTCAACCCATTTTTATGTAATATAATTATTCATAAGTCTTACTATTGCCATTTTATTTATTATTCTTTGTCCTGAAATTTTGTCCCTCTTTTCCTCTCGCTGCTTTTCTTCATTTTATTGATTTTTTTGTATTTATATTCTTTGATTCCTTTTTCTTTCTCTGTGTTTGTGTGTGTGTCTTTGTAGGGATTTTGTTTGTGCTTATCACTGGACTTACATAAAATTTCTTATAGTAGTGTATTTTATTATTTAACTTCAATTGCATACCAACATTTTTTTCTTTACTACTTCCTCCTCATTTTATGTTATTGATATCACTGTTTACAACTTTTTATATTGTGTATCCATTAACATGTTTTATTTGTTGCTATTTTTAATATTCTTTAACTATTATACTAGAATTAAAAATAATTTACTAAACACTGTTACAGTAGTACATTATTTGTCTATATATTTATTTTTCCAGTAGGTTTTATATTTTCACATATGTTGTGGTCTAAATACTTTTGTACCCTCAAAATTGATATGCTGAAATCCTAATCCCAACATGATGATAGGAGGTGGGGCCTTTGGAACATCATAAGAGTGGAGACTTCATGAATGGGATTAGTGTCCTTAAAAATGAGACCCCAGATAGCTCTCACTCTATTTCTGCCATGTGGAGATCCAAGGAGAAGTCAGCTTCCTGCAACCTAGAGTAAGAACTTCACCAGAATCTATCCATGCTGGCACTCTGATCTTGGACTTTCAACCTTCAAAACTATGAGAAATAAATGTTGTTCACCTCACTCTGTTTATGGTAAGCTGTTATAATAGTCAGAGCTGACTAAGAAACTGGCACTAAGAAGTGGGTGCTACCGTAAAAACAAAACAAAACAAAAAACTAAAAATGTTGAAGTGGTTAAAGAACTGGGGAATGGTAAGAGTCTAGAAGAGTTTTGAAGTGTATGCTAAAAGTTGAGAATATTGTGGAAAGACATTAAAATGTGATTCTGGTGAGAGCTCAGAAAGAAAAGCTTCCATCTGCATAGGGAATACATAAATCATCATTTACAAAATGTTGGTATAAATATGGACAAGAAAGGCCATTCTGATGAGGTCTCAGATGGAAATAAAGAACATGTTATTGGACAATAGAGAAAAGGTGATCCTTGTTATACAGTGGCAAAGAAAGAATTTGACTTGTGTTCATGTTCTGTTGTTTTGTAATAAACAGAACTTGTGAATGATTAAATTGGATATTTAGCTGATGCGAATTATAAGCAAAGTGTTTCCTCCTGACTGTGTTTATAGTAAAATGTGAAAAGACAGAAGTTACTTAAAGAGAGAATTATTAAGCAAAAGGGAAGTAGAACTTAAAGGTGTGGAAAATTCTCAGGCTTTCCATGCTGCTAAAAAAATCAGAAAACATGTACTGAAGAGAGCACTAAGGGTACGGCTGAACAAACATTTGATGAGGAGATTAATATGGGTGTCAAACACTGACTTAATCACCTACTTCGACAGGAAAATCTCTAGTTTAAACTAAATTAAAGAAGGTTGCCAGACCTTTTGGGTTTTATAAGACAGACCCTGTAGGTATTTTGCTGTAAGCATGTTCTGTTTTTCAATACAAGGGAAGAACAAACCTGAAAGCAATTCAGAGAATATCAGGGCTGCCTCCTCACTTTCAAAATTGTGGGGGAACCACCTCACTTTCAACAGACCATATGACCTCCACTCAATGCTATGGGGGCAGGACCTTCCAAAACTAAGGGAGCTCAAAACCTGCCCAGGAGAACCCTGCGGGCAGGACTCCCATGCTCATGGGTCTGGAACATGGTACCATTGCCCAAGTGGGCCTGGAGGGAAGAGTATGGAATCAAGGAGAATTATTCTGTGATAAGCTATTATAGCAGCTCAAACCGACTAAGACAAAGTACTTTTTACTTATTTTATTTTACTTTAAGTTCTGGACATGTGTAGAATGTGCAGGTTTGTCACATGGGTATAGATGTGCCACGGTGGTTTGCTGCACCAATCAACCTATCATCTACATTAGGTATTTCTCCTAATGCTATCCCTCCCCTAGCCCCTCACCCCCTGACAGGCCCCGGTGTGTGATGTTCCCCTCCCTGTGTCCATGTGTTCTCATTGTTCAACTCCCACTTATGAGTGAGAACATGCGGTGTTTGGTTTTCTGTTCTTGTGTTAGTTTGCTGAGAATGATGGTTTCCAGCTTCATCCATGTCCCTGCAAAGGACATGAACTCATCCTTTTTTTGTGGCTGGATAGTATTCCATGGTGTATATGTGCCACATTTTCTTTATCCAGTCTATCATTGATGGGCATTTGGGTTGTTTCCAAGTCTTTGCTATTGTGAACACTGCCACAATAAACATACGTGTGCATGTGTAAGACAAAGTACTTTTATGTTACTCTTACTCTTTAGCATCATTCCATTTCAACTTGAAGAACTCCTTTTATTATTTCTTATAAAGCAGGTCTGGTCGTGATGAACTCTCAACTTTTGTTAGTCTAGGAAAGTCTTTATCTGTTCATTTTTGAAGGACACTTTTGCTAAGTATAATCCTGGTTGAATGTTTTTTTCTTTCAGCACGTTGAATCTACATGTGATCCTGTTCACTTCTGCCTTGCATAGTTTTTCTTGAAAAATCCACTGATAGTTTTATGGAGGTTTCTTTGCATGTGGTGAGTCACTTTTCTGGTTCCTAAAAAATACTAAAAATAGAGTTTTACCATATGACCCAGCAATCCCATTTTTAGGTATATACTCCAAAGAAAGGAAATCAGAATATTGAAGAGCTATCTGCACTCTCATGTTTATTGCAGCACTATTCACAATAGACAATATTTGGAAGCAATCTAAGTGCCCATCAGTGGATGAATGGATAAACAAAATGAGGTACATATACACAATGGAGTACCATTCAGCCATAAAAAAGAATGATATCCTGTCATTTGCAACAACATGGACGGAACTGTAGGACATTATGTTAAGTGAAATAAGCCAGGCACAGAAAGACAAACCTCACATGCTCTCACTTATTTGTGGAAGGTAAAAATTGAAACAAACACTTTATTTGTTCTTAGTGGCCTCCAGGAATCATTTGTATGCCAGGTTCTGTCAGTGCTCCAAGACAAGCAGAACAGAAGCCAGTTCTTTGTGCAACCACCAGAGAAGTTGGGGCTTTGGATGGACAGTTCAACTCCTTCCCTTCCTTAAGAGAAGCTAGGATCTTGGAGTTTTTGTCCACTTTCTTTGTGCTGAACTGGGGGGAAGGGCCATAATGACTAATAGCCCAAATCACCATCTCTGATTTCACTGGTTCCCAGGCAGCTAAAGTATATCAGGTTCCATCACTGTTCCAAAACAGGCAAGACAGAAGTCAGTTTTCTAGAAAGTCCTCAGAGAACTTGGGGTATTGAACATGTAGTCTGACTCTTTCCCTACTTAGGGAGAAGATGGGAGTTGAAAGGTTTCCTCCTGATTGTACGGCATTGTGACAGGGGCAGGTATAGCGAATGTATCAAATTTCCCTACTGGCTTTGATGTGGCCGGTTTCACTCTTGCCCAGGGTATAGTAGCCTGTCAACTGGTTTCTGAATTTCCCACAAAGGGAATTTTCTCATGTTTTGTTGTTGAATCAGTGTGTACCAATTCCGCCATCTTCCTGACATCATTCAGTTCATTTTTGAAATTGTGAGCTATAATATAGTTAGAAGTGTCTTGTGGTCTATGGGAATTGGTTTGATATCTCAATTAAATATCTTAACTTTTAAAATACATATATCTTTTTAAATTCATTTCCTGATGAATTTCTAACAAAATACATAATGTTGAAATAATAATTTACCTTATCACTTCTCTACCTAAATATGGTTTTCTTTCTTTGCAAAAATTCAAGTGGTTTTATAGCTGGCTAAAATCACAAGCTCAGGCCCTATTATTATGTTGGTGCAAAAGTAATTGCGGTTTTTGCCATTACTTTCACCTGCAAAAAAACACAATTACTTTTGCACCAAACTAATAACATTTATATATATTTTTGGACATCTTGTTTCAGGCTACACGTTTTATTGATTGCACTTGACCATTGAGAGGAAACATCAAATTCATTATGTTTTTGCAGAAAAATGTCACTGAATATTTTCTGTTTTGTTATGTTTTAAACTGCAAATAGTTTTTTTTTCCTTTTTCATTTTGCTCTGTCACAGCAAACTGCAATTACCATTCATTGAGAAATTTTTAACATACTTTCTTCCACTCTTTTTTTTTTTTATTGCTCCAGTTGTGCTTTTAGCTTCTGCATCTCCGTTCAATTCTGTATGTACAGTATGCTTCATTTTAAATTTCAAATTTTCTCATGCTTTTTTTAAACTAGAAAAATAATTTAACTATATTGTATTTTTAAAATAAGTATTTTAATAACCAATTACAATTTATATAGTATGACTATAAAACATAACTGTCTGCAAAAAATGTGAAAATAAACATATTACTATCTTATGTCAGTGCTTAGAATAAATCATTTAAACTGAATCAATGTCTTGATACTAACTAGATTGATGATGTAATTATGTGTAATACTAAAAATGACACACGAATATGACATAAAAACTCTAATGCAAGAATAGTATCTTTCTTGTACGTGAATCAATGGTAAAATAAAATGTTGTCCTACCAAAATAATAAAGTTGTATCTAATAGAAAACATTTTATACTGCTTCAGTAATAAAATCTGAATTTTAAAGAATTAAAATAAAATGACATTTAAAAATTCAGTTTTTCAATCACACTAGACTCATTTCAGGTGCTTAATAGCCACACGTGACTAGTAGCTACCATACTGGACAGTATAGGTATTAGGTTGCAGACAGCATGCCTGATATTACTTGATGTGGCTCATCTACTGCTATGCGTAAGGCTTAGCCTATGAGTTTATTCAAATATTTGGTCAATCCAAAGAAAAAATGTCAATCTATCTGGCTGTTGCAGGTAACTGTTGGAACTGCATTTAGTTACACGTATCTAATACCACTCTTTTGCATTGACTATATGGCAAACAAACTTGGAAAACAATTAACCTATGAATTTAATCTTAAAATACCAGCATGGTAAGACAACTATAAATTCATATGGAAGAGAAAAGTCCTTCCAAATAGTCAATAACATTTGTTAAACCAAGAATAATGAGGCAAAAGTTGTCATACTAAACTTCAAAACCCTTTAAAGCTACATGGTATTTAATATATTGTCTTACTGACACAAGAACACAGTATTCAACATATAAATATGGTACAATTAGATATCCACTTAGAAAAAGATAATGTAGGCCTTTATTTTATCCCATATGAAAAAAACTCCAGATGGATGAAAGAGTTAAACATATCATTACAAAACTGTGCATTTTTAGAAAAAAAAAATCTTGGAAGAGGAAAGGGCAGAAAAACAAAGATTCACAAGTGAAGGCTGGCAGATTTTTTTCTGCATAAAATGAAAATATTTTACACAATAAAAGTAAAGAAAAAATAAGTTTGGAGAATATACCTGTTGCATAAATAATAAGCAAAGGATCATCATTCAAAACAAAATCACTACAAATCAATAAGAAAAGATATAAAATTTGGCAAAAAATATGAACAGGAAATTCAAAGAAGTATAACAAAGGATCAATAAGCATAAGATGTTAAACCTCACAAATAATATAATAAATATACATTAAAATAAAAATAAGATTTTACCCCATGTTTGGCACCACTGAAAAAGGTGTATAATATTATACTGTTATTTAATAGAATATTATGGGTTCTTTCATATACAATTGATGACTATGTATTTGTATAGCTTATTGAGATGGCAACTTGGCAACATCTATAAAATTTTTAAATTGCATAAGTTTGACTCTACAATTCTTCTAAGAACCTGTTCTATTTAAATATACATGTGCATGTATATACTGTAGTTCCTCTGTATCTGTGTGGGATTAGCTTCAGGACCTCTCATGGATGCCAAAAATCTGCAAATGCTCAAGCCCCTGATATAAATTATGCAGTATTTGCACATCCTTCTGTATAGTTTAAGTAATCCTAGATTACTTATAATACCTAATGCAATGGAAGTCCTATGTAAGCAGTTGTTATAGTGTACTGTTTAGGGAATAATGGCCAAAAAAAGCCTATACATGTTCAGTACAAACACAATTGAAAAAAAATATTTTTGATCCATGATTGGTTAAATCCACACATGCAGAACCTATGAATAGAGAGGGCCAACAGGATAGATAGGTAGATAGATAACAGATATACAAAATTTAACAAGGTTATTGACTTCAGTCAGACCAATTCTACAACTACACATCATACAAATACATGCATTTCACATATTTTTTCCCATGCGTAATTCCATGCTTTTTCTTACCCGGAGAACGTTTCTTCCTCCTTTCCTCCAATTTCTATGCACTATTTC
Source organism: Homo sapiens (assembly GCF_000001405.40). NCBI lineage: Eukaryota > Metazoa > Chordata > Mammalia > Primates > Hominidae > Homo > Homo sapiens. The sequence goes on along the minus strand of NC_000023.11, from coordinate 113,313,626 downwards.
CTTCGCAATCCTCTTTTCTCAAGAAATCTGCCTTAAGCTAACCTATAGTAAACATAAATTGTATCCCTTTACGTACATTCAGGATTTAAAATAAAATTAATTATATTCATAGAGTAGCAAACATAGGAAGATTGCTTAGGAAAAATGTAGTCTGGTGGCTTTAACATTTATATTAGCCATTGTATTAGTCAGCGTTTTCCAGAGAAACAGAATCAATAGGATGTGTATATATACATGAAGAGCTTTATTATAAGGAATTGGCTCATGTGATTATGGAAGCTGGACAGTCAAAATCTGCACAGTGTGAACCAGCAGGCTGGAGATCCAGGGTACCTGATGCTTCAGATGATGTCTTAAGGCAATATGCTGCAGAAGTCCCTTTTGCTTGGGGAGGCCAGGCTTTTTGTTCTGTTCAGGCCTTCAACTGATTGAAACCCACCCCCATTATGGAGGACAATCCTCTTACTCAAAGTTCACCAATGTAAATATATTTATTTATGTATTTTTATGTTTCACAGTGTTTGCTCTTTATATTTTCCATTGTTTTCTTAGAGTGGTTGTACCTGGCTCAAAAGGAATGGTATTTTATCACTCTTGATACATACAATGGATGTGATCATTTTTTAATTTGCCAACTCAATAGGTGAAAAATAGCACTTCAATATATTTTCTTTGATTATAGGCAAGACTGCACATCTCTTGAGTACGGCTTCTTCTTCATAGAAAAGGAAAACTTTTTTAAAACCTGTAAGCAGTTCCAACATCCATTTCATTTCCCGTGTCTAGTTTTCCCATGGACCAATGTGTTTACCTTGGGCATATAATTTTTGCTTGTATATCTGCAAACAGTTACAGTAATAGATATTTTCTTTTGTCTGTGTGTGTATTAGATATCTTTTTATTTATTATTTTTATTTAAAAATATTTTAACTTTTATTTTAGGTTTAGGGGTATATGTGCAGGTTTGTTATATAGGTAAACTCATTACTCGGGGATTTGGTGTACAGATGGGTAGGCCCCAGTGTCTGTTCTCCTTCTCTCTGTTCATGTGTTCTCATTATTTAAGTCCCACTTATAAGTGAGAACATGCAGTTTTTGCTTTTCTGTTTCTGCATTAGTTTGCTAAAGATAACGGCCTCCAGCTTCATCCATGTCCCTGCAAAGAACATGATCTCATTCTTTTTTTGGCTACATAGTATCCCATGGTGTATATGTGCCACATTTTCTTTATCCAATCTTGTACTGATGGAGATTTAGGTTGATTCCATATCTTTGCTATTGTGACTAGTGCTGTGATTAATATATATGTTCATGTGTCTTTAGGGTAGAATGATTTATATTTCTTTGGGAATATAAATCCAGGTAGTGGGATTTCTGGGTTGAATGGTAATTCCGTTTTTAGTTATTTCAGGAATCGCCACACTGCTTTCCACACTGGTTGAACCAATTTACACTCCCAGCAGCAATGTGTAAGTGTTCCCTTTTCTCCACAACCTTACCAGCATCTGTTATTTTTTGACTTCTTAATAGTAGCCATTCTGACTGGTGTGAGATGGTACCTCATTGTGGTTTTGATTTGCATATCTCTAATGATCAGTGATACTGAGCATTTTTTCATATGCTCGCTGGCTGCATGTATGTCTTCTTTTGAAAAGTTTCTGTTCAAGTCTTTTGTCCACTTTTTGATGGGATTGTTTTTTGCTTATATGTTTAAGTTCCTGGTAGATTCTAGATATTAGACCTTTGTCAGATGTGTAGTTTGCAAATTTTTTTTTCAATTCCATAGGTTGTCTGTTTACTCTGTTAAAATAGTGTGCAGAAGCTCTTAAGTTTAATTAGGTCGAGTTTGTCCATTTTTGCCTTTGTTGCAATTGCTTTTAGAATTTTGGCATGAAATCTTTGCCAGTTCCTATGTCCAAAATGGTATTTCCTAGGTTATCTTTCAGAGTTTTTACAGTTTTAGGTTTTACATTTAAGTCTTTAATCCATCTTTAGTTGATTTTTGTACATGGTGTAAGAAAGCGGTCCAGTTTCAGTCTTCTGCGTATAGCTAGCCAGTTATCCCATCATTTATTGAATAAGGAGTCCTTTCCCTATTGCTTGTTTTTGTAGACTTTGTCAAAGATCAGATGGTTGTAGGTATGTGGCTTTATTTCTGGGCTCTCTATTCTGTTTCATTGTTCTATGTGTTTGTTTTTATACAGTACCATGCTGTTTGGGTTACTGTAGCCTTGTAGTACAGTTTGAAGCCCAGCAATGCGATTCCACCAGCTGTGTTCTGTTTACTTAAAATTGCCATGGCTATTCGAGCTCTTTTTTGGTTTCATATGAACTTCAGAATAGTTTTTTTCTAGTTCTGTGAAGATGCCATTGGTAGTTTGATAGGAATAACATTGAATCTGTAAATTGCTTAGGGCAGTATGGCCATTTTAACAATATTGATTCTTCTTATCCAAGAGCATGGATTGTTCTTCCATTTGTTTGTATCATCTCTGATTTCTTTGAGCAGTGTTTTGTAATTCTCATTGTAGAGATCTTTCACCTCCCTGGTTAGCTGTAGTCCTAGGTATTTTATTCTTTTTGTGGCAATTGTGAATGGAATTGTGTTCCTGACTTGGCTCTCAGCTTGGATGCTGTTAGTGTATAGGAATGGTATTGATTTTTTTACCTTGATTTTGGATTCCAAAACTTTGCTGAAGTTGTCTATCAGATCAAAGAGCTTTTGAGACAAGACTATGGGGTTTTCTAGATATAGAATCATGTCATCTGCAAACAGGGATAGTTTCACTTTCTCTTTTCCTATTGGGATACCTTTTATTTCTTTCACTTGCCAGATTGCTTTGGCCAGAATTTCCAATATGATGTTGAATAGGACATCCATGTATGAATTTTATCCAAATACGTCCTCTAAATTGACACTTAAAATTAATAATCACAGCCATAAAAGCTTTTGCAAATGAAATCTTTCATTAATATAATTGCCATTGTCATTGTCATTACCACCATCATAGGTAATTAATGTTGTTAAGGAAGTTGTTATGGTCTTGGCACTAGCCTAATTGCTTCAGTTTTTTTAATCCTCACAATTATATTGTGGCACAAATACTCTTTTTATCATCCCTGTTTTACGACTTAAGAAACTGAGGTACAGAGGGTGTAAATAACTTGTCCAGGGTTATACAGATACCAAGTGCAGGACCAGGATTTGGATCCAGCCAGTTTAAATTCAGGCTTCCTTATGTTACATTGTCTCTCATGGAGATATGACATGAAAAGCAGACTTTCTGAAAATGAACATTGAAGTACATCCAGTAAAATCTTATTACTGATTGAGTCTAATCTCCTTGTTGAACAGGCATTCATACATATGCTATCCAATTCTTACCAGTGTTTCTTGACTCAAACGTTACTGTGGACAAGTAACTGACAATTTATTTTCTCTATATTGTGACCTTAGGCTTGAGGAAGAGGGGATCGGGAGAAAAGACATATAAGCTGCAACTATGTCTAGGTAATTTTTTTTAATGTCTTGCTGCTTAGTAAAATAAAAAGGGGAAATTACTGGTTATCTCATATTGTAAGCCTTTTTTGTTTATTCCCTAATTTTTATGTGCACCCGAGCCTCATCACCATAGATAGGCAGGAGTTACTTGAAGCAGGAGGATTATACCCTTGTTATTCTGAAATACTCTCATAAAGCTTACCCAGAATTTTGAAATTTTAATAATGAAAAGTGAATAAATAAACATATAATGCAGGGCTTTGGAAAAAGTAGCATCTCCTTCAGTAAGTGTCAACTGCTAAGCCATTTCCAGATGAAATATGATGAGGGAGAGTATAATATAGTGGCCACTGACATGGGCCATGGAGTAGACAGATGTGATTTTGTATTCTGCCTTCCCCACTTACTAGAGACAGTTCATAACCATTTACGTGCCTCAATTCTTTCATCTGTCAAAAGGAGATACTAATAGTAGCCACCATGCAGAACTGTAGTGAGAATTAAACTTGGAAATGCACACAAAATTCTCAACGCAGTTTTTGGCAAGTATTCAAAAGTAAGTATTCAAAAATATGGGCAAATTAGATAATATTTATCTAAGCAATCACACATGAATCCTTATCGAGCGTTTAAGATAAGTGCAGTCATCCCTTGGTCTCCCTGGGGATTGGTTCTAGGATCCCTGGTGTATATCAAAATCTGCGAAAGCTCAAGTCACTGATATAAAATGGCATAATATTCGCATATAACCTATGCACAGCCTCTTGTATACTTTAAAGCATCTCTAGATTACACATAATACAATGTAAATGCTATGTAAATAGTTGTTATACTGTATTTTATCTGTATTATTTTTTAGTATTGACCTGTTTTTTTTAGTACACTCATGTGTTGCTTAACAAAGGGAATACGTTATAAGAAGTGCAACATTAGGTGATTTCATCATTTTGTAAACATCCTAGAGTGTACTTACACAAACCTAGATGGTATAGCCTACTACACACCTAGCTATGTGGTATAGCCTATCACTTCTATGCTGCAAACCTGTACAGCATGTTACTACACTGAATACTGTAGGCAACTGTAACACAATGGTTAGTATTTATGTATCTAAACATAGAAAAGGTACAATAAAATACGGTATTATAATCTTATGGGATCACTGCCATATATATGGTCCATCACTGATTGATTGACTATGTGGTACGTGACTATATTTTTAATCCACCGTTAGTTCAATCCACAGAGCCGGGACCCACGGGTATGGAGGTCCAACTATAACACTATCATCACCATTTTACAGAAGAGAAAACTGAGGCAGATGGGCAAAGTGACCTGCCTAGGGCTACACAACTAGTTAAGCTGAAGAGCAGGGTTTCAAACCCATAGTGCCTGTCTCCAGAAACCGTGTACTTGGCAACTACATTACACTGCCTCTTGGGATGCAGTTGAGTTTCTATTTCTATAATTCCTTATACGGGAGATGAGAAATATCCTCTCTAAAAACTGAGAAGATTTTTCCCTTGTTAAAGGGACTCTAGGCTTCAACCAATGGTTCAAGGTTGTGTTTGGGGGGAACAGAAGTCTTTCCAGGATCTGAAAAGTCACTGGCGGTTACCTCCTCCCTTTATTAGAAGGCCTTCCTTTTTGCTGGCCAATTCTTTTTGTTTTATTTTTTAATGATACATAATAGATATACACATCTATTATGTACCATGTATTTGGGGGGTACATGTGATAATTTAATATATTCATATAATTTGTAAAGATCAAATCAGTGTACTTAGGATATCCACCATCTTAAATACTTGTCTTTTCTTCATGCTAGAAACATTCAAATTATTCTCTTTTAGGTATTTTAAAATACAGATTATTGTAAATGATAATCACACTATTGTTCCGTCAAACACTATGTGTTATTTTTTCTATCACACTGTTATTTGTACCCATTAATCAACCCCCCCTTATCCCTCCTCCCTGCTATCCTTCCTGTCCTCTAATAACAACAAGCTATTCTTTATCTTCATGAGATCCACTATGTTAGCTCCCACATATTAGTGAGAACATGCAAAAATTATCCTTCTGTGCTTGCCTTACTTCACCCAACATAATGACCTCCAGTTCCATCCATGCTGCTGCAAATGACATAATTTCATTCCTTTTATAGCTGAATAGTATTTCATTGTGTATATATACCACATTGTCCTTATTCATTTATTCACTGATGGACATTTAGGTTGATTCCATACTTTGGGTATTGTGAGTAGTGCTACAATAAACATGGGAGTGCAGGTATCTCTTTGATAGGTTGATTTTTCTTTCTTTTGGATATATACCCAATAGTGGAATTGCTGGATCATATGGTAGTTCTATTTTTGTTTTTTTTTTTTTTTGAGGAACCTCCATATAGTTTTCTATTGTGGCTGTACTAATTTAAATTTCTGAGAGTTCTCCTTTCTCCACATCCTTGCCAGCATCCATTATTTCCTGCTTTTTTTTTTTACAGTAGCCATTTTAACTGGTGTGAGATGATATCTCATTGTGGTTTCAATTTGAATCTAATGATTAGTGATGTTGAGCATTTTTTCATATACCTGTTGGCCATTTGTATATCTTATTTTGAGAAATGTCTATTCAAATCTTTTGCCCATTTTTAACTGTATTATTTGTTTTATTGCTATTGAGTTGTTTAAACTCCTTATGTATTCTGGTTATTAGTTCGTTGTCAGACGGACAGCTTGCAAATATTTTCTCCCATTCTGCAGGTTGTCTTTTCACTTTGTTAATTGTTTCCTTTGCTGTGTAGAGCTTCTAAGCTTGATGTAATCACATTTGTCTATTTTTGTTTTGGTTGCTTGTGCTTTTGAGCTCTTAGACAAAAAATCTTTGCCCTTTCTGGCCAGTCTTAGTGAACTTGCCTTAAGTACTTTCTCTTACTTAGCAATTAATTTATACACAGCAGACAAGGAGGAGCTGTCACCATGTGAATGAAGCTTCCCTAGTCTTGACATGGTGCATGTTGCGGGAAGTCAGGGACCCCAAACGGAGGGACCGGCTGAAGCCATGACAGAATAATGTGGATTGTGAAGATTTTGTGGACATTTATTAGTTCCCCAAATTAATACTTTTGTAATTTCTTATGCCTGTCTTTACTGCAGTCTCTAAACATAAATTGTAAAGATTTCATGGACACTTATCACTTCCCCAATCAATATCCTTGTGATTTCCTATGCCTGTCTTTGCTTTAATCTCTTAATCCTGTCAGCCGAGAAGGATGTATATCGTCTCAGGACCCTGTAATAGTTGCGTTAAGTACACAAATTGTACAGCATGTGTGTTTGAGCAATATGAAATGTGGGCACCCTGAAAAAAGAACAGGACAACAGCAATTGTTCAGGGAATAAGAGAGATAACCTTAAACTCTGACCGCAGGTGAGCCGGGCAGAACAGAGCCATATTTCTCTTCTTTCAAAAGCAAATGGGAGAAATATTGTTGAATTCCTTTTCTCAGCATGGAACGTCCCTGAGAAAGAGAATGCACACCTAGGGGTAGGTCTCTGAACTGGCCCCCCCGGGGCATACCTGTCTCTTCTGGTCAAGATTGCAGAGGTGAAATAAACTCCAGTCTCCCATAGCACTCCCAGGCTATTAGGAGGAGGAAATTCCCGCCTAATAAACTTTGGTCAGACGGGTTGATCTCAAAACCCTGTCTCCTGATAAGATGTTATCAATGACAATGGTGCCCGAAACTTCATTAGCAATTTTAATTTCGCCTCCATCCTGTGGTCCTGTGATCTCGCCCTGCCTCCACCTGCCTTGTGATATTCTATTACCTTGTTAAGTTCTTGATGTCTGTCACCCACACCTATTCGCACACTCCCTCCCCTTTTGAAACTCCCTAATAAAAACTTGCTGGTTTTTGTGGCTTGTGGGGCATCACAGATCCTACCAACGTGTGATGTCTCCCCCAGACGTCCAGCTTTAAAATTTCTCTCTTTTGTACTCTGTCCCTTTATTTCTCAAGCCAGCCGATGCTTAGGAAAATAGAAAAGAACCTACGTGATTATCGGGGCAGGTCCCCCGATAGATGCATTAAAATATTCTTTAAATGTTTTCAGAGACTCAGCCCACTGAAGCAATCATTGTGTTACAGCAGCTATTTCACCTCATCGGTGTTACAGCTTTCAAATGGGAAGATATAATTTTTCAATACTTCAGTTATGACCAAACTCTTGCTTCAAAACTAATTTGACTTCTGTACAGAATACAATTTTGGCATGGGCATATTCCTTTTAAAATTTAACAATTAACCAAAACAATACTAAAATATCATCAGTGAGTCATCAGTGCACAGCTATTCCAAGACATAACTTTGTGAAGCAAAATGTCTTTAGCCTTCATCAGCATGACTGCACTGAAGAAATATGGGTACACATACCGCAGAAGTTTAGAGCTGCTACTGGAGATGCAATACTCTATTTCTGGAGAAACTCACTTTGTCAACAGATGAGTCAAATTATAGACTTCTATTGAGGCCCTGACTGTAAAGTATTATCCCCTAGCCCATGGTTTCTCAAACCCTGATCTATAGAAAGCTAACATTCCAGTTAGTGACCTTGGAATCCTTTGGCAATACTTATTTATTTATTTATTTTAGTAGAGACTGGGTTTTGCAATGTTGGCCAGGCTAGTCTCGAACTCCTGGCCTCAAGTGATCCACCCACCTTGGCCTCACAAAGTGCTGGAATTAGAGGCATGAGCCACAGCAAACGGCCTGTGGCAATATCTTATGAAGTAAGATTGACTATACATGGCTTGCCTGACATCCCTACCTCTGCTTAAACCAGAGTAGCTTCCCATTTATCCTTTGATATATTAAGATTTCTCATTGGATTTCCTTTAAACTAAAAAAAATCTTGATTTGATGAAATTTAAAAATGATCTTTGGGAACAGAAAAAGAAGTACGTGTTCACTGTTTTCTGTGAGATTTTCTACTTTTTGAAAATGCAAAATGCACAGAGTACAGAACAATCATAATATTATAAGTATCTGAGGGGGGAAATAGTTTTGAGCTCGCCAGGATTGGTGAACAACCAAACAAGGCAGCACAATTTGTGCCAGGCATTTTATACCCATTGTCACAAAAAACCTTTACTACAACCATGATAATGGTCTAATCGTTTTCATTTTATGAATTAGTAAACTGAGCTTCAGAGACTTTAAGTAATTCTCAAAAAAATCACGTAACTAAATAACCTGCAGAGAAGGGCTTCAAATATATGTCTGTCTGTCTTCAAAGTCCATGGTCCTTTAATATTATATTACACCCAACTACATCTCCCACACATATCACTGTCACAGGATTTCAGAAATGGATGACATCATTGTAGACTGTGGGGGTCCCAGAATGCTGACCAAATAAGTCTAGCACACAAGGGCTCAATTATAGATATGATGTGAATTGGTTTGGCTATTGTGGACTTATAGAGCTTCAAAGGGGTTAAATTACAGAAGTTGCAAACAGACAGACCCTTGGGTTGCATTTAACAAGCAGATGTGCTTTGTTTAGCCTACACAAAGGCTAAAAGATCAGGACATTCTACTAAACATCCAGATTTGCATTTTTCTTTTTTAAAAAGTGGAGTAATTAGACACCCCGGCCCCTACGTTTCTGCATGACAAAAATCAAGTGTAACTAAGCAGCAACTGCCTCATCTAAATCAATTAACTCTATACTCTCTAGTTTACCACAATCCTCTCCACTCCCTATTGTATTTTATTGCCTGCTGTACTCATTTATGTTACTTGCCTAGATTCTGTGAAAAACTGTATTTATAACTTCTTTTTTAGGGACTAGGAACAGAAAAAGAGAAAAACTTCCTCCTACTGGCCACCTGGAGACCATCCACCTGGAAATATACCAGATGGAGACTGGATTGGGGAGCACATTAATAATATGAGGTGAGATCACAATTCAGGAAAATGCTGTCAAAGAAGTACTGAATTCTATAATTTAGCTGATCAATACCAAGAAGGTAGTATGGGATGAAGCACCATATAAGACCATGAAAGACTAACTCTTCCTACAACACATACTTATTGGGAACTTACCATGTCTCTCCAAAGCAACAAGGAGACAAAAACATGTAAGACATGGTCCCTGCTCTCAAGTTGCTCAGTCTAGTAAGGCAAAAAGACAAGAAAATAAACAATTAAATGTGAAAAAAGAAAAATACAATGTAATTAAAATAAGCATAAAGTGTTGTGAGAGAGTATATAAAACTAGGGTTCGGGAGAAGCTGTTATGAATGACAATTAGGAGTCACTACGTGAAAAAATAGAGGAGAGGGAGAAAAGACAAAGTAAAGGTATGGCATTTATTTAAGCAGAGAACTGGAAACATCATGACTCTTCAGAGAAGTGTAAGTTTTCTCCCTATGACTGGAGCAAAGGAAGTATTTGGGGGAAGTGGTTAAAGAGGAGGCTGGAAGAGTAGGTATACATTCATATATACATAAATTCACATATTCATTCAATGGGAGCTTAAAGATACTGATTTAGGCATTGGGAATACAACAGAGAACAGGGCAGAGAGAACCCCACCCTAGTGAAACTTGCATTCTGAAGAATTCAGTCAAATTTTAAAAAATTACAATTGATTAACCAGATTAGTGCCATGACAGAAGTTTGGCTTTTTAAAGCGTTATGATAGAAACCAACCAGAAAGCTGGCTGTACATAAGATGATCTAGAATAACCAATAGTTCATAAACTTAACATGTTCTTAAAAAAAGAGCTCTAGGCTTTATTCTAAGGACCACAGGAAGCCACAGAGGGCTTTTAAGAGGGGCAGAATTGTGGTATGATCAAGTGTATTTTAGAGCGATAACTGTGACTAAAGTATGAAGGGTTGATTGGATGAGGGAAACTTTGGAAGCAAATAGACTAGTTGGGAGACTCAACTGGTAGCATAGGTAAAGAGTGTAATTGAATTCTTTGTCACTCAAAGGGTTAAATGCTTGAGGGAATGGATAACCTATTCTTCACGATATGCTTATTTCACATTGCATGCCTGTATCAGAACATCTCATGTACCCGATAAATATATACACCTATTATGTACCCACAAAAATTTAAGAAATTTTTTTTAAAAAAGCGGGGTAGTGGCCTCAACTACACCATTTTTTGGCAGAGACAAGGAGAAACAGACAGGTGAGGAGTTGTGACTTGCTAAATTACTGTAGTGAGCTAGAGATGGGAACTTTTAGTAGACCCAGATTTCTATGCTAGTGCGCCAATACCAAGATCCAAAACTATGACTAAGCTTAGTGAAGGTCAGGGAAGGTGAATTTGTTTCAGAAAGCAATGAGGAGAGTAGACCAATTCATAGACTCCATCACTTCATCTCATTATAATGAAAGTAGTCTCACTATTTGAGCAGTGCCAGTCCTTTCTTGAAGCTATGTCATAATTAGGTGTCCCATAACCAGGTAAAAACCGTATCCAGTATTTGAGAAACAGGCCAGGTTGTGACAAAAGTTTTATGAATAAGTTGATGTGGACCAATGAGGATAAGAAAGCTTTGAGTATGGGAAAATTCAGGCAACTAGACATGGAAGGCAAGGTGAATTAATAACACAATGAGAAAAATGTTCAGAGATGAAAATGACTAATATGTGTTTAGGGGATAATAGCTGGAGCAGAATATTCATGTTGGGATAAATGGAGAATGTTACCTCCAATATTTTTGGCAATTACTAAAGTAAAAGAATATTAAGTACTCTGCTTTCAGAAAATTTGCAGATTTCTCCACTTCTGAATGATCTGACTATAAAATTTTTTAAAACATTCTTTTTGCTTTATATTTCCCATTTAACAGTACCTCATGAAAATCATATTAAAACAACACCCTTTATATCACCAGACATTTATTTGACCTGTTCTCTCAAATTTTGATTAAGACTCTATGCATGTGTGAAAATTATTAGATTATTTTCTTGTGAGAATATGGCATATTGAAACATTATTGCCTGAATATTACCTAACAAAATCCAAGTCCTGCCAAACAAAGTACAAACTGGAAATTATGGGAAATCTCTTTAGTATAAATTAATGAAATCAGGAGAGTTAACATTTTGATAGAAACGCATATTCCAAACAAGGTAGGATAAAGTCAGCCTATTGAAACTTTTCCATGTGCTTAGATTTCATTAAACAGCACCATCTCTAAAAATAAATTATATATTAGGAAATTACTTCATTGTTATTGCTATGATGTTCTACACAAAATCCAAGGAGACACCTGACTTTTGTGTTGATACAGAAATATATAGATGCTCTAATTATTGGTAATAACTCCAAAATTTGAAAGCTATTTACTAGACTATCTGAATCTCTTAAATTCCAGAGGCTTCAGACAGAACATATAAACTATGAGGAAAAGAAAAGATGAAATTTCATCAAGCACCTAGACGTGCTTAATGAAGTTCCAGGGTAACCAAGATATGGACCAGACTACTCAAAGCTATTGAATCCAGAGAATTTGGTAGAACAAGAATCTCTGAATCTTCTCTCAGATTTTTCATCTATGTTTCCCATTTTTGAAGCACTCTCTTTGGTTGCTCCTTTTTCTTTTCTTCTTTTTTTTCTTCTTTTCTGCCTTACCAGGGCATGGTGACATTCCTTTAGTCACCATAGTTTGAAGTTCTGTTCAGCTAATATTGATTAAAGGCAAAAGAAAGATTTATTTTGTTTACATGGGGCCTAAGATTAATGTTTTCAGTCTTTATTGTGCTATATTTTAAATTTGATTTTTGGATACTTAATGTACTTCTACATTTTAGTGATCAGCTTTAAAAATTGGTTTGGAATTCAGATAGTGCTCTTAATTAACAAAATTAGAGCTATTTAGCTACTTTGAGAGTAGGCTATAGAGTCTGCTTACACATATTTACTTAGCACAAATTCTCTTCTTCATTAAATGAGAATAATGATATATAATATCTTGTGTACACTTTCTTGAGTGCTAAAAGTGCATTTAAAAAACCAGAAAGACATTTTTCCTAGCTAAAAGATGCAATTAGAAATAAGATGCATTAGTATCTTACTCAAATAAAACCAGGTTTTATGGAGGTTGGGCTAAGCATGGCAGTGCATCCAAAGAAAGCAAATCCAATTCCAAAACCCAAAAATGCCATAAACAATTAAATACAAGCATGTTGATCAAGAACAGGTCCGTGTCATAGAAAAAGTAACATTGGAGCAGAATCTTGAAGGATGAGTAGGTTTTCATAAGGCAAAATTGTATAATGGGTGGAATCACAAGGGAATTTCAGGCAGATGAAATAGCATGAGCAAATGCCAAGGGATATCTAAGTATACTACAGATTCAGAGAACAGCAATTAGTGTAGTAGAGCTGAAACAGAGTTTGCATGATAAGGAAACGGGGCAAATTAAATGCCAGGAATCAAGGGCGGGCCAGGGTCAAGTGATCAGTCTTCAATGCCAGGCAAGGAAGAAAGAGTTTATATTGTAGATAATAAAGAGGCCCTAAAAATGTTTAATCAAATGAATTATGTGCTAAGACATGTTTCAGAATGATTACTTTGGCATAAATGTAAGGAATGGATTTGTTATAGAAAACAGTGGAGATGTAGAGACCAATTAGAAAGCTGGTAGGAAAGGCTAGGAATCTGAACTAGGGAAGAAGGAGTAGAGATGGAAAATAAGCAACACGAAAGAATCTGAAGAAATAAAAACAAAACCCAGAGAATGACTTCATATTGAGTGAGGAAAGGAATCAAGCAACTATAACTCCTTGGTTACTAACCTGATTTACTTAATAGATAGCTACATCTTTCATCAGCAAAACGAATGTAAATTTAAAAAGTATGAAGTCAGGTTTGCAGCAGTAATGAATTGAGTTTGGGATAATTTGTGCAACACCCTCCTGGGTATGCAGGTCTGAAGCTATGCCTAAAGATAGAGCATTTAGGCTTCAATGCGGAAGGGACGTGAAACCACCCACAGAAAAAGTACAGAGAGAGGAGGAGGGGAAGGGAGGGGAGCGGATGGGAGGGGAGGGGGAGAGGAAGGGAGAAGGGAGGGGAGAAGGGAGGGGAGACGGGAGGGGAGAGGGGAAGGGGAGGGGAGGGGAGATAGGAGGGGGAGGGGAGAGGAGAGGGGAGGGGGGACGGGAGGGGGAGGGGAGAGGGGAGGGGGAGGGGGACGGGAGGGGGAGGGGGATGGGAGAGGGAGAGGGGAGGGGAGAGGGGAGGGGAGAGAGGAGGGGAGAGGGGAGGGGAGAGGGGAGGGGACAGGGGATGGGGAGGGGAGAGGGGAGGGGAGGAGCGAGGAGCAGGGCGGGGGGTAGGTAGGGGCGAGGAGAGAGGAGAGGAGAGGGCTGAAAAACCCTAGAGGACATAAATATTTAGTGAGGGGTTAGAAGATGAAGAATCAGAGGGAGAGAATGAAATGGAACTGTGAGAGTGCAGGACATTCTGAAAAGGTAAGTAGATCCCTAGCCAAGACAGGAGAGAAAATTCAACAAGAAAGGGATAGTAGATTCCCTTCATCATGCTTTGAGATGAAACAGATGTCTGATCATATCCCACATTCCTGAATTCTCAACTAGCTGTCTATTGCCACAGTATATTCACAAGCTACAAAGTACCAAGAAACCAAGAAAATCCGTACTTTTTATTAACTAAGACCTTATCCAGTACCACATAATGATCCACCTATCCACTGAGCTGGGCTGAACCAGTAGAAGCTAAACAAACTCCTTTTGACCTTTGGCTCAGGAATGAGGTAGAAGCAAGTCAAGTGCCCTGTTCCTTGGCACCATCCCCCTAAAACCATACCCTTGTCATTTGACTACCAATAATAAGAGGAGGCATGAGAAAGTGAACCCACATAGAGCTTTCTCTCGGTGTCCACAGCTTACTGCCCGCTTTCCAGTAGGACTCACTCTGGCCAGGATTTTAGTGTAACAAAGCTTAACCCAAAGCTATCCACAAACTAAGCCAAATAGGTATCTCCATTATATTTGCTATATTCAGCTATATCCAGGTAGACTGCCCAACCTAGTTCACCAGAGAGGGATTATAAAACATCCACCAGATAAAAAGCAACAAACACTTCAAGAAAACATAAAATGTATCACATTTGCTATCTCCTTACAGCATGCGTCAGTTTAAAGTCCCTTTTGTTTTCAAAGGCAATCTCTTGTTCCCAGAGAGAAAAAGTTCTAAAAAATTACATTTATTATCTCTTATTCACACTAGAAACAAAAAAAATATGTACTATTTTATGCACAGTGCATTTTCCTTCTCTTATTTTATGTTTCTTTTTATCATGAAATATTTCAAACATACAGAAGGGTAGAGATAATAATAGAATGTTTAATCACTACCCAGCTTAAATAAATTTTAACTCTTTCATGTCTTTTGTACCTTTAAAAAAACACAGAATTGCAGCCTCTTGGGTGTATCTCTCAAATCCCATTATTTTCCATTCCCCCATTTCAATACTAAGGATGATAAATACAATTCTAATTTGTTTTCATATATTGGCTACATAAGTATTCATCTCTAAAATATGTGCTAATGTTTTATATTTTTAATTTACATAAATGGTACTTTCCTATGCATATCATGCTGGAATTTTTATTTTTATTGTTATCTACTATTAAATATGTATGATTTCCTCTGATTTCTTATTCCTAAAGTTATTTAATAATTCATATTTTTAATCTCCAAGCACGTGGTTCTTAATCATATATATATATATACACATATATATTCTATCTTTTAACTGAAATTCATTCAGAGAAAGCTGCCTGCATGATATTGGCTCTTTAAAAATTTGTTTAGATTTTTTGCAGGATCTGAAACATAATATATTTTTGTAAATTTTATATGCAAGCTTGAAAATCAAGCTCACAAATTATATTATGCATTTCTTCTCTGAAGAAATGTATATATGTGTTAGATTAAGCTTGCTAATTGCCTTTTTTTTAGATTTCTAAATACTTACTAATTTTTTGCCTGCTCGATTTACTGGTTTCAGATAGATATGTGTGAAACTCTTTCACTGTAATACAATTTTACCAATTTCTACTTTAAATTTGTTAATACTATGTATATGTTTGAAGCTATGTTTTTTCAGTGCATAAAAGCTTATACCAGTTATATCTTATTGGTGGCTTTTTCCTGTTATTATGTGATATCACTTATTTCAGTTAATGCTTTGTGCTTTAAATTCTATCAAAAGAAGCCTTACCCATCCCTCCCCTCTCCTCATGTAAGTAGCCTCAGTCCTGAATTTTGTGTTTTAACTTGTTTAGTTATATTTGAATCCTAAAATATTATTTAATCCTTTATATTTTTAATGTTAGATAAGTGAACTTATATTGTATATATTCTTGTGTAACTTTCTTCTGTGACTCACTCAACATTAGTACTAGGAGATTCATTCATGTTGGTATGCAACTCAGTTCATTCATTTTCATTGCTGAATATAGCCACTTGCATGAATATGCAACAATTTGTCTATTCTACTATGGATAAACATTTGTATTGTTTCTAGATTAGGGGCATTAACAAATAGTGCTTGTAGGAATATTTTTATAAATCTCTCTCTTTCTCTCTCTCTCTCTCTCCACACACACACACACACACACACACACACACACACACACACACACACACACACGAGTTCCTCTCAGGGGTTGGCAAACTTTTCCTTTAAAGGGCCTAACAATAAACAATTTAGGCTTTTTAGACCACATGTGATCTCAGTCACATATTCTCTCTTTCTCTACAGCCCTTTAAAAATTTAAAAATCATTCTTAGTGTGCAGAACCTTACCAAAACAGGCCATAGGACATACTTGCCCATGACCCAAGTACCAACCCCTGCAGAGAAAACACCCAGGGATGAAACAGCTTTCAAACTTTTATATTTTTGCCAAATGAGGAATGTGAAATGGTATCTCATTGTGATTTTAATTTAATGAGGCTGAACATCATTTTGTATGTTTATTGGCCACTTGGGTTTCCTCTTCTGTGCAATGACTATTGAAGACATTTGCTCATTTTTCAAGTGGATTGCTTTTTCTTATGACCTGTATATGAGTCCCTTCTGAGTGATATGTGTTGCACGTAACTTCCAGTTTTTGTCTTGTTTGCTGAACAGAAACTTTTAATCTCGATGTAGTCCATCTACTTTTTCTCTATTATATCTACTTCTTTTCCCTTAGATTGTCACCTAAAAGTTTTTGTAATATTAGCCTGAAGTCTTTCATACACCCAGTATCTATTTTTATATACAAAGTGATACAGGAGTAATAATGTCATATTTTTCTATTGCAAAGTTCATCCTTTCCCCCATTGAACTGGAATGCTGATTCTGTCACACATGAAGTTCTCACTAAGTTATGCTGCACTAACAAACAATCCCCAAATCATGGTGGCTTATGCAGCTTATTTCTTGCTCACACTACATACTGACAGCATGTCAGCACTGGGTTCCATCTACAGTTCTTTTTTCTTTATTTCAGGATTAAAACTGAAAGAGCAGTCCTTATTAGGCATATGACATTTTTTTTTGGCAGAAGGAAAAGAATTGTCAAACCTCGCAATGAGATTTCTGTCATTATAGTTATATACTCACCATGATTAAAGTTTCTGTCAGGTGTGATGTCACCTCTGCTAGCATTTTATTGGCCAAAGCAAGGTAGGCGAAGCCCAACATCAATGGCAGGGTATGGGGGGAGTAGGGAGGAGTTCACTCCTCTCCCAGGGAGGCACAGCAAGTTATATGGCCACGAGTGGAAATATATAATCTTATAGCAAGAGAAGGAATTTGAGGGAGGAATAATACTGTTTACTACAACATATGCATGACTTTTTTTCTGGGCACTCTATCTGGTTCCTATAGTCAGGTTATCTATCCCTGTGCAGATACCACAAATACCACAGTCTTAATTAGTATAGTTTCATAATAATTATTGACATCTGGTAAGGCAAGGCATTCCAACATGACCTCTTTCTTTAGCAGTGTCTTGACTGTCCTTGGCCTTTGCCCTTACATATAATTTAGAAACTTTTGTAATCTTAAAATATCTTAAAATACTTTATCCTACTAATCATAGTATCTTTTTATATATTGTGGAGAATATAAATGTACTTTATGGATTTTTATATCCAACAAACTTGCCAAACTGTCTTATTAATTCTATTAATTCTGTAGATTAATTAATTCTGTAGTTTTTTTTCAGTTTTTTAATGTAGGTAATCATATCAAGTGTAAGTAATGACAGTTTTATATACCTCTTCTAATATCTCCATTTCCCAAAGTTAAACTGTGTTTTGGGTCTGTCTTTTATGCAGAATATAACTGAATTTTGCATCCCCAATCTGATACTCTTAGTTACCTCTCTTTTTTTGTTTGTTTCTAGTTGACACATAATGATTGCACATATTTATGGGATACAGAGCAATATTTTGATAAGTGTATACAACGTATAATGATCAAATCAGGGTAACTAGCATATCCATTGCCTCAAACATTTATCATTTCTTTGTGTTGTAAACATTCAAAATCCTCGAATTTTTGAAAGTATACAATAAATTATTGTTGACTGTACTCAGTCTACAGTGCTGCAGAGAACCAGAAATCATCCCTCTTATCTAGCTATAATTTCATATCTGTTATACATTTCACCCACTTTTTAAAAATGTTTTCTTTTTACTATCCTCTCTTTATATTTCATCTGCCCCCTTTACTGATTTTTTTATTCTTAAAGTTTTCTGTAAGCTTTTCTCTTACCTCAACTATCATGAAATAAATATGTGGATTACATTTCTATTTTATGAATAGACTTTATTTTTCCATATATCTTTACCTAAAACTGTTTTCAATAGTGTCTAACATTATTTGGTACACCTTTCCTCTTCCATAAACACACACACACATGCACACACACACACACACACAAACATACTAATCTTGGCTTCCTTTAAGTAATCACTAAACATATTGAAGAGCATGCACTCAATCCCCTATTGTTGCTATTGTTGTCTACCATTTTAGTTTTATCTTTCATTTAATTGCAAAATGCTGTTTTCTTTTTTTCTATTATTATTATTATTATTATTATTATTTTGTTGTTTTTTAAGATAATTTAATTATTTGGAGAAATAGTTATAATACAATGTGTTTAAAATTATGATTCACACTCTAGTAACCAATTTGGCAGTTTCTTACAAGATTAAGCATGCAAATACCATACAACCCAGTAATGACACTCAGGTATTTGTCCCAGAGAAAGGAAAACATAGATTTTTACATAAAAACCTGTACACAAAGCTTTATTCATAATAGCCAAAACTGGAAACAACCCAGATGTCCTTCAACAGCATGATTCCATGTATAGAACATTTTTGAAAAGCCAAAATGTAGACGTGGAAAACAGATTAGTGAAGGCCATGAAGATGGATGGGCACGTGGGAGGAGGGTGAGGAAGAAAGGGTTGTGATTTTTAAAAGGGCAACACAAAGGATCCTTGTGGCAATGGAATTGTTCTGCATCTTGACTGTGGTTATAGACGCACAAGCCTAACATGATAAATTGTATAGAAGTAAATACACACACACGTACAAGTAAAATAGGGAATTTTGAATAAGATCAGTAAATGTCAGTATCCTGGTTATGATATTGTACAAGATGTTACTATTGGAGAAAACTGAATAAAAGGTACAACGGGATCTCTCTGAATTCTTTCTTTTTTTCCTTTTATTTTTAGTTGGCATGTAATAATTGTACATATTTATGGGATACAGAGTGATATTTCTTTTCTTTTTTCTTTTTTTTGAGACAGACTTTTTTTGAGACAGACTTTTTTTTTGAGAGACAGACTTTTTCTTTTTGAGACAGACTTTTCTTTTCTTTTTTTTTTTTTTGTTTGAGACTGGGAAACAGTCTCACTCTGTTTCCCAGGCTGAAGTGCAGTGGCGCAATCTTGGCTCATTGCAACCTCTGCCTCCCGGGTTCAAGTGATTCTTCTGCCTCAGCCTCCCGAGTAGCTGGGATTACAGGCATCAGCCACCACGCCCAGCTAATTTTTGTATTTTTAGTAGAGACAGGGTTTCACCATGTCTGGCCTCAAGAGATCCACCCACCTCAGCCTCCCAAAGTGCTGGGATTACAGGCATGAGCCACCGTGCCCGGCCCAGAGTGATATTTCAATACACACATACAATGTGTAATCATCAAATCAGAGTAATTAGCATATCCATCACCTCAAACATTTATTTCTTCATATTGTGAACGTTCAAAATCCTTTCTCTATATTATTTCTTATAACTGCTTATTAATTATAGTTAATTAATCTATAGTTATATCAGAATAATAAGCTTAATTTTTATTTATTTATTTATATTATACTTTAAGTTTTAGGGTACATGTGCACATTGTGCAGGTTATTATACATTAAGTTTTAGGGTACATGTGCACAATATGCAGGTTAGTTACATATGTATACATGTGCCATGCTGGTGTGCTGCACCCATTAACTCGTCATTTAGCATTAGGTATATCTCCTAATGCTATCCCTCCCCCCTCCCCCCACCCCACAACAGTCCCCAGAGTGTGATGTTCCCCTTCCTGCAAAATGCTATTTTCTATTCGGTCATGAATTAAATTTACTAAAATATCATCATTCATGGCTTGCAATTGTTTTTTGCATTCCACATCTTTACTTTCACCTTTTTTCTTGTTGGAAGACATCCTTTAGAGTGTCTTTCTACAAGAGTCTTTTTATGGCTATACATCTTATTCTTTCTGTTGTTAAAAATGTCTTTATCTTTGCATTTGGATGGTAGTTGTTGGGCTGAATATATTATACCATGTACTTCTGGTATCTCTTCATACTGATGAGAAATCCAGCTGTTAAATTATTGTTCTTTTGTAGATCATTGACTTCTATGTATGTTAGTTTTAAATGATTTCCCTCTATCCTTAATATTCGGCAGTGGTCATCAGCAGTTTCATTAACTTGTATATATTTACAAATTTAGTTTTAATTATTTTGCTATTTACAGTTAACTTTTGAGTGAGGACCCATGCCTTTCTTCAATTCTGGAAGTCGTCTGCAAAACCTCCTTGAATGTTGTTTCTCTGCTATTCTCTCTCTTCCCTTATTTTGTAAATCTGATTAGACTCATAGTGGAATCTGTTAAACTATCTATCTTCTATTTTTATTAACTTATCTTTCATCATTTTTATATTTTTATGTGCTGCATTCTAAGTAGATTCCTTGGCCACATATTTGATTGCATGCATTCCCTCTTTGTTTGTGTCCAGTTTAGAGTTTGTCTACTGAATTGTCAGTTCGATAATAATATTTTTTCATTTCTAAAATTTCTAATAGGGTCCCTTTTATCTCATTCTGTTTATATTTTATTCTCCCTATTTTTCATATATATTTTACAATTCTGTTTATGAATATTCATTTATGTCTTTGTGGATCCTAACTATACACTTAATTTAAATCTTTTCCCAATTTTTTAAAATTTTTATTTTAAATAAAACAAATGTATCCTCCAACTGTGGATATTTGGGCTACTATTCCTAGCTTTATTTATGCTATGTGTGACTTATAGATTCATTGTACTTAGGGTACTCATCTATTTCTATCTCTTTTCCCCTTTACCCTCCCCCCTTGCTTAATAATTTTGTACTTTTTTTTCACTTAGGAGCTTCTGTAGAAATGCCTGGTCTTATATAGGTGGCTTGAACCCCTATTCACATTATATAGGTGATATCAGAGAGCTAGTCTGTGCTAGTGTTGGGTTCCTTCACATCATAAATGGGATATAGGTCCTTTAGTATATTCATAGTTACTTCAACTCCAAGTTGTTTCCTGGATTCCTAATATCCAAAGTCACACAGGTAAATACCAAGATAAATAAGAATATTCCATCAGCTGTACTGGAGTTTTGTTATGCAAGAATGACCAGAAAAGCTGTGATATCTCCCTAGAATGTAATAAAAGGAGCAGGAAAGAACTACTCAACAAATTGGAGTTGGAGGGCCAGTGCTGCATTTTAAAGAGGAATGCTTCTGTTCCCCTCTAATGTTTTCTTCTATGTAGCAGGAGATCAATTTAAAGAAACATCCCTGAGCTCTCTCCATCCTCCTCATTCAGTCTACTCTCGGGGATAAGAGTTGTGACTTATGTGATTGGTGAATTTGGAATAAGGAACCAGACATGTATCACTCAGCCTCTGCCTCTCCTTTTTCACTTGGGATCCTGCACCCACTATGAAGTACATATTCTGGTCAACTCCTTTATGCGATAAGCTTTAAGCATGGCCAGATCCCCCATAAGGGGTAGTCTAAGGTTTTCCAATGCTTCCTGTGGCTGGGAGGATAAATTTTTCTAATGTTGGAGTATTGTAAAAGAAAGGCTTCTTGCCCACACATACAAGCCACGATATCGAATATCAGCTTTACTAATTATAGAGATGATGTATTTATTTTTTTCTTATTTGTATCTATAAATATTTTAATAAATTCAAAATCCAGATGGGGAAAATTCAGGTCACCTCATAACTTCAACAGGGAGAAATAATAAAATTGTTTAAGGTTTATAATTTATACAGTTTGGCTTTTTCAATAAATAAGTTATATTTCAAAAAATACTCTACACCAAAGTTCTATGCCCAATCTTTCTTCCCTCTCTCCTCACATAATTTACTCTAATCACCTTTCTCTCCCTTCACTCTTCCTTTCTCTATCCCTGACCTCATCTTTCACCTTCTGGATCATTTAACTTTTTCCTTGTATTTCTTTGAGTTTTCCATAAGCCAATTTATCCTTTGTTTGGCTTCTTCAATTCTCCTCTCCATCCATTTCTTAGATCCATACAGTAAAGGCCCAGTGGCTATAAAAGCACAGATTCCCATTTCGAAAACAGGTAAAGACCTAGGGAAAATATCTGCAGGTATATACATAACAAGAGGTTAATATCCAGAATATATATAACAAACACCTACACATCAACAAAAATAATTCAATTCAAAATTGGGCAGGCATTTCTCCAATGAAAATGAAGACATTGAACAGATATTTCTCCAAAGAAGATATACAAATAGACAAGGAGCATATGACAAAATGCCCAGCACCATTAGTCATTACAGAAATGCAAATCAAAACCATAATGAGATACTACTTCACATCCACGAGAATGGCTTTATTTAAAAAATCTAAAATAACAAGTGTTGGCGAGGATGTGGAGAAATTGTAACCCTTATCCATTGCTGGTTGGAATGCAAAATGGCACAGCCACTGTGGAAAACACTATGATGATTCCTCAAAAAGTTAGTTAAATATAGAATTACCATGTGATCCAGCAATGCCACTCCTAGGAACATATCCAAAATAATTGAAAGCATGAACTCAAACAGATACTTGTACATCAACGTCCACAGCAGCACTACTCACAATAGCTACATGCTACAACATGGATAAAGTTTTAAAACATTATGCTAGGTGAAATAAGTCAGAAGACGCAGAAGAATAAATTCATTAATATGAAATTGCATAAATTCATTAACATAAAATATCTAAATTAGGCAAACTCATAAAGACAGAAAGTAGATTAGAGGTTACCTGGGACAGGGAGAAGAGAGAATGGGAGTTATTGCTTAATGAGTATAGAGTTTTTGTTTGGGATGATGAAAAAGTTCTGAAAATGGATAGTGGTGATGGTTTTCCAACATTGTTAATGCGTTTGATGGCACTGAGTTGAATAGTTAATAATTGTTAAGATTAGAATTTTATATTATGTATATTATACCACAATAAAAAACTAAAAAATAAGGCAGACAGACTGTATATGATAATACTTTAATACTTTTATCCATTTCAAACATATCACTATCACATAGTAGATGTATAAGCATAGGAAAACTACTTATTTCTTTGAAACTCATCTTTATCATCTGTCAAATTGGGATCACATTGCACTGCCAGCCCCATACAGTTTGAAGCTCAGTTGCAGCCTAATGTTTCTAAGGTGCCTAACAGTATATACATAGTAAGTGCTTGGAGTACTTAGCCCTTTATGTTTACAACAAGCATGTGATGTAAGTGTAGTTTTTCTGTTACTAATAAAACTGCCATTTGCCAAAGATGGCTGTGAGAAACACATCTTCTGGGGAAGGGATTTTTGTTACAGAACTGCAACTATGGCCTAACTTGAATAATTGCTTTAGTGATCAAGTCTCGTCCAGACAGGAGGAATTTCAAGTGGGTTGGATGTCTCACAGGCATCTTAAACTTAACATGTCCTAAGCAAATTCTTTAACATTTCTCCTGAACACAGTCCTTATGCAAATATTCCACATCACAGTAAATAATACCACCATCTGCCCAGTTGCTCAAGACAGAGACACCTCCCTCTTTCTCCTCCTCCCACCCCACACTCATTCCACTACCAAATGCAGTTTATTCCACTTCCAAAATATATCTTCAACTTGCTTCTTCATTCCCACTGACACTGTCACCACTTGGAATGCAGCAAAAGCCTCCAAACTGGTCTCCCTACTTCCTCTCTGGACTATCTCTTCTATTATACATAGAGTAACCAGAGTGATCCTGAATATAAAATTACATTATGTAACTCTTTGTAAAACTCTACTTGCTTCTAATTCATTTTGAGTAAAATCCAGACTTTTTAATGTGGATTTGCAAGCCTCTGAGTGATCTAGCCTTTGTCTGCAGTCCAGTCTCATCCCAGGCTTCTATTCCATCACTTATTTGGCATCAGCCACACTTGTCTTCGTTCCTTGGATAGGCCAAGCCCTTTGCCCCTTTCAGGCCTCTGCACACACTGTGTCTCTGCCTGAAACTCTGTCCACCCATTCTTCATCTGGTTTTAGCACACTTCTGCAGGATGACCTGCCATGACCCTGTATCTAAAGTAGGTGTTTCTATTACTCTTATAGCACCTGCACACTGATCTATATATGCACTTTCTTGCTGCTTTCTTACACCTTGTTTCTTGCTACTTTCTTACACCACAATGTAATCTCTACGAGAATAGGAATTATAACCGTTTTACTCACCACGATATCTGTAGCACTACCATAGTGCCTGGCACATGGTAGGCATTCAATAAATATTGGTTAAATGATTCAATAAGTAAAGTAAGCAGCAACAACTTGATACATATTAATATCTACAGGTTTCTTGAATACAAACCACTGTGTGTATTGATTTCCCACACATAAAATATTATATGAGTATGACAATACATTTTCATCGCAACAGTTAGAAGGTATTATTTGAATATTTTAATTTCCATACAGACCATGACCATTTTACATTCACATAAGGACAACTTATTAGGGCCTTGTGGGTGAGCCGTCAACCTAAATGTTCTTGCCTTTCTAGCATGTACAGCTTCTAAATAATCCAATAAAGATCAGAAGGAATCATCCTCAATGAGACCCTTAAAAAGTTGAATGTCTGGTTATATCATATCATCTACTAAGTTGATTTTGAGTAAGACACAGCCAGTAATTTTTCTAAGCTAATCCTCCGTTTATGTCCAAATGCATGCACACACACACACACACACAGGTTTACATTTGTATCCACAGACTTACTTTTTAAAACATAGATTTTTTTTATTTTTACTCTTTATAATTGTATCTCTAGCATTAAAATTAAAGAAAGCACATTGCAGGCAGAGGTCATGCTCAGCAGTGGCATTCAGAGAGCTGGGAAGTAGGAGGCTGACATAGATGAGTTTTAGAGGGGATTTCTGAGGCACCAATTTTATGATATTTCTTAATGCTCCTCTGGCTAAGTGTCTGTTGCTGTCCAAATCAACATTTTCATTATCTGATGCTCTGTAAGTTATCTGCCCTAGTAAAATTGACAGCAGAAAGCTACCTAGCCAAGTTAATTAGGTTTTTCATTAACGTTTTAGCTCTGGTATCGCTTTGCCTTCAATATGATGAAGAGTGTTTTGAAGTAACAAATTTAAGTAAGGATCATACAAACTTAATTTGGGAGGCTACAGATATCCTTTAGCTAACTTTCATTGCATTGGACTAAAATCTGTCATGGAGAAGGAGCAGTTAAAGCAGAATATGTTCTTCAATTGAAAGTAGTTTAAAATGCACTATTGGGGCAATTCCGTTTTTGATTTGGTTTATATAATTTAATTAAAAGGCAACAAACCTTTAGTACTAATCCTTTCGTATTACCACTCTTGTGCTTGAAAGCTGCTCACATCAAATCACATCATCTTAATATAATTACCAGCTCACCATGAAAGAAAAATGTGACCTAAAGTAAGTTAAGGCAATAGAATGTTAGTCCAAGAAGAGCCTTGAGCCATCACTTACTCTAAGGATTTTCAAAGACTTTAACAGAGAAATTCTTTCCACAAATATTGTTTAAAAAGGAAGCCCTAAATGTAGATGATAATTGCAATGACAGTGACAACCACCACTTGAATAGTATTAACTATCTGCCAGACATTGTTCTAAGTCCTGAACACATATTAACTCATTTAATCATCACAAAACTCTAATATCAGCACCCTTATTTTGTAGATAAGGAAAACACACAAGAGCATTAATAGAATGCTTCTAATTGGTAAATCCAGGATTCGAAGGCCGGCAGGCTGGCAGGAACAGTCTGCTCCAGAGTCCATTAATTACCATTACCTTTCTAGGGTAAAGGAGAGCTATTCAACTTAGGAGGAAAACAAGGGAACTCTTGTTTTATAGACCCTAAAGAGACTTCCCCAAAGCACTGCCTCCCCTGTGATTCCTCACACAGGAAGTTACTGGATGGCTGTGATAAGGATATGACCATCACCAAACATTAAGGGTAGAAATAATATTAATACATAACTCACCTTCTAAGACTTCCAGAAGACTAGGAGCTTCACCAGCCAGAGGTTGATAATGAAAGAGTAATCAGAGAAGTGGCAGTATTATGGAAGGAAAGTATTTATGTGCTAATTAGAGAGACAATACATTTCTAATGAGTCATCAGTCAATTGATTGGATTTGAATCCTAACTAGCACTCAAAAATGCCACCAAAGAGGGAATTTCTATTACAACATTTATTGATTGGATTTGAACCCTAACTAGCACTTAAAAGTGCCACCAAAGAGGGAATTTTTATTATAAAACGTATCAGGCCATGTCATAAGTGCCACTTATCAACCTAAAACCTGTGAGGTATCTGGGGTGCTACCTAAAGGGCAAGGGTAATACAGAAGTAGGAGGACCTTGGTTGAGAATCCCTGAGAGAAAGCAGATTAACATCAAGCAGACAACATGAACTAGTGGGTCCTTCTCACTATAGCCTCCTCATCCAAACTCTTTTTTCCCTCCAAAGAAATAATAGGTTCCTTTACATATGATGATATCTTGGAGTCCAGAGAGGTAAAGCTGTTCAAGGTTTACATTTATGTTAAGCTTAAACCCAGGCACATTACTGCCAAATGTGGCTTTATTTTGTTGTTATGACTGCTGTTAACTTGAAAATATCTTCTGAAAGAAACTCTTTGAGAGTACATGGAAAAGTTCATACAATTGGTAGATATTATTTTACTTTAATAAGTTTTCTTTTCCATACCAGTGATTTCCATTTGTTTAAATCATGGTTTTGTCTATATCTACTGATGTAAATGGCAATATTTACATTAGTTCTGGTACAGTTGAAATAACACTTTACTTACAATAGGGAGACTATTATCGGAAAACTATAGCAATTATCTTTCTTACCACTGATTAACTGATCTCAATTACATTGTTACTGCCTTTTTGGAAAATAAAGCAAAATAAATTTTTTAAGTATGTCAAATTAACAAAAGCACTTTCAGACAAAAATCATTCTAGTTGGACTGAAGGAGATATGTGCTCATTGCAAAAAAAAATTAAAAAAAGAAAAATAGACAGTTCCTGATTTCTTCACTGTCTGAGAAGCAAGAAACTGATATCCCAGCTTTATCATTTCTCCCTTTAGAATACCAGGGTGAGACCAAAGTCTCAGTGTAATTTTGTTGGTTAGAAATATTGTATCTATGGTATCCATCTCAAAAATGCCAGTAAATTTCTTATAAGCATTTTTGTTTTAATATATATTTCCATGCTTATTCATGAGCTTGAGCATGTTTTATTATGTTTTTGTAGCATTTGTATATCCCGATTTTGTGAAGCTACATATATTTTTAAATTTTTATTCTGAAATAATTTTTGATTTACAAATGTTTTGCAAAAATAGTACAGAGAGCTTCCATGCACCCCTCATATCTTTGCTCAGCATCAAAAATGCACACTCATCCCATTAGCTGTTGTCAACACAGGGTACGGAGACTCTAGTCACCATGGGACATCAGATTTATTCTGGCTGCAACAAGGTAGGACTATACTTGTTAGACAGACATGATCCTATGGAAATGGTTCTCCCTGTTGGTTTGCAGATAATTTGGCAACCTGTACGGTCGTAGTAAAAGACATTCAACTGGAATTATAGTAGGAACTCAGGTAGAAGATGGTTGTAGGCCAGCTATAAGTAGCTTCTGATCTCAGCATTAGTCCCAAGTTTGGGAATCGCTTCTTGAAATTCGAATTATATTGCCTGGTCTTAAGTCAACTCTTTCCAAAATTATTACTCTTATGCTCTACCCTAAGGTCTAAAGTATCCCCAATTATTCTTTTTAAAACAGATGGACATCTTATATTTTATAATGAGCAATTAATCTATGCCAGGTGATTCTTTCCATACATTATCTCGTTTAATCCCTAGTTAAGAATTGGATAGCCAGAATTTCATCCCAGGCAGTCCATCTCCATAGCCCATGCTAAACATTACTACATGACAGTGCCTCTTAGTAACTTCTCTCAAAATTAATTCATCTCTTCACAGATATTCTGATACAAAGTTCAGGACTCTTACCCCCAAACTGCATTGCTTCATCTAAAATATATATATTTTCTTAGGTAGAATTTTTTTTTTATTTTAAGTTCTGGGATACATGTGCAGAACGTACAGGTTTGTTACATAGGTATACATGTGCCATGGTGGTTTGCTGCACGTATCCACCCGTCATCTAGGTTTTAAGCCCTGCATGCATTAGGTATTTGTCCTAAGGCTCTCCCTGTGTCCATGTGTTCTCCTTGTTCAACTCCCACTTATGAGTGAGAACATGCGGTGTTTGGGTTAGTTTGCTGAGAATGATGGTTTCCAGCTTCATCCATGTCCCTGCAAAGGACATGAACTTATTCCTTTTTATGGTTGCATAGTATTCCATGGTGTATATGTGCCACATTTTCATTATCCAGTCTATCATTGGCGGGCATTTGGGTTGGTTCCAAGTCTTTGCTATTGTAAATAGTGCTGCAATAAATATAGGTGTGCATGTGTCTTTACAGTAGAATGGTTTGTAATCCTTTGGATATATACCCAGTAATGGGATTGCTGGGTCAAATGGTATTTCCTGCTCTAGATCCTTGAGGAATCGCCACACTGTCTTCCACCATGGTTGAACTAATTTACACTCCCACCAACAGTGTAAAAGCGTTCCTTAGGTAGAAATTTCATGGTGCAATTAATGTTTTGGTATTTTTATAGTTTGAATGGGTAATTCTTTCATGTGGTTCAAAATAAATTGGAGAAGTTTGTCTCCCACCCCTACCCTAGTTCACTCGTTTCCTGTTGCTGCCCCTATCCATTGATGATTTATCACTGCGGTATTTCTTTACACAAATATAAGAAAAGAGGAATATATAGTTTCATTTCACCACTTTCTTACAAAAAAAATAGATGGAATATTATAAACACTGTACTGACTCTTGCCTTTTTCACGTAACAAGGTATGTTAGAGATCTTTCGGTATCAGTATATAGAATATATATATATTCCTCATTCTATATATTATATAGAGTATATATATTCCTCATTCTTTTCTTCAGCTGCTGTGTACATGTGCCATAATTTATGTAACAATCCCTTTATGATGAGGATATGGATTGGTTTCATCTTTTTCTATTATTACAAATAAAGCTGCAATGGTTAATCTTGTACATACATTTATGAGAGAAATTTAGGCTATTTTTTGATGACCCTTCTATGTTTTGCAGTATAAATCAACCCTAGGAGGCATTTGAAAATAGGCAAAATATGCAAGCTCTGAAGATACCTTACTACCCCACACCTGCCACTACAACAGCAGCCGTTCCCTCTGATCCTTGTTCTCTGAAAAGATAGTCATCCAATAGTTTCACACACTCCAAAAAGCTGACAAAGTACTTGCTTAATGTTTGGAAATGGCAATACTTTTTTCCAAAGGAATGATGACTGAAAATGTAATCTCAGGCAACTTGATAAAAGGTGGGAAAAGTGATTTGGAGTAAGATGTGAGGCTTTCCTGTTACCTTCCTAATTGTCCAGACAAAAGAACACTCCAACTAATTAGAGGCTATTTTTCCAATCCGTGATAATCCAAGATTTGTTTATGTTATAGGAACATAATAATTATTTTAGTGTTTGAAATCACTTCAACATAAATGTGTCCTGGGTTTTGTCCTTAAGAGACCACAAGCATTTACAACCCAAGCCCCAAGTGTTTACTCTGTTGCAATTTTGTCAATAAGACTCTATTTCCTGAAACTGGTAGATTTGTGTGTATATGTGTGTGTGTGTACAAGTTTTCAGTTTGGGATAAGATCTGGGGACATGGGAGAGAACAAAAGAAGGGGAAACAATATAGTTTAAAGAGTTTCTTAACAAAATCTAGTCAACATCCTTCTCCTTCTTCAGGCTCTTTGGGTCCTATCAGGCATTTTCCTGAGCAGCTAGATATCACAAGCTGAGGTTAGTGATCCAAGAGGAAGAACACAGTAATGAAGACCATAGCTTTGGGAACCCATTGCCTGGATTTGAATTCCAGCTCCATCACTGACTATCTGACCTTAAACCAGGCCTTCTTGTGCCTTTATTTCCTGGCATTTAAAAAATAAATTTACTGTCTAATGGGGTTGTTATGTAGGTAAAATGATACAATATATGGAAAGTACTTAGTGCAAATTATGAGCTCAATAAATGTCAACCATTATACTTATAACATTTTTAGTACACTGTGAAGTCCTTGAAGTTAACTTTACAGAATTTAACTATAAATTTATTTCTGTATTTCCATTTTCTAGCCAAGTAGTGGGCACATAATAAGTGATCAATTAATGTTGACTAAATATATGAATGAATAAAGAAATGAGTGAACTAAAGAACATCAAGTTCTCCCTCAGGTAAGTGAAAGTTTCGTTGGTATACCACTTGTCACCTTGATGAGCTAGGAAAAGGGAGCTAAATATTAGGTAGAGCCATCTCAGAAAGCACTATTCTTTTTTTCCTATTTGGCCAAAAAGTATGAAACCTGATTCACAGACAATATATGAAATCTTGACTTCATGTAAGTTTGTTTTTCAAAACAAGTTGTTGACTCATACATATATAGATATATTCATGTATGCATATACATACACATATACTTTTTTCCACCTTTGCAAAACTTTTTCTATAAATACATTTGCAAATTTATGGAGAAAAAATGCCTTTGTCAAATTATGTGTCAAGTAACGATTTTCAGTTCCGAAAATACAGTCATTACAGGGATCATACTTAATTGTTACCCTGTCAACTTCTTCCCCACTTTTCCATGGAACCCTGATGATTTAGTTTAACAATTCTATTGTATTTGTGTCTTTTAACATAAGCCATTTCAAATTAATTTTAGTAGCAGGTGGATATACAGCTATATTCAATGATAACTAGATAGACATAAGATAGTTAGAGATAGATGATGGAATAGATAGTAGATAGAGATAGATAGATACATAGATACATACATACATACATAGATATAAATACATAGATAGATAGATAGATATGATAGACAAGTAAATAGGCAATTCTTACAGTGCCTAACATAGATGGTTGAATAATAAGTATGAAAGGTTAGCAACTGGTATTTGTAGTTCATTTACCTTGTATGGAGCTAAATTTAAAAAGTTAAGTGTGTTCATTGTTCCCCAGAAATAGAGCATCAGAAACAGCCTTAGTCTTTTAAAATAAAATGCCTCCTTGACATTTCGACTTGGATAGTTCACAGACATCAAAAACTTAACATCCTTTATATAAATCTCTTGATTGTTCCCTATTATCCTGTCTTCTTCATCTAAGTAAATGGCATCATATTCCTCCTCCAAACTAGAAACCTAAGAGTTATCATCAAATCCACCCTGTCTCCCACCTCTACATCCAATCAATTAAGAAGACCTGCTATTCTACCATCAAAATATATCTTGAGCCATCAGTTTCTCTCCATCTGCATTAACACTGCTCTCATGCAAGTCACTATCATTTCTGTGTCACAATGTCCCTACCTGTCTCCCTGTTTCCAGTCTTGTTTTTTCCCCAATCCATTCTACTCACAGAAACAAAAATGATCTTCCTAAAATGTAAATCAATTCATGTCACTCCCTTGATTTAATCTAGCAGTGGCTCCCCATCGCATTTAGAGTAGAATCAAGCTCTTTACTAGGGCTTAGAATTCCCTGCAGTATGTGGCCCCTGCCAACTTTCCAATCTGATTTCCTGTCCTCCCCTTGATCACTCTATTCCAACCACTTTTGTGACACTTGCTCTAGTATTCAGCCACATATTTAGAAATAAACACGCTTGTACTGCTGTTCATTGATTATTGACTTTTAGATATTATCTATCAACTTTCTCTTATAAAAGATGAGGGCTCGACTCTCTTCTTGTAAAGCACCAAGCATTTTCCCACCTGAGGTTCTTCATAGGTTTTACTTCCTCTGTCAGAAATGATCTTTCCACTACCACTACACACATCTTCACATGGCCAACTCCTCAATTTTTAGGTCTAAGTTTAAATGTCACTTCTTCAAAAAGAACTTTCCTAAAAACTTGGTCTAAAAGTATTCTTTCCTTATTCTTTTAGCTTAGCTCCTTGTTTGTCTCCTTCACTGCACTGAATACAATTTGCAATTCTTTTATTTATATTGTCATCTTACTTTTTTTTCTTTCTCCCTGACTTGAATGAAGAAGGGATCCTACAGTTCTCATTTTTTTTATCACATCTCCACCATTTTAGTACTATGAGTACCACGCATTGCAGCCAAATAAATATTTTTCAATAACTAATTAAAAGCAATGCACAAAAATTTGAAAAGTTTGATTTTCACATCTATTGCAAATTAAAAACAAAAAATGCAGTTTAAAAATCGGTATACTTTCTGCGGGTATGAGACGGACACAGGTTATAAATATTTCATAACACTCATCCTATTTGTGATTTAGTCTATATTTCTCTGAGTGTATTTAATAATGTTCATATAAATAACAAAAAATATTTTTCTGAGTTTAAATACAATTGGACACAGTGGCTAAACAAATGTCAGGCATAAATAATTCAAATATCTTAAAGAAAATTTTTATTTTATATATAAGAGCAATTCTTCAAAACCTTATTAACAGTAAAGTTTTGGAAGTAGAAGCACACACTAAATAATAAATTAATAAATTCCCTAAGAAATAGGTTTGAATTTAGTTATAAACAACTGTAATTTTTCCAAACAATGACACAGAAAATAGTTTTCCTTGGAAGGAGCAGGCTTCCTTTATGCCAGAAAATAAGTTTATGATGGGTCCTTAATGTCAATAACAAAAATATAATAGCACCATCAACATGATCAAGAGGCATTTGTTAACATGACCAGTTGAACATTAAGATGTTCTATAAATGAAATTTCTGGCTAATGGTCCATTACTTACCACAGCAACTTCAAAAAGTGCTTGTTTTCTGAAGAAACAGCATGGACATTTGACATCTTATTGCTTTCCATTCATGAGTCAGATTGTGAAGGTTGGGCAACACCCGCATGCAGTACATTTAAGTAAGAATTTCCCACTGATTTCAAAGTCACCTTCACACAAAGAAAAGTTCCTTGCAGTATAGGGGAAAAAACATGCAAAGATGCAAAATATAGACCAATATTTATTTTCTATCCCTCTATCAGAGAAACAATAGAAATGTGGCATTCATTTTTTTCTGTATCTTGTTTTTTGCTTTTTAAAAAACGGTGTTTTTAATTAAATTAGTATATTTGCATTGTTTAAAAATCCAATCATTCCGTAAGGCTTATAACAGGAAACAGGTCCCCTGCCCCTCTCCACCACATCCTAGATTTCTCTCCATAGAAAATGTTCATCTATTTGAGCTGTTTCTTTTTGTTTTTACCTCTGTGATTATAAATATTAATAACATGCTTATAGTGTTTTTTCCTAAATTTCCAGTTTTGTATATTTTCCATCATCTATCTTCCTGCTGTGGAAGATAAAAACTCATCACTTTTACACATTGTCTTATACACAACACACACACACACACACACACACACGCACGCACACACATTCCCCTTGACCCATCTGCACCATAGATTTATATAATCAATTTAGGTTAAATTAGTATTCAGTACTTAAACTGTTAGGGCTATATAACTACTATTCACTGCCAAGGGATGCAGGGTGCCGTGATTACCTCCTTTTTTCACAATTTTTTGTTTTACCTGGAATTCAACATGATTTTAGTTTTCCATTCCATTCACTTTATCATCAATATAACTCACTGATTTAGTGCTAAGTTCTCTATAAAAGACATGAAAATCCTCTCAGCCATGTCAAATAGTCATACTGTTCCTTCCTTCCTTCCTTCCTTTCTTTATTCTGGTTGTCATTCTTTTGGGAGCTCTCTGCCCTCCTGCTCTGTTCTGAACTGTAGCTGTCTGGACTTGCTATGAGGTGCTCATCCCAAAGCTCCCCCCACAACATCAAGGGAATTCCCTTCTCTTTTCTATTCTGTTGAATCCAGTGTTTCCTGGATCCCATATTCTTTTCTAACTTGGTTTCCCAACTAATTTTGATGGAGTACATCATCCAGAGTTTCCTAGAAAGGGATACATGAGAGGTAAATTCTTAAGACATCAAATATCTGAAAATATCCTCATTCTAATGCACATATTTAACAATCTGAGTGTAGACTTTTAGGTTGGAAATTAATGCAGATCAAAATGTTATTAAACTTTATTTTCCAACTACTTTGTAAACGTTTATGCCATGCTTTGGTTAACATCCAAGAGCTAGCTAGCTAGCTTGCTTGCTTGCTTTCTCTTTCCTCTTTTCTCCCTTCCCTTCCCTTCCCTCCCCTCCCCTTCCCTCTTCTTTCATTCCCTTTCCCTTTCCCTTTCCTTTCTTTTCTTTTCTTTTTCTCACTCTGTAGCCCAGGCTGGAGTGCAGTGGCAACATCTCAGCTCACTGCAACCTCCGCTTCCCAGTTTCAAGTGATTCTAGTGCCTCAAAGCCTCCTGAGTACCGGGATTACAGGTGCGCACCACCATGCCTGGCTAATTTTTGTCTTTTTAGTAAAGATGGGGTTTCGCCATGTTGGCCAGACCAGTCTTGAACTCCTGGCCTCAAGTGATCCACCCGCCTCGGCCTCTCAGAGTCCTGGGATTACAGGCATGAGCCGCCACACTCAGCCTATCTTTCTTGAACTCTCTTTTTCTATGTTGCTAGAATCCATTTCTTGTTTCTTGAATGCAGTTTAATAATTACTACCTCTCTAATGAAATCACAATCTTCCAAAGAGAGGAATCAGATGGCCTCCACGTTTTGTTACTCCTAACAACTAAGAATAATTACTGAGAAGTTTTTATGTACCAAGAACTCATGTAAACACTTCTTCATATTCATTAATTTATTACATCCTTACAATAATCCTATGAGGTGCTTTTATTATATTCACTCTACACGTGAAGAAACTGAGAAAGAGGGAGTTTATGTAACATGTCCCTGGTCATGGAACTAGCTAAATGTTAAGAGTTGGGATTCAAACTTAAGGAGTTTAACTCAAAAGCCTATATCCTTATCTTATTAATCATTATGATATACTGCTATTCAATAGCCCTTTTAAAACATTTTATGAAAATACTAAGGCTTGTTTTTTTTTTTTTCTGTTCCATGTGTCACTCTATTTCTTAGTTACTTGTCTGTTTTGATTTCTGCTTTTCATGTTGGAGCTTTTCCTCAAATGTTATTCCTTGATTATTCATTTTTAATTTAAGATTGAGACAAAAAATGTTTATCAATAGCTTTATGTGTTTGAGCAGGGCCTATCAAATGATGTACTTCACTGTACACTGATTTAATAAGTACATAGCTGTTTTATTGGGATCTCTAAATTGTTACTCTCTGTAGACCTTTATTATCAGCCTGGAAAATTTCTCTAAAGAGGAATCTTTCTAATTTCTGCATGAGAACTTTAAACTGGACTGCTGGTTTTCCCAGAGTTAAATTACAGAAAGGTCTGGGGATCTCATTGTGTAGTATGTTGATTCCCTCTTAATCCGTTTTCAGTATAGGACCACTACCCTCAGCTTTGTCTGGTTTCTCCAAGTCCAGGTCCTGCTACTTAAACTTCTTTGGAGAATAAATCTCTAGTGTTCTGCCCAGAAGTATGTGTGGGTGTGGATGAACATGGTCTGGGAGACGATTTGGCAGCTGTCCTTCTTAAATAGACCTTCAACATGACCCTGTTAACATTTGCCTTACAGAGCTATAAGGTACCTCAGTTTCTACCTCTTTCCTAAACTCTAAAGTACCTATTAGCTTTTTTTTTTTGACTTCTTAACTTTATGTCCCACCACAATCTTTGTCCTGCCCCCTCAAGCTTAGGTTTCACCTTTCTCCTTTCTGCCCCATGGCTTGCCATTTGTTTACCTGCTTTCCAACTTCCAAAATTGTGTTAGCATGTCGTCTGTTGTGCTGCTCTCTATTTCCCTGTGGATTTATGTCGTTTTATCCTATTAGTGGGTTTTAGAAGGGAGCAGAGATTAATGCATATTCACTCTACCATGTTTAACTAGAAGTTGGCATTGGCTTTCTTGATAGATCAAGGATAGACTGTAGACAAAATTATTTTATGCCTTGCTACCATTCTGAAATGAATTTGTCGATTATTGTGTGAGCTCAGCTGGTGCTAATAATAGCAAAGTTGTGAGTTAAAAATCTTTGTAAGGATCAATTATCTCTGCCGTGTTATTGGATCACAACTATACCTTAGCCTTCACCCCAAAGCTCAAAAGCATTTTCTAAGGTCTGTAGCAGAACCAGGTAAAGAACTACATATAGTCTTTTTTTTTTTCATCCAGTGGAATGAAAAGTTTTAGGAAATAATAGGAAACTAATACTAGGAATAATAAGAAAATTTACTCACAAATATTCTTTATAAGAAATAGTTATCATACCAATTACTAAGCAGGTAGCATGTGCTTAAACAACAGCCTGAGATTCCTCTTGTCTTATCATCATTCTCAAGAGCTCAATTTCCCTGAATATGTGGAGTCCTAGGAACAGTTTGAAAATACATCCAATCCTCCAAGTACTTAACAATTCCCCGCACCCCCCCTTCCACTTTTTTTTTTTTTTTTTTTGAGACGGAGTTTCTCTCTTGTTGCCCAGGATGGAGTATAATGGCGCGATCTCAGCTCACGGCAACCTCCGCCTTCCCGGTTCAAGCAATTCTCCTGCCTCAGCCTCCCCAGTAGCTGGAACTACAGGTGCACACCACCACACCTGGCTAATTTTTTGTATTTTTAGTAGAGACGGGGTTTCACCATGTTGACCAGGCTGGTCTTAAACTCCTGACCTCAGGTGATCTGTCTGCCTTGGCCTCCCAAAGTGCTGGAATTACAGGCGTGAGCCACCACACCCAGCCAGTTCCCTTTTTTTGAGTGTTTTTGGACCTGCGGCTAAATTCTCAGCAGATGGCAGCAATACAGAAATAGAGGTAGTGTTAGTGTGCTTATGGGCAAGACTGCATACTGCCTTATCGTCCTGCCATCTGAGTAAGAGAGTGATGTAAAAGCAATATAGGACTGAGTTGGAAGAAAACAGGGGCCCATTAAAGCTTTTGACTTAACACTGGAGATACAGTGCATCTGCTATACACACTGTTGTCAGTTGCTCTGCCCAGAAATAGAATCAACAGAGTCCTCTAGCTAGTGCTGATGTTACTGCAAGTGTTGATAGTATGCCCTTCAGCACTTCACACTTTCCTCAGAGCTTTTTGTCTACTTTGATTCACTGCTTCAGTAATTTTGACATAATTAAAAAGCAATAATATTTAACTCTTCTAAACTGAATGTACCTCAACAATACTTCCCTCAAATCACCTATTGTTTAATTAAAACACAATAAATGTCTCATCATATCTAATTAAAATGCTTTTTGAAAGCAGGTAATTTACATTGCAATTATTTCTCTGTAACAGTTTGACAAGAATCTGTGTAAGCGTGAAGTCTTTACTAACAGAAGAAGTGGGATATACAAATCAGTTTTCAAATCATTTTTATAGATGTCTTTAGAATTTCACTTTGATTGCCCCTAGCTCTTCTTGAAACTCTTGCAAAAGTCATTTTGGAACTCCAAATCCCCACATTTCATAGTACTGCCTTGGTCCTCCTGTTAACATTGCCCGCCACGTTTATTTTCAAGACTCTGTCTATCTTTGTCTTCTCGTGATTATCCACTCTTCTTGTTTTATTCCTACCAGTTGGATCACAGCTGCTCAATATGCCCACACTCTTACCACCGGATCGGTTTCTCCACACACCTCTTCCATTTAAATTTTCTTAACCTTGATTTTTCTTCTCTCATAGTTTAAGTTCAAGCCTATGCCATCTCACACTTAGATTATTGCATTAGACTCCTATCTTGCTTTCTGTCGTCAATCCCACCCTACATATCATCACAACTACCTTCTAAAGTATAAACTTTCTCATATCCTGTCTCTCCTCAGGAACCCTTAACAAGATCTTCACCATTTATGATATAAAATTGATATTTCTTATTATTCTATAGAGTAATCCCAGTAAACAGCCTCAGTTTTATCTAATACTGATCTCTGCCATCAACCTCAGCCACCCAACACAAGCAGCTGTTACCCAAACATACCACTCACTCTCCTAACTTTGTGGTTTTACTCAGAATCTCTTTTACCCATAATGCCTCACTGTTTCTTTTTGCTCACACATTTCTTTTAAAGATTTTATTCAAGTCATTCTACTACAGAAAGAGCTCCTGAAGTCAAAATTTATCTCCATCACCCTTTGTACACTCCCTTCGCATTTTGAAATATGTGAGTTAACAGAGAAAAATATAATAAGCCCTATATTTGATCAGGTGCTTGACTTTCTTTTTTAAAAAAATTTCAGTAGGTTATTGGGGAACAGGTGGTGTTTGGTTACATGAGTAAGTTCTTTAGTGGTGATTTGTGAGATTTTGGTGCACTCATCATGTCTGAGCTCAGACTTTTCTTGGGCGGGTCTTGCTGCAGCTACTGTGGGGTATGGGGGTGAGATTACCAGGTCACTGGAGTTTTGTGCCTAGGAGGATTATGGCTACTTCTGCTGAGTCATGCAGGTTGTCAGAGAAGTGGGGGAAATCCGGCAGTCACAGGCCACACCCACGCAAACCGAAGGGCTAGTCTCACTCCCATCATGTCCCCTGCAACAGCCCCAAGTCTGTTTCCAGGAGGAGGCTGAGAGGGGCTTGAAAACTTGCCCGAGGCTACCCACCTCCCAACTGCCAAAGAAAAGGGCCTTAGTTCTTCCCCAACCTGTGAAGTCTGCATGCCTGATTCCCGAGAGCATGTGTTAGGGAGAGTAGGGTCTCCCTTTCCCACTTCCGCAGTTGGGGCACTCACAGTATTTGGGGTGTCTCCTGGGTCCTACAGGAGCAGTCCGCTTCCTTCAGAGGGTCTGTGGGTCCTCTTGGGATGGCTGGTTTGTTCTTACAGTCGATCTGGAGCTCTCATGCTGTCACCGGGTCCCTGCAGCCAGCTTTGCCCCACACTCCCTCCAGGTTGCTTATAAAAGGTTTTATTATTGTCCCTTCTAACAGACAGAGGGAAACTGGGCCTAAAATAATTTGTATAATTGCCCAAAGTCATACAGTGTTTAGATCCAAGATTTAAATCTGGGTCTACCAGACTTGAGAAAATTCATAATCTTAACCACTATATACAGGAAAATATATGGTAAGTTCCTTCCTTTTTCCATTCACTTATTCATTTTCTTTCCTAGTGGATGAACAGAAAGTTGACAAAATACTACACATTTTTGTGTATATAGATACACAAAATGTATATTGATGAT
Source organism: Homo sapiens (assembly GCF_000001405.40). NCBI lineage: Eukaryota > Metazoa > Chordata > Mammalia > Primates > Hominidae > Homo > Homo sapiens. The sequence goes on along the minus strand of NC_000023.11, from coordinate 113,273,794 downwards.
AGATGACAGATAGATAGATGTTAGACAATAGATAGCTATAAATCATGATAGAGATATCTACTTAACATGTTCTTAGTGATGAGAGCTGTTAGAGGACAAGACTATTCAAGAGAATTATTTCTTATTGCTTAACTTAATATTAACTTCCCCAACAACAGCAGAAGCAAAATCAAGTTAAGCAAACATGGAAGCCAGCTTTCAAATAGACAATATTTGTCAATAAGGCAGACCACCAGAGAGCCAATAAGATAATATGCTTGGGAGCCTGTGGTAAGAAAAAAATACAACAAAGCTGAAAGTGGTATTTTCATCTGTCAGGTCTGTTTGAGAGGGAAAATGTGGAATGAATAAATTTTAAAGCCACAGAAATCAAAAGGCAACTTAGAATACCATTGTCCTTTTACCGATGTGACTAATGCTTAACTTTTCAACCAGCATCTGCTATTACCTTTAAATGTTTGAATGAGATACCTCAAAAGCAATTATTAGACTCAAAATGTATATGATGCATTAGGAGTCACTGTTGCTTTTTTTTTTTTTTTTTTTTTGAGATGGAGTCTTGCTCTTTTGCCCAGGCCAGAGTGTAGTGGCACGATCTTGGCTCACTGCAAGCTCCGCCTCCCGGGTTCATGCCATTCTCCTGCCTCAGCCTCCCGAGTAGCTGGGACTACAGGCGCCTGCCACCGCGCCCGGCTAATTTTTTGCATTTTTAGTAGAGACGGGGTTTCACGGTGTTAACGAGGATGGTCTCGATCTCCTGACCTCATGATCCGCCCTCCTCGGCCTCCCAAAGTGCTGCGATTACAGGCGTGAGCCACCGCGCCCGGCCACTGTTGCTTTTTATTTGCCAAGAAAACATCAAATATATATATACACACACACACACACACAATACACAGAAAATCCATGACATCACTCATTGCTGAAATTCTTTCATATAAAGGCCTCAGTTTGATCCTGGAAAGTTTATAACTACCTATTTTCACATGTCCTTTTTGCCTTTTAATTCTACATCAGTAGCTATTCCTTTACTGGTGATACATGATGGTAGTAGCACTGGCTGTTTCAGATTCACAGAGGAGAAAATAAAGAGATTCTATAACCTTGTGGACGTAAAAAAGATCTAAAATACCTCTCTCTCATCCTTTACTGGTGACAAAACACTTAAAATCTTGTAAATTATTAATGTCGACTAAAATCAGGTATGTTCATTTTTATCACTTTTTCTAAGTGTGATTTGTGGAGAATCAACTCAAATGCTTTGTGAATAGACCATATCTTATACTTAAGAAATCAGATAGCCTAGAGGTGAGGCCACAGAGTCTGCAATTCGCAAATCTCCCCCATATCAATTTTGTGCGCTAAAGTCTGAGAATCACTACATGAGACCCCCCATGTGATGTAGAAAACTCATAGTTTCTCTCTACCCCCACTTTGGAAAGGAATGTGTTTAATAGTAAAGTTAAAACTTGCTGAGTGCTTCCTATTGCACTAATACGTCTTACGGCACTAATAATTCCTGGTGGCACTATTTTATGAGTTCAATATGTATTACTGTATTTAATTTTCAAAACCACCCTATTAAGTAAGAACTAATATTGCCTTCATTTTACAGAGAGGAATCTGGAGGGCATTTCAAGAGACATCACTACCACCGGAAAATTTTCCGGTGGCCTTTGATCCGAGCATGAGGAAGTGAGATTAGGCCAGAAGATGAGAACAAAGGGCAGATGTTTTTAGATGAAAGATACCAGAACCTTGGGGAAAGAAAAGTTGAACATCTACTACATACCATTCACTACACTGAGGCACTAGCCTCATCTTCTTTAATCATCACACTGACCTTTTGATGTCTCATTTTTATTTCTGTTTTACAGATGAGAAAACCAAAAGCCAGAAAATTAACCAACTGGCCCAAAGTCATACAGACAGATGGCAACAAAACTGGGATTTAAAGTTGTCTGTCTCATTTCAAATCATATAATTTTTTTATTATGCTATTTCGCTCTCAGGGGAAGTTCAAAGGTGTTGTGCACCAACTGTTGCTAATTCCTAGTCTCATTAGGAGCATTATAAATAAATACTGTAATTTTAGATAGTAACAAATTCTGTGAAGAAAATGAAACAGAATGCTGCCATAAAGAGCTATTGCAGGAGAGAGATGAAAGACATCAAATAAGGCCAACTTCACTGAGGAAGTAACATTTGAGCTAAAACAAGCAAAAGAATTCAGATAAATAAAGATCTAGGGGAACACAAAAGAAAATATTTTGAGGAAGGGCAGGCTCGCTCTGTTTCAGGACCAGCAAAAAGATCACTCTCTGGGGACTAAATGAATATGGAAGGGATTGATAAAGATGAAGACACATCTAACAGTGACCTGTAAACCAGGAGACAGTGATTAGATTTTATACTGTAATGAAAACCATTAGAAGACTTTAAGCAAAGAAATGTAATAATTTAATTCACACTAAAAAGTGAAAACTAGTTTACATTTTGTGTGAGGAACAGGCTGTAAGAGGACAACAGTGAAAGCAAATAAAGCAGTAAGAAGAAAATACAGATGAGAGGTTATTGAGGCCTAGAAGTAGGATAGATAGTTGTGGAATTGGTAAGACATAGTTGTATTTGAAAAGCATTTTCAAAATAGAGCTGATAAGAGTTGCTCATGGATTAGATATAAGGAATAAGCTAGAAAGAGAAATCAAGATTTTTTTAATAGAGTAAGAATATTAAATTGAGTAAATAAATTAACTTGAGAAAATTTAATTCCAATCAGTTTCATGGGGAAGATTGAGAAAGAGATGGCAATTTTGCAGGAGGTGGGAAAGGGAATGAGGAGGTGGAATTATATTTGGACATGTTAAGTTTCAGATGCTTATTCAACATTCTAATGAAGACGCCAAGCAGGCAGTTGCATATAGGAGTTTGGAGTTCAGACTTTTTCAACACCCTTAAAAGTATGTTCACCTATTCTTCTCATGTACCTTCAAGCCAATGGACCAGATAAAAGGTTGCAAGAAATTGTTAGCTTAACACCCTTTTCGTTACCCCCGTACCATTAGAGAAATAGGGTGCCTCATATAGCACTATGAAAAGCTTTTACAAAACTGTAGTTCATGTCTCCACCCAGATAATGCCCATAAAGTAAAAGCATGGCTTTCGACACCAATAATTTCCTATACCCGTATAGGCCAGTCCAGAGCCAGTAATTTTTTTAAAAAAGCCTAGTATATCTATCTATTGCCAACAGGTAGCCCCTTAATGTAACAGACTTTTAGATGTATATGTAACAGATATAGATGGCTTTCACCCTTTAGTATGCTATTGTGAAGAGAAAGCTAGTTTAGACATCAGAAGTGAATCTGAATCCTGTGTTCCTTCAATATATCTGACATTGGGTAGCTACTTTGGGTCTTATTTGACTAATCTATAAAACAGAGACATTAATCGTACCTATCTTATAGGATTACTATTAGTATTGAATCACATAATCCATGGAAACCCTTAACACGATGCTCAAATAAATGTTTATTCTTTTTTATTCTTGGCATTATTATTTGGTCAAACCAGATAAAATTACAAATATTTGAATTTTTAAAGTAACGAAACAGCAATTATATTTAGTATAACAACAACAAAAGTGTAAGTCTAGTTCATTTAGCAATACCAGAAACAAATTAGTGGTTCTATTCTACTACTCAAACCACATAAAGATCAGACCTCTCCCCAAACTAGGGTTATGCTTTGGGGGTACTGGTAATAAAATAAGATACTATCCCTTTTACAGTTAAATCTATAATTCAGCCAAGAGGAATGAAACTCATTAATTTCCAAGTCACCAAAAGCCCTTTTCTGGGGAGAGTGGGCTAAAATGTTGATTGAGAACAGGAGAGAAAAAGGAAAACAGCATACTGGAAGCCCAGAAATCCAACATTAGATAGGGTCAGTGCCTCCCAGTAATATAAATACCAGGTCAACTATCCAGTCACTTTCTTCTCTCCTTCTGAGAGACCTGACCACTTCCTTTCAAGGATCAGTATATGGTGACTCCAAACTGAGGCATCTGAACAACAAACAAATAAAACTTTAGAACGGCTTTAGATTTACAGAACAATTGTAAATATATTATAGATAATTCCTGTGTATCCCACACCTAGTTTCCCTTATTAGCATCTTACATTAGTATGGTACATTTGTTACAATTAAGGAAACAATGCTGACAAATTATTATTAACTAAAGTCCATATTTTATTTGGATTTTCTTGGTTTCTATCCCATGTCCTTTTTCTGTTTCAGAATCCCATCCATGCTAAGGTATTACATTTAGTCATCATAACTCTGTGGGCTCCTCTGGTTGTAATGGTTTCTCAAATTTTGCTTGTTTTGATGACCTAGACAGTTTTGAGAATTGCCAGTTGGATATTTTGTAGAATCCTCCTTAATTGGAAGACATATGATAATTTTTAAATAATTAGTCTGGAATTATGGGAATGGGAAGAAGAACACAGAGGTAAAGTGCCTTTTTTTATCACATCATATCAAGGGTACATGATATAAACATCACTATCACTGTTGATGTTGACCTGGCCAAGGTAGCAATTGTCAGGTTTCTTTACTGTACAGCTATTCTTTTTCCCTCTTTCCATACTGTACTCTTTGGAAAGAAATGAGTATTTTCATGTCCCACTTAAGGAGCATAGAGTTATGCTCCTCCTCAGTGAGGAAGTAGTATCAACATAAATTATTTCTAATTTTTCTGCACAAAAATTTGATTCTTCTTCTTCACTTATTTATCCAGTCATATCCTTATGGTAACATGGACTCACGAATATTTATTTTTTACTTTGGGTTATAATACATTGCTAATTTATTTATTTTATTACTCAAATTATTCCAGCTTTTGCCATTTAGCGCACTTTCAATTCCTGTGTCCCTTTGACATACCATCCACTATTGTGGGGTTTGTTTCATTTTTTGAGCACTTCCTTACTTTCTGGTATGACAAGATGCTTGAGGCTCACTTTCCTTTTTCCATGCTTCAGTCCTATGTATTTATCTAACTGATGTGAAAAGTTAGGTCGACACAAAATCTGCCTGCAAATGTTTATAGCACTGTAATTGCTAATTAACAAAAATTGAAAGCAGCCAAGATGTCCTTCAGTAGATCAAAGGATAAACACATTGTGGTATGTTGATAGAATGAACTATTATTCAGCAATAAAAGAAATAAAATATTAAGTCATGAAATGGCACGACTAAATCTTAAATGCATATTACTAAGTGAAAGAAGTCAGTCTGAAAAGGCTATATACTTTATGATCACAATGGCATGACATTCTAAAACAAGAAAAACTATAGTGATGGTAAAAAAAAAAAAGTCAGGGGTTGCCAGTGGTTCAGGAAGAGAAAGGACGAATGAAATAGATGAAGCACTGGTTTTGTTTTGATGATGATGAAGCTATTCTGTACGGAAATGTAATGGTGAATACATGACAGTATGCATTTATCAAAGCCCATAGGCTTATATAAAACAAGGAGTAAAACATAAGGTATCTAAATTTTAAAACATTATCTAGGAGAAAAGGAATTCTGGCATGGAATGAAGAATGTGACAAATCAATCTAACTGTATTATAAGTGCGTGAAACAATCTCACTAAAGGGAGTAAAGGACAAAGGTGTTGACCTAAAATCTTTGGAAGAAAATAGAGACTATAAGATTAAAAGCAAAAGAAAGTGTTCATAAGCAATAAGCTTTAGTTGATAGAGATTTTTCCCTCATGGAGGCATAGGTTAACTATATCAATACTACTATACACATGTACTAGAATTGAAAAATTAAGTAAATGGATGGCCGGTGGTTGGAATCATGTTTCTCACTGTTAGGGTGGGAGTTTACAATAAACAAGGGTAGGAGGCTTTATAGTAGGAGATATCAACACGAACATGTGTTTAGCTTAATATAGGTACAGATAGTTACAAATAGAAATACTTGTAAATATGTGTATACACAGGGATTAACATATACACTTGCATTTCTTATCAGCTGAGATGACCTAGAAGCAATAGCACCCCAGTAGCAATAATTACACCTATTGCCCACATATATGTTTCTAGTACTATACTTAAAAACAAACAGGAGTCCTTGAAGAAACGGCCGATGTTAGGCATTTTTAAACCTTACATACACAGAATCAGATTAATCACAATCCTTGCTTCATGTCTAATGAATTTTTGGCTCCTTGGCCCATAGATAATCCTCTTTTTACTAATTTTGACTGTGTTCCATAGGAATAGTGTGTCCTTTGGCAAAGAACAACCTCTCCTAATTTCAGTTTTTTAATCAGTAAAAAAGGAACACTAAAAACACTTAACTTATAAGTTTTTGTACAAATTAAATACCATGTTGCATGTACAATATTTGGAAAAAGAACTTGGCATATAGTAAGCATGCAGAAATTTTAAGTCTTTCTTAAGTTTTCCAAGTTGGACATAAAGGGAAATTTGGAAGCATATAGATATCTGAGTGAAGTTAATCAATTTTTAGAGGGCAAATGTTTTCAGTGTCTTTGATCCTTCTGAACACTATGACACCCACATTAGCCTGGAGTGAGCGGCAGAACTAGGCTTTGAATGGTTGCAGTAATGAGGTGGACAATAAATTTGGCCTTGGGAAGCCTGACTAAAGAGAATTTAACTTCACTATGTTTTTCTTTTTCTCTTCAGCTACGTTGGAAGCTACTGAGGAAGCATAAAGAGATATGTGTTGTAGGAGATACACAGTAGTGAAAGGGCTATAAGAGACATGTGGAGAAAAAAGCTTGATGGTAGGAGGTAATGAGAAGAGTAGAGTAAATAGCAGAGAGGGAACAGCTTAGTTACCTGTTCTAATTTAAAAGATATAGGTAAGTCTGACATGGCCTAACAGAGGAGTTTTAGTAATCAGAGGAAACCAGTTGATAATGGTTTGAAATGTTTACTTTTCATGGGATGGCTTTGGCAAAATGAAGAAACACATTTAATCTGAACTAAAGATTGTATAATAACCCTTTCTCAGAGATACTTTTTTGAAAAAAATTCCATGGTGGTCTCAATAGAATACTGTAATCATGATATATAAAGCACTTTTAATTTCAGTGTAGAATTTAAAAGACAAAGCATACAGTGTTTCTCCAATGTTTTCTTCTAGTATGTTCACATCTCAGGTCTTAGATTTTAAGTCTTTGGTTCATTTTGATTTGATTTTTGTATATGGTGAGAGATAGGGGTCTAGTTTCATTCTTCTGCATATGGATATCCACTTTTCCCTACATCATTTACTGAAGAGACTGTCTCTTCCACTGTGTATGTTCTTGATGCCTTTGTGAAAAATCAGTTCATCGTAGATATATCAATTTATTTCTGGGTACTCTATACTGTTCCATTGGTCTAGCATCTATTTTTCTGCCAGCATCATGCAATTTTGCTTATAACTTTGTAGTATTATTTGAAGTCAGGTAATGTGATTCCTCCAGATGTGTTCTTTTTGCTCAGGATAGCTTTGGTTCCATGTAAATTTTAGTAATTTTTTTATATTTCTGTGAAGAATATCACTGATATTTTGACAGGGATTGGACTGGATCTGTATATTGCTTTGGGTAGTATGAACATGTTAACAATATTGATTTTTCCACTGGTCTAACCAAATGTTTCTGGAGTAGGACAACAAAAGCACAGGCAACCAAAGCAAAAATGAGCAAATGGGATCACATCGAGATAAAAACCTGCACAGCAAAGGAAACAATCAACAAAATGAAGAGACAACTCATAGGACGGGAGAAAATGTTGGTGAACTACTTATCTGACAAAAAATTAATAACTAGAATTTATAAGGAGCTCAAACAACTCAATAGCTAAAAAACCACACAAAATCCAGTTAAGAAATGAAGACCTAAATAGACATTTCTCAAAAGAAGAAATACAAATGACAAACAGATATATAAAAGAAAATGCTCAACATCACTAATCATCAAGATCTGCAAGTAAAAACCACTATGAGACATCATCTCATCCCAGTTTGCGTGGCTATTATCAGAAAGACAAAAATAACAAAAACAAATGCTGGAAAGGGTGTAGAGAAAAGAAAACACTTGTACAATGTTAGTGGGAATGCATATTAGTACAACCTCTGTGGAAAACAGTATGGAGATTTATCAGAGTACTAAAAATAGAACTACCATAGCGATCTTACTGCTGCTTGGTTTTAACATCTACTACTGTACCCAAAAGAAAGGAAATCAGTATAACGAAGATACATCTGTGCTCCCTGTTTATTGCAGCACTATATACAATAACCAAGATTTCGAATCCATCTAAGTGTCCATCAACAGATTCATGGGTAAAAAAAAATGTGGTACATATACACATGGAATATTATTCACAATGGAATATAATTCAGAAAGTATTCATATTAAAAATAATGAGATCTTGTCATTTGCAACAATGTGAATCAAACTGGACAACATTATGTAAAGTGAAATAAGCCAGGGTCAGAAAGACAAATACCACACGTTCTCACTTACATGAAGGATCTAAAAAAATTGAATTCATAAAAATAGGAGCATAGAATGATGATTATCAGAGGCTGGAAAAGGTAGTGGATGGGGGGATAAAGTAGGGATGGTTAATGGGTACAAAAATACAGTTTGATAGAATAAATAGGATCTAATATTTGGTAGTACAATAAGGTAACCATAATTACCAATAATTTATTGTATATTTTAAAATAACTAAAAAAGTGAAATTGGAATGCTCCTAACATTAAGAAATATAAAATGCTTGAGATGATGGATACTTCAGTTACCCTGATTTGATCATTATACATTGTATACCTTTATCAAAACAACACACGTACACTAGAAATATGTATAACTTTTATGTAGCCATAATCATTAAAATAAAAATAATTTTAAAGACAAAACATGAAAAATAATTATAACTATAAAACTATGTTAATGGATATGCAATATATAAAGATGTAATCAGTGACGTCAATAACATAAAGTGGGAATGGAGAGATATTTAAAAAGTAGAGTTTTGTATGTTATTAAAGTTATCAGCTTTGAATAGATTGTTGTAACTATGAGATCTATATGTAAGCCCCATGGTAACCACACACAAAAAAATATACACAGAAGAAAATGAGAAAAGAATCAAAGCATGTCAAAACAAAAATATCACCAAAACACAAAGGAAGGCAGCAAGAGAAAAAAAAAAAAGAGTGACAAACTTGTTACAAGACAGAGACAAAACAGTTAACCAAGTGGCAATAGTAACTCCTGCTCTATCAGTGATTACTGTAAATATAAATGAATAAGTTATCAATCAAAAGAAGTGGAGTGGCTGAATTAAAGAAAAATACGAACAAGATGTAACTATATGCTGTCCGCAACAGAATCACCTTAGATGTAAAGACAGACATAAGGTGAAAGTGAAAGGATGGGAAAATATATTCCATAAAAATGATAACCAAAAGAAAGCAAGGGTGACCACATTTATATCAGACAAAATAGACTTGAAGTCAAAAATTATCACAAGAGATAAAGGACATTATATAATGATAAAGTGCCTACTCACCAGGAAAATATAACAAATATATATACATATACATATATATATGCATCTAAAACAAGACCACCCAAGTACTTGAAGAAAACATTGGCAGAATTGAAGGAAGAAATGAACAGTGAAACAGTAATAGGAGACTTTAATACATCACTTTCAAAAATGGATAGAAAAGTGGATAGAAGATCAATAAGGAAACATAGGACTCGAACAACTCTATAGACCAATGGTACCTAGCAGACATATACAGAACTCTCTTTCCAGCAGGAGCAGAATATACATTCTTCTCAAGTGCACACAGAACATTCTCTAGGGAAGATCACACATTAGGTTACAAATGAAGTCTTAACAAATTGTAAAAGATCGAAATCCTACCAAGTATCTTTTCTGACCACAAGAGAATTAAACTAGAAATCAACAGCCATTGAAAAACTGGAAACTCACAAATATGTGGAAATTAAACAACATACTATTGTATAACCAATGGGTCAAAGAAGAAATTACAAGAGAAATTAGAAAATATCTTGAGACACACAAAACCAAAAACATAACATACTAAAACTTACGGGATATGGGGAAGAGGCAGAAAAACATGTTTTAATAGAAACCACCAGTGATCTTCCTCCCCGTAGGAACACCAAATTGAACAACTATCTGCACAAGAAAGTGCCTTTAAAAGAACCAAAAATCAAGTGAGTAATTACAATACTTGGTTTTAACATCACATCAAGGAAAGAGACACTAAACAAGGGAGGAAAGATAGTCTGAATTGCCTGTACCACCCCTTCCCCATCCCCCAGCAGCTGCCAGGTGGTGCAGAGAGAAAATCTGTGTGCTTGAGGGAAGAAAAGCACAGTGATTGTGGAACTCTGCATTGCAACTCTGTGTTGTCCTGTCATAGCAGAAAGCAACACTGGGCAGAATTCAACCGGCACCTACGGCGGAACATTTCAACTTGCCCTAGCCAGAGGGGAATTGTCCATTACAGCAGGCAGAACCTGAGGTCTGGCTAGTCCCACCACCACAGGCTAAAGTGCTTTGGGGTCCAAAAATAACTCAAAAGGTAGTCTAGGACGCAAGGAGTGCAGTTCCTAGGGAGGTCCTGGTGCTGTGCTGGACTTGTAGCCAGCAGACTTGGTGTGTATGTGACATAGTGAGGTACCAGTGGGAGTGGCCACGGGAGTGCTTGCATCACCCGTCCCCCAAACCCAGGCAGCCCAGCTCACAGCTCCAGGACAGACTCCTTCTTTATGCTTGAGGAGGGGAGAAACAAGAGTAAAGAGGACTTTGTTGGCCGGGCACCGCGGCTCACGCCTGTAATCCCAGCACTTTGGGAGGCTGAGGCGGGTGAATCACTTGAGGTCAAGAGTTCAAGACCAGCGTGGCCAACATGGTGAAAACTTGTCTCTACTAAAAATACAAAAGTTAGCTGGGCATGGTGGTGCACACCTGTAGTCCCAGCTACTCAGGAGGCAGAGGCAGGAGAATCACTTGAACCCGAGAGGTGGAGGTTGCAGTGAGCTGAGATCAAGCCACTGCACTCCAGTCTGGGCGGCAGAGTGAGAATCCATCTCAACAACAACAAAAACAACAAAGAGGAATTTGTCTTGCAACTTGGATATGAACTCAGTCACAGTAAAACAGAGCACCATGCAGAGTCCTGATGCCCTAGCCCTCAGACAACATTTCTAGACACGGGAATCCACTGCCTTGAAGGAAAGGACCCAGTCCTGGCAGAATTCAACAAGTGCTGACTAAAGAATGTTTGGACACTGAGTAAACATCAAGAAAACTGTCAAGATGACCGACTAGAAGCAGCTAGTGTATGCCACTCTTACAGAGAGGAGAAAAATTGGTGAATAAATACTACATCTTCAACTGAAACATCATGCAGGGATTCATCAAGGAAAAAACGTGGCCCATGGAGAACAGAGAGGAGCAACACAGGACAACCACCCACCCGGGAGTCACATGAAGCCAGGAGAGGCTTCCTCACCACAGGGAAACTGAGTGAGTGAGAGACCTTGGGGATCCACACTTTTTCTATGGATCTTTGCAATCTTGGGCTCAGGAGATCCCCTTGTGGGACTTTCAGACTGATGTGGAGAGCTACATGTAGTCTGAGAAGAGCCACCACTCAAGCACACACAGAGCCCCAGGAGCCTTGGATCCCTGGGCATCCTAGCATTAGTGGCTGCAGCTCTGGCAAAGAGAGTGGTTATGCTCCCTCACATGTCCCCAGGAAAGGAACCAAATCCAGGAGGCTGAGCATGGTACAGAACCCCAGCACAGTGCAGCCATCCCACAGAAAAGCTGCCAGACTGTTTTTTAAATCGGTCCCCATTTACATTTTTTCCTCACTGAGTGACGCCTCCTGACTCCAGCACAACTACCCTGCCCCAACCTGAACACTTCAGTCAGAGGCAGCACTGCATTTATCTGAGGAAATCCCAGAGTCAACCCACAACCCCTTCTCCATTGCAACTACAGTGGTACTGCCCTAACTGCCCACAGAATAGGGAAGGAGCAAAGGACCTACCCGCTATGCTGGCACCTCCAGGACATGGCAGCCACTATATGGAAAAGAGTCCAGTCTCTCTTCCCTGGGAGTTCCCAACCCCCACTCTTCACCAGGGAGGGCCCCTAGCTCAGGACTGCAGATCAGCCACCCCACCAATGGCTGAGCATATCCACTGGTAGTGTCTCTGAATTTCCCTGGGGAGGGGCTCCCAGAGGGAACCAACAGCCCTTCTGCCACTGCCACAGCAGTGGTTCTACCCCTGCTGCCCTGGTCTGGGGAAGAAACAAAGATCTTGAGGGCTTCACCTAGGCTTATAGCACACCACAGCCACCATACAGAAGTGAACCAGTCTCTCTTCACTGTGAATCTTTGAAACCCCACTCCCCAACTAGGGGAGTCCCCAGCTCAGGCCACCAGTACAGCTGTCCCGCCCACTGGCTGAACATTCCCAGTAGGAGTGGCTCCATGTTTCTCAAAGGTGGAGCTCCCAGAGGCAACCAAAAGCCCCTCTGCCACTGCCACTGCAATGGTACTACCCTTGCTGATCTCAGACTGGAGAATGAGCAAAAACCATGAGTGCTCTACCCACACCTCCAACAAGCTGTAGTCATCCTAAGGAGAGCAGGCCAGTCCATCTCCCCAGTGTCCCACTCACCCTGCACCCCATTTGTCACCAGGCAGGGCCCCTCTGTCTTGGGCCCAGAGCACAGCTGCCCCATCCTGGGCTGATCACGCTGATTAATAGTAGCTCTGTATATCTCTAGGGTGGAACCCCAAGAAACAACTGAAAGACTCTCTGCCACAACCACTGCTAAGGTCTCGTCCTCTACTGCCTCCAAACTGGGAAGAAACATAAAGCCTGAGATTGCCCGGGAGTGCCAAGCCAAGATCTGCAACCAGCACTGGAGTGAAAGAGGAGCCAACATTTTCAGAGCACTCAGAGGTAGCATAGCTGCAATTGTGAGGAAATACAGAGGAGCCACATGACTGAGCAAGAGACCACCTACTGGACATTACCCGTAAGTGCCACCTACTGGATCATCAAAACTTCAACACCAAAAATATTTTTGCTAATATGTCCCACTGAAAAACCAAGGACAAGAATTCAACTACATATAAAGACCCTGCACAAAGCCTTGGTCCTGTGAAAACATCCAGAAAATAAGTCTACTGTCTACACTCAATTTACACTGCAGTTAAAGAAACAGAAATCAACAGATAAGAAAGAACCAGTGCAAGAATGCTGGCAACAAAAAAGGCCAGAGTATCTTCTTTCACTGAAATGAATGCAGCAGTTGCCCAGCAAGGGTTCTTAACCAGGCTAAAATAAGTGAAATGATAAACATAAAATACAGAATATGAATAGGAATGATGATCATAGAGATTCAGGAGAACATCAAATCCAATCCAAGGAATCTAAGAACCACAATAAAATAATACCAGAGCTGATAGATGAAATCTCCAAAATAAAACAGAACTAAACTGATCTGATAGAGCTGAAAAACACACTATAAGAATTTCATAAAGCAACCACAAGTATTAATAGCAGACTAGACCAAACTGAGAAAAGAATATCAGAGCTCAAAGGCTGGTTCTCTGAAATAAAAGTCAGACAAAAACCAAGAAAAAAGAACAAACAAAACTTAAGTACGTAGACCATTGACACTATAAAGCAACCACAGAAACAAGTCTGCATAATTACCAGCTAAGAACATAATGACAAGATCAAATCCACGCATATCAATATTAACCTCGAATGTAAATGGGCTAATTGCCCCAACTACAAGGCACAGAGTGACAAGCTGGATAAAGAAGCGAGACCCAGTGGTATGCCATTTTCATGATACCCACCCATCTCACATGCAATGGCATCTATAGGTTCAAAATAAATGGATGGAGAAAAATCTATCAAGCAAACAGAAAACAGAGAAAAGCAGGGGTTGCAATCCTAATTTCAGACAAAACATATTTTCAACCAACAAAGATCAGAAAAGACAAAGAAGGGCATTATATAGTGGTAAAGGGTTTGATTCAGCAAGAAGATCTAGCTATCCTAAATACATGTGCACCCAAGAAAGGAGTACCAAGGTTCGTTAAAGCAACTTCTTAGAGACCTATGAAGACACTTAGATTTTCACACAATAATAGTGGGAGACTTCAAAATCCCACTGACAATATTAGACAGATCATCAGGGCAGAAAACTAAACAAATATATTCAGGACCTGAACCTGAACTCAATACTTCACCAAATAGACATAATAGACATCTATAGAACTCTCTACACAAAAACACAGAATATGCATTCTTCTCATCTGCATGTGGTACATACTCTAAAATCAACCACATAATTGGACATAAAATAATCCTTAGAAAATGCAAAAAAAAAAAAAAAAAAACTGAAATCATACCAACCACGCTCTTGGACCACAGCATAACAATAATAGAAGTTAATAGTAAGAAAATCACTCAGAACCATACAATTACATGGAAATCAAATAATCTGCTTCTGAATGACTTTTGAGTAAATAATGAAATTAAAGCAGAAATCAAGTAATTCTTTGAAAGTAAAGAGAATGAAGATACAACATTCCAGAATTTTATGGACAGAGTTTAGGCAGTGTTAAGAGGGAAATTTACAGTACTAAACCCATATGCAAAAATTCAGAAAGATCTCAAATTAATAACCCAACATCACAGCTAGAAGAACTACAGAAGCAAGGACAAACTAACCCCAAATCTAGTAGAAGACAAAAAACAACCAAAATCAGAGCTAAACTGAAGGAGCTTGAGATAATAAAAACCATGCAAAAGATAAATAAATCCAGGATATTTCTGTTTGAAAAAAATTAATAAGATAGACCACTAACTAGACTAATAAAAAAGAAAGATGATCCAAATAAACACATTCAGAAATGACAAAGAGGACATCACCAATGACCCCACAGAAATACGAAACACCATCAGAGACTACTATGAACACTGCTATGCACACAAACTAGAAAATCTAGAAGAAATGGATGAATTGCTAAACACACACAACCTCCCATAACTGAAACAGAAAGAAATTGAATCCCTGAATAGAGCAATAATGAGCTGCAAAAATGAATCAATAATAAAATGCATATTAACCCAAAAGAGCCCCCGACCAAATACATTCACAGCTGAATTCTACCAAATGAATGAAGAAGAGCTAGTACATTTCCTACTGAAACTATTCCAAAAAACTGAGAAAGAGGGAATTCTTCCCAACTCATTCTATGAGGCCAGCATTATCCCAATACCAAAACCTGACAGAGACACAACAAAGAAAGAAAATTTCAGGCCAATATTATTGATGAACATTGATGTAAAAATTCTCAGCAAAACACTAGCAAACCAAATCCAGAAGCAGATCAAAAAGCTAATTTGCCCTGATCAAGTAGGCTTATCCCTGGGATGCAGGTTTGGTTCAAGATATGCAGATCAATAAATGTGATTCAGCATGTAAGGAATCCTAAAGACAAAAGCCATATGATTATCTCAATAGATGCAGAAAAGACTTTTGATAAAATTCAACATTGTTTCATGCCAAAAACCCTCAATAAACTAGGCATTGAAGGAACATACCTCAAAATAATAAGAGCTACCTATGACAAACCCACAGCCAAAATCATATTGAATGAGCAAAAGCTGGAAGTATTCCAATTGAAAAATCGTACAAGATAAGGATACCCTCTTTCACCACTCCTATTCAGCATACTGTGGAATGTCCTGGCCAGAGCAATTAGGAAACAAAAAGAAATAAAAAGCATCCAAACAGGAAGAGAAGAAGTCAAACTATCTCTGTATGTAGATGACATGATTCTATAACTAGAAAACCCCATCATCTCTGCCCAAAAGCTCCTTGAACTGATAAACAACTTGAGTAAAATTTCAGGGAATAAAATTAATGTATAAAAAGTAGCATTCCTATGTACCAGCAACATCCAAGATGAAATCAAAATCAGGAATGCAACCCCATTTATAATTGCCACAAAAAGAATAAAATACCTTGGAATACAGCTAACCAGGGAGGTGAGAGATCTCTACAGTGAGAATTACAAAACACTGCTCGAAGAAATCAGAAATGACACAACCAATGGAAGAACATTCTAGGTTCATGAGTAGGAAGAATCAATATTGTTAAAATGGCCATAATGGCCAAAGCAACTTACAGAATTAATATTATTCCTGTCAAACCACCAATGACATTCTTCACAGACTTGAAAAAACTATTCTAAAATTCATATGAATAAACAACAACAAAAAAACAGCCCAAATGGCCAAGGCAATCCTAAGCAACAAGAACAGCACTGTAGGCATCACATTATCTGTCTTCAAACTATACTACAGGCTAGAGTAACCAAAACAGCATGGTACTGGTACAAAAACAGAACACATAGAATAATGGAACAGAATGGGGATTTGAGAAATAAAGTCGCACACCTACAACCATCTGATCTTTGACAAAGCTGACAAAAACAAGCAATGGGAAAAGGACGCCCTCTTTAATAAATGGTGCTGGGATACCTGGGATATGCAGAAGACTGAAATGGAACCCCTTCCTTACACCATATACAAAAAACAACTCAAGATGGATTAAGGACTTAAATATAAAACCCAAAACTATAAAATACCTGGAAAATAACCTAGGCAACACCATTCAGGACATAGGCATGGGCAAAATTTTCATGAAGAAGACACCAAAAGCAATTGCAACAAAAGCAAAAATTGACAAATGGGATCTAATTAAAGAGCGTCTGCACAAATAAACTATCAACAGAATAAACAAACAACCTACAGGATGGTAGAAAATATTTGCATGCTGCATCCAATAAAGGTCTAATATCCAAAATCTACAAGGAACTTAAACAAATTTATGAGAAATTAAAAAGAACCCCATTAAAATGTGGGTAAAGGACAGATAGTTTTCAAAAGAAGACATACATGTGGCCAAGAAACATATGAAAAAATGTTCAACATCACTAATTATTAGAGAAATGTAAATCAAAACTACAATGAGACACCATTTCACACCAGTCAGAATCGGTATTATTAAAAGTCAAAAAATAACAGATACTGGCAAGGTTGCAGGGAAAAGGAACGTTTATACACTGTTGGTGAGAGTGTAAATTAGTTCAACCATTGTGGAAGGCAATATGGCGATTCCTCAAAGAGCTAACAGCAGAAATACCATTTGATCCAGCAATACCATTATTGGGTATATACTCAAAGGAATAGAATTCATTCTGTTATAAACACACATGCATGCATATGTTCACTGCAGCACTATTCACAATAACAAAGACATGGAATTAACCTAAATGCCTATCAATGATAGACTGGATAAAGAAATGTGGTAAACATACATCATGGAATACTATGCAGCCATATAAGAAAATGAGATCACATCCTTTGTAGCAACATTGATGGAGCTAGATGCCATTATTCTTAGCAAACTAACCCAGGAACAGAAAACCAAATACCACATGTTCTCATTTATAAATGGGAACACATGAACACAAAGAGGGGAACTACATACACTGGTGCCTCCTTCAGAGCGTAGTGTAGGAAGAGGGAGAGGAAAAGGAAAAATACCTATTGGGTACTTTGCTTAGTACCTGGGAGACAAAACAATCTGTACACCAAACTCCCATGACATAAATTTCCCTACACAACAAATCTGTACGTGTAGCCCTGAACCTAAAATAAAAGTTAAGAAAAGTAGCTGTAGCCAGGCAGTAATCACCATGGACCCTGGGTAAGATCCAGTGCTGTGTTAGCTTCAGGTGTGACGCAGTGCATTCCCAACTGCAGTGGCTACAGGGAGAGACTCCTGCATGCGGAAAGGAGAAGGAAAATGAATGGGACATTGTCTTGCAACTTGGTTATCAGTTCTTCTACAGTGAAATAGAGCACTGAATAGGCTCCTGGGGTCCCAGATTCTAGACCTTGGCTCCTGGATGGCATCTCTGGACCCTCCCTGGGACAGAAGAGAGTCCACTGCCCTGAAGAGACCCAGGCCTGGAAGCATTCAGCATGAGCTGACTGAAGATGTCTTGGGCCTTGAGTAAACATTGGCAGTAGCCAGGAAGTGATTTCTGTGGGCCTGGGGAAGTAATGGCCATGAGGATAGACTTCTTCTGCTTGAGGAAAGGAGACGGAAGAGTGGGACAAACTTTGTATTGCAGCTTGGGTGCTAGCTCAGCCACAGTAGGATAGAGCACCAAGCAGGTTCCCATCTGTAGGCCCTGGATTCTGGGTGGCATTTCTGGACCAGCCCTGGGCTGGAATTGAGGAGGAACTCACTACCCTGAAGAAAAGGACACAAGCCTTGCTGGACTCACCACTTGCCAACTGAAGGGCCCTTGGGCCTTGACTGAACATTGGTAGTAGCCAGGCAGGCAGTGGTTGTCGCAGGCCTTAGGCAAGAACGAGTTCTTTGCTGGCTTCAGATCTGGCCCAGTGCATCCTCAGTGTTCATAGCCACGAGAGTGCTTGTGGCACCCCTCTGCACCTCCAGGAAGCTCAGCACGGTGATACTCCATTTGTTTGTGGAAAAGTGTGGAAAGAGAACAAGAGTATCTCCCTGTTAATTCAAGGAAAACTCTTGGGTTTTAGTGAAGACATTAAGGCATTACCTCTACAAGTCTGCAAGGGTTACAGCTTTAGTGACCTTGGGGAGCTCCCCAATACCCACACAGATGCAATACACATACAGATGCAGTGACCAAAGACTTAGATCACAACACTTAATTATTTTTGAATGCCTGAAAAGCCTTCCCAAGAAAGATGAGTACAACTAGCCCAAACTGTGAAGACTACAGTAAATTCCTAATTCTTCAGTGCTCAGACACAGACGAATATCCACAAACATCAAGATCATCCAGGAATACAAGACCTCATCAAGTGAACTACATCAACCACCAGGGACCAAGGGTGGAGTGACAGATATATGTAACCTTTCAGACAGATAATTCAAAATAGCTGTTTTGAGGAAACAAAGAAATTCAAGATAACACAGAGAAGGAATTCAAAATCTAATCAGAAAATTTAACAAAGAGATAAAATAACTTTAAAAAATCAGACAGGAAGCAAATGACGAATCTAACAGTTATTGGTCTTAAAGAGGAGGTAGAGAAAGAGATGGGGTAGAAAGATTACTCACGGGATAATAACAGAGAAATTCCCCAACCTAGAGAAAGATATCAATATTTAAGTACAAGAAGGTTATGGAACACCAAGCAGATTTAAGCCAAAGATTACCTCTAGACATTTAATAAGCAAACTCCCAAAGGTCACAGATAAAGAAAGGATTCTAAAAGCAGCAAGAGAAAAGAAACAAATAACATGCAATGGGTCCTTAATATCTCTGGCAGCAGACTTGTCAGTGGAAACCTTAGAGACCATGAGAGAGCAGCAAGACATATTTAAAGTTCTGAAGGAAAAAATGTTTGTTCTAGAACAGTTTGTCCAGTGAAAATACCCTTCAAACATGAAGAAGAATTAAAACCTTTAATGGACAAATAAAAACTGAGAGATTTCATTAACACCAACCCTATTCTATGAAAAATGCTAAAGGAAGTTCTTCAATCAGAAAGAAAAGGACATTAGTGATCAATAAGATATCATCTGAAGGTACAAAACTCACTGGTAATAGTAAGTACAGAGAAAAACACAGAATAGTATAACACTGGAATAGTTTGCACACTGTGGTATGTAAAATAGTGTTATCTTAAGTAGAAAGACTAAATAATGAACCAATCAAAACTAATAACTACAACAACTTTTCAAGACTTAGACAGTACAATAAAACATAAATAGAAACAACAAAAAGTTAAAAAGAGGGCGGATGAAGTTAAGGTACAGTCTTTTTTAAATTTTTGCTTTGCTTGTTTGCTTGTTTGTTTTTGCAAACAGTGGTAAATTGTTATCAGCATAAAATAAAAGGTTATAAGATAGTATTTGCCAACCTCATGGTGACTTCAAACCAAAAAACATACAAAATTGAGCTCAGGCAAGACTGCCACCACAGACTAAATTGCTCTGGGGCATTAAATATACTTGAAAGGCAGTCTAGGCAGCAAGGACTGAAAATCTTAGGTGAGCCCTTGTGCTGAACTTGACCCAGAGACAGTGTCCTGGGGGAGGGATTGTCTGCAGTGAATAAGGGAGTACTGGCATCATCCCTCCCCTAATCCCACACTGCAAAGCTCATGGCTCCAAAAGAGACCATTTTCCACTACTTGAGGAGAGGAGAGGAGAGGAGAGGAGATGAGAGGGAAGAGTTGGGGAAAACGTTTTCTGGCCTTTTGGATACCACCTCAGCCACAGCAGACTAGGGCACATGTCAGAGTCATGAAGCCCCCTTTCCAAGACCTACTTCACCTATGACATTTCTAGACACACCCTGGGCCAAAAGAGAACTTGCTGATTCAGTCCTGTCAGCATTCATTACCTGCTAATTGAAGAGCCCTTGGGCCCTGAAAGAAAAGCAGTGATACCCAGGTACTACATGTACTACATTGAGGGTCTTGGGTGAGACCCTCAGACTTGCCGGGTTCAGGTGAGACTCAGCACATTCCTAGTTGTGGTGTCTGTGGGGCGAGACTCCTTCCACTTGTAAGAAGTGGAGAAAAAAACCAAAGGGGACTTGTCCATCTTAGGTAACAGTTCAGCCACAGGAGGGTAGAATGCCAACCAGCCTCTTGGGGTCCATGATTCTAGAACTTGAGCCTTGAATGGCATTTCTGGAGCTGCCCCATGCCAGAGGAGAGCCTACTGCCTTAAAGGGTGAGGCCCTGGCCAGGCAGCATTCACCACAAGCTCCCTTAAAAGCCCTTGGGCCTTAAAGGAACATCAGTGGTAGTCTGGCCCTCCTCATGAGGCTGTGGTGGCTATAGCCATTGGGTGAGGCTCATTTGCCTTTGGTAAGGAAAGAAAAGAGTGGAAAGGAAAGCGTCTTGTTATTTGAGTGCCAGATCAGCAACAGTACAAAAGAACACCAGGTACACTTCTACCGTTTTTGACTCTAGACCCTGGCTTCCAGAGAGCACCTCTGGACACACCTGGAACTGGGGTAACTTGCCGCCCTGTAGGAAACACACAGGCCTGGATGGATTTGCCACTGACTGACTGTAGAGTCACAGGGCCTTGAACAAACATAGGTCAAAGCAAGGGAGAGGTTTCAGCAGGCCTTGGGTGACACCCAGTACTGTGCAGGCATCAGGTTTGACCCAGCACAGTCCTAGTGCTGATGGCCACAGGGATGCTTGTGTCATACCATACCCAGCTCCACGTGGCTCATAACAGAAGAAAAGACATTTCATTTTTTTGGGAGAAAGTAAGGGAAGATAATGAGAGCTTTTGCCTGGCAATCTAGAGAATTCTTTCAGATCTTGTCCAAGATCATCAAGGGAATACCTCTATGAGTAGGCAAGAACTACAATGTTACTGGACTTGGGTGCCCCCTAAAGAAAATACAGCTTAGATCACGACACTCAGGTCTTTTTGACTATCTGGAAAGCTTTCCCAAGAATAATGGGTACAAAAAAGCCTAGACTGAGAAGACCACAATAAATACCTAACTTTTCAATGTCCAGACAATAAAGGACATTGACAAGCATCAACAGCATCCAGGAAAACATGACCTCACCAAAAGAACTAAATAAGGTACCGGGGACCAATTTTGGAGAAACAGAGATAAGTGACCTTTCAAGCACAGAATTCAAAATAGCCTTACTGAGAAAAAAAATTCAACATAACATAGACAAAGAATTCTGAATTCTTTCAGATAAATTTAACAAATAGATTAAAATAATTAGAAAGAATCAAGTGGAAATTCTGGAGCTAAAAAATTCAACTGACATAGTAAAGAAGGGATAGCATTAGGAGAAATACCTAACGTAAATGACGAGTTAATGGGTGCAGCAAACCAACACGGCACATGTATACATATGTAACAAACCTGCACGTTGTGCACATGTACCCTAGAACTTAAAGTATAATAAAAAAGAAAAAAAAAAGAATGCATCAGTCTTTTAATGGCAGAATTGATCATGCAGAAGAAGAAATTAATGAGCTTGAATACAGGCTATTTTAAAATACAGTCAGAGAAGACAAGATAAAAAACAATTAATAATAATGAGGTACACCTACGGGATCTGGAAAATAGCCTAAAAAGGGCAAGTCTATGAGTTATTGGCCTTAAAGAGGAGGTAGAGAAAGAGATGTGGGTAGAAAGTTTACTCAAAGGGATAGTAACAAAGAGCTTTCCAAACCTGGAGAAAGATATTAATATTCAAGTACGAGAAAGTTATTAATATAAAACACCAAGCATATTTAAGCCAGAGTAGACTACCTCAAGACATTTAATAAGAAAACTCCCAAAGGTCAAGAATAAAGAAAGGATTCTAAAAGCAGCAAGAGAAAAGAAACAACATACAATAGAGTTTCAATATGTCTGGTAGCAGACTTTTCAGTGGAAACCTCATAGATCAGGAGAGAGTAGCATGACATATTTAATGTGTTGAATGAAAAAAACAGAACAAACAAAAACAAAACAAAAAAAAAGTTTACCATAGAATAGTATATCTGGTGAAAATATACTTCAAACATGAAGGAGAAATAAAGCCTTTCCCAGACAAACCAAAGCTGAGGGATTTAATCAACTCCAGACCTGTCCTATAAGAAATGCTAAAGGGAGTAATTCAATGAGAAAGAAAAGGATGTTAATGAGCAATAAGAAATTATGCGATGAAACAAAACACACTGGTAATAGTAAGTACACAGAAAAACACAGAATAGTATAACACTATAACTGTGGTGTGTAAACTACTGTTATCTTAGTAGAAAGACTAAGTGGTGAACTAATCACAAAATAAAATTACAATAAGGTTTCTTTTTTTTTTTTTTTTTTAAGAGGAAGTCTCACTCTGTCACCCGGACTGGAGTGCAGTGGTGCGATCTCGGCTCACTGCAACCTCTGCCTCCTGAGTTCAAGTGATTCTCCTGCCTCAGCCTCCCAAGTAGCTGGGATTACAGGCAGGTACCACCATGCCTGGCTAATTTTTGTATTTTTTTGTAGAGATGGGGTTTCACCATGCTGGCCAGGCTGGTCTTGAACTCCTGACCTTAGGTGATCCACCCACCTCAGCCTCCCAAAGTGCTGGGATTACAGGCATGAACCACCACACCTGGTCAAGTTTTCGATATATAGACATTACAATGAGATATAAATAGAAATAATAAGATCTTAAAAAGTAGGTGTATGAAGTTAAGGAATACAGTCTATTAGTTTTATTCTTGCTTGTTTACACAACCAATATTAAATTGTTATCATCTTAAACGAATGGGTTATAAGATAGTATTTGCCAATGTTACAGTAAACTAAAACCAAAAAGCATACAATGAATACATAAAAATTGAAAAACAAGAAACTAAACCATATCAACAGAGAAAATTATCTCCATGAAAAGGAAGGCAAGAGAGAAAGAAAAAACAAAGAGAAGACCACAAAGTAAGAATACCTGGAGACTTTAACACCACACTTTCAGCATTGGATACATCTTTCAGATATAAAATCAACAGAGACATCAGACTTAATCTGCACTATAGACCAAATGGACCTAACACATATTTACAGAACACTTAATCCAATGGCTGCAGAATACACATTCTTTTCCTTAGCACATAGATCATTCTCAAAAATAGACCATATGTTAAGTCACAAAACAAGTCTTAAAATGTTCAAAAAACTGAGATAATATCAAGCATCTTCTCTGACTGCAATGGAATAAAACTACAGATCAATAACAAGAGGAATTTGGGAAACAATAGAAACACATGGAAATTAAACAATATGCTTCTGAATAATCAGTGGGTCATAAAAAATGAAGAAAGAAATTGAGAACTTTCTGGAAATAAATGATAATGAAAACAAAACATACCAAGCCCTATGGGATTCAGCAAAAGCAGTAGTAAGAGGGAAGTTTATAGCTGTAAGTGCCTACATCTAAAAAGATGAAAAACTTTAAATAAACAATCTAATGATGCATCTTAAAGAACTAGAAAATCAAGAACAAACCAAACCCCAAATTAGGAGAAGAATAGAAATAATCAAGATCAGAACAGAAATAAACAAAATTGAGGTGAAGAAAACAATATAAAAGATTAGTGTAACACAAAGTTGGTTTTTTGAAAAGTTAAACAAAATTGACAAATCTTTAACCAGACTAACAAAGAAAAAAATCCAAATGAAAAAAATCAGAGATGAAAAAGTTGACATTACAACTGATAATGCAGAAATTCAAAGGATCATTAGTGGGCTATTATGAGCAACTATATGCCAATAAATTGAAAAATCTTGAAGAAATGGACAAATTCCTAGACATGTATAATCTACCAAGATTGAACCTGGAAGAAATCTAAAACCTGAACAGACCAATAACAAGTAATGAAAGCAAAGTCATAATAAAAAGTCTTCTAGTAAAAAAAATGCCCAGGATCCAATGGCTTCACTGCTGAATTCTACCAAACACTTAAAGAAGAACTAATACCAATCCTACTCAAATTATTACAAAAAATAGAGGAAAAAACATACTTCCAAATACATTGTATGAGGCCAGTATTACCCTACTGCAAAAACCAGATGAAGACACATCAAAAAAAGAAAACTACAAGTTAATATTGATGCAACTGTCCTCATCAAAATACTATCAAACAGAATTCAACAATACATTAAAAAGATCATTCCTCATGACCAAGTGGGATTTATCCCTGAGATGTAAAGATGCATCAACACACACAGATCAATCAATGTAATAAATAATAAATCGTATCAACAGAATGAAGGGGAAAAAACCCGTATGATCATTTTATTGATGCTGAAAAAGCATTTGATAAAATTCAACATCATGATATAAACCCTCAAAAAACTGGGTACATAGAAGGAACATACCCCCAACATAATAAAAGTCATATATGACAGCTAGTATCATACTGAATGGGAAAAAAAGTGAAAACCTTTCTTCTAAGAACATGACAAGGATGCCCACGTTCACCACTGTTTTTCAACATAGTACTGGAAGTCCTAGCTAGAGCAATCAGACAAGAGAACAAAATAAAGGGCACACAATTTGGAAAGGAAAAGATCAAATTATCCTTGTTTGCAGATGATATAATCTTACACTTGGAAAAACCTAAAGACTCCACCAAAAAAAAAAAAAAAAACCACTATTACAATCAATAAAGAAATTCAATAAAGTTGTAGGATACAAAACAAAAATCAGTAGCATTTCTGTATGCCAACAGTGAACAATCTGAAAAAGAAATCAGAAAAATAATCTCATTTTTGAAGGCCACAAATAGTATTGCAAACATAAATTAACTTAACCAAAGAAGTAAGTGATCTCTACAACAAAAACTATAAAACACTGATGAAAGAAATTGATGATGACACCAAAAAGTGGAAAGATATTCCATGTTCATCGATTGAAATAATCAATATTGTTAAAATGTCTATACTATCCAAAGCATTTTACAGATTCAGTGCAACCCCTATCAAAATACAAATGATATTCTTCACAGAAATAGAAAAAACAATCCTAAAATTTATATGGAACCACAAGACCCAGAATAGCCAAAGCTATTTTAAGCAAATAGAACAAAACTGGAGGAATCACATTACCTGATTTCTAGTTATACTAAGACCTATAGTAGCCAAAACAACATGGCAATGGCATAAAAACAAACATGTAGACCAATGGAATAGAACATAAAATTCAGAAACAAATTTGCACACCTACAGTGAACTTATTTTCGACAAAGGTGCCAAGAACACTGGGGAAAAGATAACCACTTCAATATATGGTTCTGGGAAAACTGGATATCAATAGGCAGCAGAATGAAAGTTGACCCCTATCTCTCACCGTATACAAAAATCAAATCAAAATGGATTATAAACTTAAATGTAAGTCCTCAAATTATGAATCTACTACAAGAAAACATCAGTGAAACTCATCAGGATATTGGTCTTGGCACAAATTTCTTGAACAATACAAGCACAGGCAACCAAAGGAACAATGGACAAATAGGATCACATGAAGTTGAAAAGCTTCTGCAAAGAAAGGATACAATAAAAAAAGTGAAAAGACAACCCACAGGATGGGAGAAAATATTTACAAACTACCCATCTGACAAGGGATTATTAACCTGAATATATAAGGAGCTCAAACAACTCTATAAGATCAAATCTAATAATCAGATCCGAAAATGGGCAAAAGATTTGAAAAGACATTTCTCACAAGAAGACATGTAAATGGCAACATCATTGATCATCAGATAAATGCAAATCAAAACTACAATGGCATATCATCTCACCCAAGTTGGAATGGCTTATATACAAAAGACAATAACAAATGCTGGTGAGACTGTGGAGAAAAGAAAACCCTCATATACTGTTGGTGGGAATGTATATCAGTACAACTACTATGAAGAATGGTTTGGATGATCCTCAAAAAACTAAAAATTGAACTACCCTACGATACAGCAATCCTACTGCTGGGTATACACCCAAAAGAAAGAAATCAGTATATTGAAGACATATCTGCACTTGCATGTTTGTTGCAGCACCGTTCACAATAACTAAGATTTGGAATCAATCTAAGCGTCCATCAACAGACGAATGAGTAAAAAAAATGTGGTACATATACACAATAAAGTACTAGTCAGCCATAAAAAAGAATGAGATATTGTAATTTGCAACAACATGGATGGGACTGGAGATCATTACGTTAAGTGAAATAAGCTAGGCACAGAAAGACAAACATCACATGTTCTCATTTATTTGTGATAAATCAAATAATCATGTGATAAATCATGTGATAAATCAAAACAATCATGGGTATAGAGAATAGAAGGATTATTACTAGAGGCTGGGATGGATAGTGGGGGACTAGGGGCAGGTCAGGATGGTTAAGAGGAACAAAAAATAGAAAGAATAAGACATACTATTTGATTGCACAACAGGGTGACTGTAGTCAATTATAACTTAATTGTACATTTAAAAATAACTAAAAGAGTGTAATTGAATTGTTTGGAATAGAAATGATAAATGCTTGAGGGCATGGATACACCATATCTTCATGATGTGATTATTTCATTTTGCATGCCTGTATCAAAACGTATCATGTACCCCACAAATACACACTACTATATAACCACAAAAATTAAAAATGAAAATAAATATATAAATAAGATGAAGAAATAAAAGTATACAAATAAAAATAGCAAACAGGTATATGAGAAGTTGCCCAACATCACTGATCATGAAAGAAATACAAATCAAAACTATAGTGAGATATCATCTCAGCCCAATTAAAATGGTTTTTATTCAAAAGACAGGCAATAACAAATGCTGATGAGGCAATAAGAAAAGGGAATCCTTGTACACTGTTTGTGGGAATGCAAATTAGCACAGCCACTTGGAAAACATTATTGAGGTTTCACAATAAACTAAATATAGAACTGTCATATAATCTAGCAATCCCACTGCTAGATATGGACTCAAAAGAAAGGAAATCAGGCCAGGCGCGGCAGCTCACGCCTGTAATCCCAGCACTTTGGGAGGCCAAGGCAGGCGGATCATGAGGTCAGGAGATTGAGACCATTCTGGCTAACACGGTGAAACCCCGTCTCTACTGAAAATACAAAAAATTAGCTGGGAGTGGTGGCGGGCGCCTGTAGTCCCAGCTACTCAGGAGGCTGAGGCAAGAGAATGGCATGAACCCGGGAGGCGGAGCTTGCAGTGAGCCGAGATCGTGCCACTGCACTCTGCCCTGGGCGACAGAGCGAGACTCCGTCTCAAAAAAAAAAAAAAAAAAAATAGAAAGGAAATCAGTATATTGAGGAGATATCTGCTCTGCCTTCTTTATTGCAGCACTATTCACAATAGCCAAAATTTGAAAGCAACGTAAATGTCCATCGACAGACGAATGAACAAAGAAAATGTGGAACATACACACAATGGAGTACTATTCAGCTCGTAAAAATGAAATGCTTCATAAAAATGAAATTCTGTCATTTACAACAACATGAATGGAACTGGAGGACATTATGTTAACTGAAATAAGCCAAGCACAGAGAGACAAACTTTGCATGTTCTCACTCATTTGTGGGGGCTTCAAATTAAAACAATTGAACTCATGGAGATACAGAGTAGAATGATCATTACCAGCTGTTGAGAAGGGTAGTGGGATAGGAAGAAGTGGAGATGGTTAATGGGCACAAAAATATTGTTACGTACAATGAATAAGATGTAGTATTTGATTGCACAACAGGGTGATTATAGTCATCAATAATTTATTGTACATTTCAATATAACTAAAAGGGTATATTTAGTATGTTTGTAACAAAAAGATAAATGCTTAAGGTGATGGAAAGCCCATTTACCCTGATGTAATTATTATGCATTGTATTCCTGTATCAATATATATTATGTACTCCATACATACAGTTATTATGTACCCATACAACTTAAAAATTAAAAAGAAAAAAATATGGGATGCAAGAAAGCAGTAATAAGTGGGAAAATATGCTTTAGATTTAGTGACATTTCATTTGCATACCTCTTCTTGGGAAAATATAGGATATTTTTAAAGAGTGCCTGGATTAAAGATTCTCTTATTGACAAAAGACAGTGAGCAGTATATTACAGAGTGCAACAATTCCATAATATTCTCACCCTGGTGAATGTAATAAGAATTTTGTAAAGCTATCGCTATCTATGTTTCATCAGAGCTCCAAAGTGTCCACATAGCTCTAGACTTTATTCTGAAAAGCTCACTACATAGTAACAAGTGCCAAGAAAATTAAGGCCTCTTGTCTTAGGAATACACTTGCAGCATCCCTATGCTAAAAAATTGGTCTGAGCTTTGTTTACCACAATCAGTTACTATGCAATACATAAACTTGAAATTTGGGAAGAATTCTGCAGCAACTAAGCCAAGCATTTCTCCATAAAATTAATTAATTAATATCTTTATGGAATTTCTAGTAAAAAACAAATTTGGAGGTTTTATAAGGCTTATATTGACAATAGTATTTTTGGAAAGGTAATAAAAAAGATGTTATTTTCTTTTCAGCATTATCAAACTTTTTTTACTCTTAAGTTTACATTACAGTTAAACCATGTTCAACAGATTAGATAGAGTGCCATAAGCAAAAAACAATGCACAGAATGGGCATAGGAATGAGGGATAGTGGAATGCCTGCTGTATGTTTGTCATTATGGCCCGTGCCTTACCTCATCCCTGAATTCCTGCAGTAGTTTCCAAGCTAGTGCCATTGCTCCAATTAATTTATCTTTTAAATTACCCTTCTTCCAACACTGCATTTACTGTATCACTTGGATGTTGACTATCACAACATCCAAGATTTCAACCAAATTATTCAACTTATTTTGCAAGGATACTAGAATTTGGGCCCATCCTATATAGCTAATCTTATGTTATCACTCCTTCAACTCACACTTATAACTTTTGCCAATGTTATCATGTTACCAGTCCCTCTAACATACTATATTCCTATTCCTGCATACATTGGTTTATATTATACCCTCCTATTTGAAATACACCCAACTTCTATACTTATCTGAATAGAAATTTTCTATTTTAATTTGGTTCTTTATACTGCAATAAATGCAGCTAGTCTAAGTAATATCAATAAGGTAGTGAGGAAATTTATCGTAAGGAAATATGTGTACTAAAACTAAAATTTTAACTTGGAAGCCACTAGTAACTGAGGAAGCTCTGAAAATTGGCTATCCTCTGTTTTTCTCTTATGGGCCATAATGGTCTTTCCAGTTCTGATTTCCTACTTTAAATCTCACTCTGTGCATTTACTCTTCTTTTCTTTCTTCTCTCTACCAAATAGACTTTTCTGCTTCTTCAAATTTTCTGCCCCCTCACATTTCCTACTTCCTTATAAGACAGGCTTGGAAATGGTTATCATAGCCTCTCTATCCTATATATGTCAAGATTTCCTCTGCTAACATTTCAATCTGTCAGTATTCTTAAGTGAAAATTTAGAAACCAGGAATCTGGTTGGCCCTGCTGATTTCTTTGTGTCAGCCTACGATATGGGTCACTGAACAGTCCTTGGATTGATTGTTCATGGGTCAGATAGGCAACCACGTAGCTGGTATGGTGAAGGGCATAGGAAACATGTAGAACAAAATATGGTGGCAGGGATTATGGATGAGCTAGGTTCTGTTCAAAATATAAGGGCAAGAAGACAATGAGATAAAAATTTCCAATTCTCTCTCTTTTACTACCTAGCTCAAGTCCCTCTTTCTTCATGAAGCTATCCAAATTACTAGACAAGAGTGGTTAATCTTCCTTCTGGGAATTTCAATATAATTGATAGTCAATATCATTTATTAAATTTTAGAATACTTACATATTGTTGTTAAGTTTTAATCAAAGTCTAGTCTCAATAAGTTTGAATATACATGAAGTGCAAGAATCATGACATAAGCTTTTGTTTTGTTTTGTAGTTGTAATTACCCACAATACCTAACACAATACTTGGTACTGAGCAAATAGCCAACACATTTATGGATATTAAAAGAGTGGAATTTAAAATGTGATTATATTTTCAGGCTAAGGAAAAGAACAGGCCTTGCATCTCAAAATAAATTATGTAAATCAAGATATTGGGCATATGGGGGTATAATTAAATAACTCTTTCATAGGTAGATTGTTATTCATTTTTTCTCCCCTGGGAAATTATAGGAGTCAGTTCAAAGAAACCTTAAAAATTCCATTTGAAGAGATTTCCCCTGGGACTAATTTACATCAGAATATGTGAAATGACTTGTGTTTTCATTTAAACATCCTAATTCCAAAGTTAGTCACACGGTTATTTGAGTGGCATTTAAAAAGACCATACAGTTTTTATATTAGGAGGTTTCTGTCTACTATATAGCTCAGTAAACTCAGTATAGAATTAGTATGTTACCTTATAAAAATAAGCATTATACTCTTAATGTTATCATTCACTCCTAGTGAAAAAATTATTTTAAATTTATTCACACCTGCAGTATGATCCAGATTCCTAAAGTGAAACCATATGGATTGTGTGTGTGTGTCTGTGCTTAATTGCAATCTATGGATTAAAAATACCTGGAGTCTCAATGTAGGCAGTTTACTTTAAGCTATATAACTTTGGAAAAGTCAATCCACCTATTTCTTGATTTTTCTGATCAAGAAAATGAAGAGGTCAAAAACTGCTGAAATATTTTCCACTTATAGGAAAGTTACTCAAAATTACATATTTCCAGAACAAACCTCTCCCCTGAACTTCAAGACCACATATTCAAATGTTCTCTCCTTCACTCCATATTACAGTGTATCATTGAACCAACTTGAACATCTCTCCAATACATCTACTTCTTTCCATCTCTATCACCTCCTTAATCTAAGCTTTCATTTTCTTTTGCTTTAAAAATTAATAACTTATTAATTGGTTTAATTTCCATCCATTTTCCACTCCCTTCCATCTGTTCTCCACAGTCAGAATGAAGTGTTTGAAAGAAAATCTGCTGATGTTTACCTCTTGCTTAAAAATCTTTAGTGTTTTCCTTTAATGCTTAGGGTTAAGGCAAGATTCCTTAATATGCTCATCAAGACTTCTGATGGTTCTGTCCGTAAATACATCTACATTATTTGAATCATGTCTTGCTTTTTCCTAACTACACTAGCCTTCTCTCAGACACTCATATTCACCATGTTTCCTCCCAATACAGGTGGTACCACACACTAGTTTCTTCAAAGCTTTTGCCTAGTTAATGTCTCATCAACCATCATATCTCAGCTCAAATGTTGCTTTCGAATCATTCAGACAGAAGTCTCATAAAAAGATTCCGAAGTACTGTATACATCTTAGCATTCATTCCAGTTGTAACTTTACATTTATTTATGTGAACCTTTAGTTGATATCTGGTTACATCAGCTTACCAAACTATAATACCATGAGGGCAGGTGCCATGCTTGTTTATGCTCTCCATATCATCTTCCATGTACAGCATGATGTTGCATTGGCAGGTTTTAGATGGTTGAAAATATTTTGTTGAATGAATTGAAACATTGCTGTTCTAATGTGAGGTTATAGAACATGTCTTAAAGGGAGTTTCATTAATGCTTCTATGCTATATTTTTAATTCTAGTTAATTATATCAAGTAGTTTGATGCCTCTTATTTAAGTAGCAAACTCAGAGATTTAAGTATGAAGAATTTCAGAACTTTAAAACTAAGTAGATGTGATGGTTAATTTTGTATGACAGCTTGGCTGGATCATGGTACCCAGATATTTGGTCAAACATAATTCTAGATGTTTCTGTGAAGGTGTTTTTCATATGGCATTAACATTCAAATCAGTGGACTCTGAGTAAAGCAGATTACCTTCCATAATGTGGGTGGACCGGATCCAATCAATTGAGGGCCTTAATAAAATAGACCAGAGGCACAGCAAGATGGCAGAATAGAAAGCTCCACCAATCATCCTCTTTACAAAGACACCAAGTTAAGAACTGTCTATACAGAAAAAGCACCTTCATAAGAACCAAAAATCAGGTGAGTGCTCATAGTACCTGGTATTAACTTCATATCCTTGAAAGAGGCACTTAAGAGATAGAAAAAAAACAGTCTTGAATCACTGATGCCAACCCTCCATCCCCAAGCAACCTTTCCACCCTCTCACCCCATGCCAGCCCCAGCAGTGTGGTATGGAGAGCATCTCTGGGCCTTGAGAGAGGAAGAGCACAGTAATCATGAGGCATTAAACTCAGTGCTGTTCTGTTGGAGCAAAAATGAAAACAGGAGCAAACTCAGCTGATGCCTGCTCACAGAGGGAGCATTTAAAACAGCCCCAGCCAGAGAGGAATCACTAATCCCAGCAGTCAGAACTTGAGTTGCCACAAGCCTTGCCACTGAGAGCTAAAGTGTTCTGGGTCTCTATGTAAACTTGAAAAGCAGCCTAGGCCAGAAGGACTGCAAATCTTAGGTGAGTTCTAGTCTTGACCTAGGCCCAAGACAGTGAAGGGGGGGAATCACATGACTTACTGAGACACCAGCTGGGGCAGCTAAAAAGTGTTGCCATCTCCCCTCTCCTATCCTCAGGTGGCACAGCTCACAGCTCCAAAAGTGATCCCTTCTTTCTGCTTGAGGAGAGGAGAGAGAAGAGCGGGGAGGACTTTGTCTTGCATCTTAGGTACCAGCTCAGCCACAGCAGGATAGGGCACTGGTCAGAATCATGAGGCCCGTGTTCCAGGCCCTAGCTCCTAGATAACATTTTTAGACACACCCTGGGCCAGAGGGAACCCGTTGCTTTGAAGGAAAACACCCAGTCCTGGCACCATTCATCTCTTGCTAACTGAAGAGCCATTGGACCCAAAATATTGAGCAGCGATACTCAGGTACCACATCAAGGACCTTGGGTGAGCCTCTGAGTCTTGTTGGCTTCAGGTGAGACTCAACACATTCCCAGTTGTAGTGTCTATAGGGCAAAACTCGTTCTGCCTGAGAAAAGCAGACAGAAAAGTAAGGGAGACTTTGTCTTGAACATTAGCTACCAGCACAGCCACAGGGGAGTAGAACACCAATCAGGCTCTTGGGATCCCTTGACTTTTGGATGGCCTTTCTGGACCTGTCCTGAGCTGGAGGGAAGCCCACTGCCCTGAAGGATAAGGTCTAGGTCAGGCAGCATTCACCCCAACATAATTTAAGAGCCTTTGGGCCTTAAAGGAACATTGGCAGTAGTCTGGCAGTACTCCTCATGCTCTGTGATGGCAGTGTCTATGGGATGAGGCTCCTGTGCCTTTGCAAAGGGAAGGAAAGAGTAGGAAAGACTGCTTCTTGTGTTTGGTGTGTGAGCTCAGCCACAGTAAGATAGAACACCAAGTAGACTTCTAAGGTTTTGGACTCTAGATCCTGACTACTGGACAGCACATCTGGGCCCACCTGGGGACCGGGGAAGATGCCACTCTAAAGGGAAGAACACAAGCCTGGCTGACTTTGCCACTTTCTGATTGTAGAGCCTCAGGGCCTTGAGGGAAAATAGACAGTTGCCAGGAAGTGGTTATGGCAGGCCTTGGGTGAGATCCAGCACTGTACTAGCTTCAGGTATGACCCAGCATAGTCATAGTGGTGGTGGCCACAGGAGTGCTTATGTCACACCAGCCCAGCTTTAGGTGGCTCAGAACAGAGAGAGAGACTTTGCTTCTTTGGGAGAAAGTAAGGGAAGAGAACAAGTGTTTCTACCTGGTAATCTACAGAATTATCCCAGAACTTATCCAAGACCATCAAGGCAGTACCTTGATGAGTCTGAAGGACCACAGCATTACTTTGCTTGGTGTGCCTCCTAAAGCAGACACAGCTTAGATCACAACACCCAAGTCCTTGGACAGATCTTCCAGACAGAAAATCAACGAAGAAACTTTAGACTTAATCTGCACTATAAACCAAATGGACCCAATAGACATTTACAAAACATTTCATCCTATGGTGGCAGAATACACATTACTGTCATCAACACGTGTATCATTCTCAAGGATAGACCACATATTAGGGCACAAAACAAGTCTTAAAACATTGAAATAATTTGAAGCTTCTTCTCTGACCACAATGGAATAGATACCTAGCTCTTCAATGTCCAGACACTGAAGAATATCTACTAGCATCAACACCAACCAGATAAATATGACCTCACCCAGTGAACTAAATAAGACAGCAGGGACCAATCCAGGAAAAAAAGACATATGTGACCTTTCAGACAGAGAATTCAAACTAGCTGTAGTTGACTCAATGAAATTCAAGAAAACACAGAGAAACAATTTAGAATTTCATCAAATAAATTTAACAAATATGTTGAAATAATTAAGAATCAAGCAGAAATTCTGGAGCTGAAAAATGCAATTGGCATACTGAAAAATGCATCAGAGCCTTTTAATAGCAGAATTGAACATCCAAAAGAAAGAATAAGTGAGCTTGAAGACAGGCTGCTTGAAAATACAAAGTCAGAGGAGATGAAAGAAAACATAATGAAAAACAAGCATGCCTACAGAATCTAGAAAATAGCCTCAAGATGGAAAATCTAAGAGTTATTACCTTAATATAAAACCCAAAACCATAAAAACCCTTGAAGAAAACTTAGGCAATACCATTCAGGACATGGGCATGGGCAAATACTTCATGACTAAAACACCAAAAGCAATTGCAACAGAAGCGAAAATTGACAAATGGGATCTAATTAAAGTAAACAGTTTCTGCACAGCAAAAGAAACTATCATCAGAGTGAACAGGCAACCTATAGAATGGGAGAAAATTTTTGCAATCTACCAATCTGACAAAGGTCTAATATCCAGAATCTGCAAGGAACTTAAAACAAATTTACAAGAAAAAAACAACCCAATCAAAAAGTGGATGAAGGATATGAACAGACACTTCTCAAAAGAAGATATTTTATGCAGCCAACAAACATATGAATAAAAGCTCATCATCACTGGTCATAAGAGAAATGCAAATCAAAACCACAGTGAGACACCATCTTATGCCAGTTAGAATGTTGATCATTAAAAAGTCAGGAAACAACAGATGGTGGCGAGGCTGTGGAGAAATAGGAACCTTTTTACACTGTTGGTGGAAATATAAGTTAGTTCAACCATTGTGGAAGACAGTGTGGCAATTCCTCAAGGATCTAGAACCAGAAATATCCCAGCAATCCCATTACTGGGAATATACCCAAAGGATTATAAATCATTCTACTATAAAGACGCATGCATGCGTATGTTTATTTCAGCAATATTTACAATAGCAAAGACTTGGAACCAACCCAAATACGCATCAATGATAGACTGAATAAAGAAAATGTGGCACATATACACCATGGAATATTATGCAACCATAAAAAAGAATGAGTTCATGTCCTTTTCAGGGACATGGATGAAGCTGGAAACCATCATTCTTAACAAACTAACACAGGAACAGAAAACCAAACACCACATGTTCTCACCCATAAGTGCGAGCTGAACAATGAGAACACATGGACACAAGGAGGGGAACATCACACACTGGGGCCTGTTGGGAGGTGGGGGGCAATGGGAGGGAGAGCATAGCATTAGGACAAATACCTAATGCACGTGGGGCTTAAAATCTAGATGATGGGTTGATAGGTGCAGCAAACCACCATGGCACATGTATACATATGTAACAAATCTGCACATTCTGCACATGTTTCCCAGAACTTAAAGTAAAATAAAATGAGTTATTGACCTTAAAGAGAAGGTAGAGGACTAAGAGGGAAGTTTATAGCTATAAGTGCCTACAGAAAAAAGAGGAAAAGCCTCAAATAAACAATCTAATCATGTGTCTTAAAGAACTAGAAAAGCAAGAGCAAGCCAAACCCAAAATTAGTAGAAGAATAGAAATAATAAAGCTCAGAGCAGAAATAAGAAAAATTGAAATAAAATAATAGAAAAGATGAATACAACAAACGTTGGTTTTTTTGAAAAGCCAAACAAAACTGACAAATCTTTATCCAGACTAACAAAGAAAAAAACCAAATAAATAACTTTAGAGATAAAAGGAGACATTAAAACTGATACTGCAGAAATTCAGAGGATCATTAGTGGGCAACTATATGCTAATAAATAAGTAAAAAATCTAGAAGAAATGGTCAAATTCCTAGATACATAGAATCTACCAAATTTCAAACTGGAAAAATTCAAAACCTGAATAGACCAATAACAAGTAAAGAGATTGAAGCTGTAATAAAAAGTCTCCCAGTAAAGAAAAGCCCAGGATCTGATGGCTTCACTTCTGGGTTTCTACCAAACATTTAAAGAAGAACTAATACCAATCCTACTCAAACTATACAAAAAACAGAGGAGGAAGGAATGCTTCCACACTGTTTCTACAAACAGGTATTACCCAGACACCAAAACCAGACACAGATACATTAAAAAAAAAAAAAAAAACTACAGGCAAATATCTCTGATGAATATTGATGCAAAAATCCTCAACAAAATTCTAGCAAACCAAATTCAACTATACATTAGACAGATCATTCATCATGACCAAGTGGGATTTATCCCTGGGATGCAAGGATGTTTCTACATACACAAATCAATCAGTGTGGTACATAATATCAACAAAGTGGATAAACCATATGGTCATTAAACATAAACCATATGATCATTTCAACTGAGAGTGACACAGCATTTGATAATATTCAACATCCCTCCATGATAAAAAAATCTTTCAAGAAACTGAGAATAAAAGGAACATACTTCAAGATAATAAAAGCCAAATATGAAAGATCTACAGCTTGTATCATACTGAATGGGAAAAAACTAAAAGCCTTTCTTGTAAGATCTGAAACATGACAAGGATGCCCACTTTCATGACTGTTATTTAGCACAGTACTGGAGGTACTAGCTAGAGCAATCTGACAAGAGAAATAAAATGTATCCAAACTGAAATGGAAGAAGTCAAATTATTCTTTCTCACAGATGATTTGATCATATATTTGGGAAAACCTAAAGACTCCACCAAAAAACGGTTAGAACTGATAAACAAAATCAGTAAAGCTGTAGGATACAAAATCAACATACAAAAATCAGTAGCATTTCTATATGCCAACAGTAAACAATCTGAAAAAGAAATGAAAACATAATCCCATTTACAACAGTCACAAAGAATATGAAATACCCAGGAATTAACTTAACCAAAGAAGTGAAAGACCTCTATAATGAAAGCTATAAAACACTGATGAAGGAAATTGAAGAGGACACCAAGATTGGAAAAATATTCCATGTTAATGGAGTAAAAGAATCAATATTATTTAAATGTCCATATTGCCCACAACAATCTACAGATTAAATACAATCCTTAGCAAAATACCAAGGATATTCTTCACAGAAATAGAAATCACAATCCTAAAATTTATATGAAACCACAAAAGACCCAGAATAGCCAGAGCTATACTAAATTAAAAAAAAAAAACTGGAAAAATCACAGTACCCGACTTAAAATTATACTACAGAGCTATAGTGACCAAAACAGCATTGTAATTGCATAAAAACAGACATATAGATCAATGAAGCAGAATAGAGAACCCAGAAACAAATCAACACACTTGCAAACTCATTTTCCACAAAGGGGCCATGAACAAACACTGGGGAAAAGACAGTCTCTTCAACAAATGGCACTGGGAAAACTGTATATCAGTATGCAGAGGAATAAAACTAAACCTCAATATCTCACCATATACAAAAGTCAAATCAAAGTGGATTAAAGACTTAAATCTGAGACCTCAAACTATAAAACTAGCACAAGAAAACATTGGGGAAAATCTCCAGGACATTAGTCTGACCAGACTTTCTCAAGCAATACCCCACAAGTGCCTGCATCCAAAGCACAAATGGACAAATGAGATCACAACAAGTTGAAAAGTTTCTGCACAGCAAAGGATACGATCAACAAAGTCAAGAGACAACCCACAGAATGGGAGAAAATATTTGTAAACTACCCATCTGACAAGGAATTAATAAGCAGAATATATAAGGAGCTCAAAGAACTCTATTGGACAAAATCTAATAATCTGAACCACAAATGGGCAAAAAATTTGAGTAGGCATTTTTCAAAGAAAACATACAAATGGGAAACAGGCATATGAAAATGTGCTCAATATTGTTGACTATCACAGAAATGCAAATCAAAACTACAATGAGATATCATCTCACCCCAGTTAAAATGGCTTACATCCAAAAGACAGGCATTACCAAATGATGGCAAGGACGTTGAGAACAGGGAACTCTTGTTCACTGTTGGAAATGTAAGCCAGTACAAACACTATGAAGTACAGTTTGGAGGTTTCTTAGAAAAAAACAAAAACTAAAAATAGAGCTACCAGAGGATCCAGCAATTCCACTGTTGAATATATACCAAAAAGAAAGGAAGTCAGAGAGAGACAGAGAGAGAGGATTGTTGCAGCACTGTTCACAATAGTTAAGATTTGGAATCAACCTAAGCATCCACCCAACATGTGAATGAATACAGAAAATGTGGTATTTCTTTTTTGTCTTTCATTTTTGTTTTTGAGATGAAGTCTCACTCTGTCACCCAGGCTGGAGTGCAGTGGCACGATCTCGGCTCACTGCAACCTCTGCCTTCCAGGTTCAAGGGATTCTCCTGCCTCAGCCTCCCGAGTAGCTGGGATTACAGGTGCCTGCCACCATGCCTGGCTAATTTTTTGTATTTTTAGTAGAGATGGGGTTTCACCGTGTTAGGAAAATGTAGTATTTCTACACAATGGAGTATTATTCATTCACAAAAGAGAATGGGATCCTGTAATTTGCAAAAACATAGATGGAACTGGAGATCATTATGCCAAGTGAAATAAGCCAGGCACAGAAAAACAAACATCACAAATTGCCACTTATTTGTGGCATCTAAAACTCAAAACAGGTAATCCAGATGTATTTCAAGGCAGGACTAGCTTGCAGCTTCCACTCGGATGGACAGAGCAGCATGGGGATAGTCACGTTGTAAACTGTAGTTCCAAGAACCACCACAGGAACATAGGAGGAAAGCCAAGAGAATCCACAGACCCTTTGAAGGAACTGGATCACTGCTGTAGGCTCCCTGAGATGCAGAAAACCTGTGGGTTCATTTGCTTTCAGTGGGGAGGCTCATGGTCTGGGGCAAGTTCTCAGCCCTGATCACTGGCTGCCTGGAAATAGACTTGGTGCTGTTGGGTGGGGCATGGTGGGAGTGAGACTGGCCTTTAGGACTGTGAGCTGCATGGGAGCAGGATACGGCCGGTGACTGCCAGGTCTCCCCCACTTTTCTGGCAGCTTGTATGACTCAGCAGAGGCAGCCATAATCCTCCTGGGAATATAACAGCATTGGACTGGGAATGACACCCCCATCACCCACAGCAGCTGCAGCAAGCCCTGCCCAAGAAGAGGCTGAGCTCAGACATGCCCATCCCTGCCCCTACCTGGTGGTCTTTCTCTACCCTCCCTAGTAGGCAAAGACAAAGGACATACTCTCTTGGGAGCTCTATTGCCCTTCCCACCACCTGAGAAACTTGAATACTTAACCAGGTGTCCCTAGGGCAAGTTTGCCTCCTCCCTATAGGACCACAGCTCATGCACTCTTGAAAGTGCCTGCCTCCTGGCTGGAGGCCAAATCAACACAAAACCAGCCCACTAAACAAAAACACAAGCAAGGACCCTCACAGAGTCCACTTCACTCCTCTGCTACCTCCACTGGAGCAAGTCAATGGAACCAAAAAAACAGCCCATATAGCCAAAGGAAGACTAAACAAAAAGAACAAATCTGGAGGCATCACATTTTCTGACTTCAAACTATACTCTAAAGCCATAGTCACCAAAACAGCATGGGACTCATATAAAAATAGGCACATAGACCAATGGAACAGAATAAAGAACCCAGAAATAAACTCAAATACTTACAGCCAACTGATCATCAACAAAGCATACAAAAACATAAAGTAGGGAAAGGACACTCTATTCAACAAATGGTGCTGGGATAATTGGCAAACCACGTGTAGAAGAATGAAACTGAATTCTCATCTTTCACCTTACACAAAAATTAACTCAAGCTGTATCAAAGTCCTAAGTCTAAGACCTGAGACCATAAACATTCTAGAAGATAACATCAGAAAACCCCTTCTAGATGTTGGCTTAGGCAAAGACTTCATAACCAAGAATCCAAAAGCAAATGCAATTAAAACAAAGATAAATAGATGGACTTAATTAAACTAAAATGCTTCTGCACAGCAAAATAAATAATCAGCAGAGTTAACAGACAACTCAGAGTGAGAGAATCTTCACAATCTATACATCTGACAAAGGACTAATATCCAGAATCTACAAAAAAATAAACTCAAATACATATGTATACACCATGGAATACTACTCAGCCATAAAAAGGAACAAAATAAAGGCATTTGTAGCACCCTGGATGGAATTGTATACCATTATTCTAAGTGAAGTAACTCAGGAATGGAAAATCAAACATTGTATGTTCTCACTCATATGTGGGAGCTAAGCTATGAGGACATAAAGACATAAGAATGATACATTGGACTTTGAGGACTTGGGAGAAAGGGTGGGGTATGGTGAGAGATAAACAACTACACATTGGGTACAGTGTACACTGCTCGGGTGCTAGGTGCACCAAAATCTCAGAAATCACTGCTAAAGAATTTACTCATGTAACCAAACACCACCTCTTCCCCAGAAACCTATTGAAATAAAAAATGAAAATTTTTAAAAGATATATCTTGATAATAGTGATTGAAACAAACAAACAAACAAAAAACTCAAAACAATTGAACTCATGGTCATAGAGAGTAGAAGGATGGTTACCAGAAGCTTGGAATAGTACTAGGGGGCTGGGGGAGAAGTGGAGGTGGTTAATGGGAACAAAAAAGTAAGAAAGAATGGGTAAGACCTACTGTTAGATAGCACAACAGGCGACTATAGTCAATAATAACTTCTTTAAAAATAACTAAAAGTGTAATTGGAGTGTTTGTAACACAAAGAATAAATACTGCAGAGAATGGGTACCCCATTCTCCATGAGGTGCTTTATTTCACATTGCATACCTGTATCAGAATACCTCATGTACTCCATAAATATATACATCTACTATGTACCCACAAAAATAAAAAATTAAGTACTAAAACTGAATATAACATATTTAAATGTTACATAATCTTGGTTGAAATGGTGTCATTAATTTTGCTTTTTAGTTTTGTTAATTTTAATATTTTAGAAGAAAAATAACTTTTCAAAAATATTTTTATTTAAATTTACATTTTATATAAAATATGTTAGATTTTGTAAACTTTTAGTACATTTTTATTTTTAATCCTTCAAACAAGAACTGCAAATACAACACAGACTAAGTCAAAATCTTGATTATAAAAACAAACATCATTTGTTTACATAATGCTACACATTCTAATAATCATGAGATTTAAGGTCCAAATCAAAGAACACAAATGTTATTAATATATGGCATATACTCCCTACATAATAAAAGTAACCATATTTTCTCACTCTTCTTGAGCTTGGGTGCAGTTCCCTCACTTCTCCTGATTCTTATGCCAGTTTCCCACTCAACTCTAATATGGAAATACAGAGACAGCAAGACCAGCAGGAAGAAGTAAAGTTAAACTACATCCATTTGTAATATTATAAAGCAAAATGGTAACCCTATGACACTTTCCCCATGTGCTCCTGGGCTTCAAGTAACTCCGATATTCTTGAGTTCTTCATATTGGCATCTCTTAACTACTCTATCAGTCAGTGTCTATAGTCAATTCAAATACTCAGAACTTTTTTATAACTGCTACTTTTACTTGAAGGGTTGTGTTTGAGAAATAAATTGTAGATCTTTACATTTATCTCCATTAAATTTCATTTTGATAGTTTCAGCCCATCATTCTGGATTCTCATGATCTTTTGAGACTCTGAATTTGAGCTATTTCTCCACATATTTGCTTATCATCTCATTAATATCCTCACCCAAATGATTGATAAAAACTGCATTGGACAGCACCAAAAATAGAGTAATCTTAAAAGAAATCCCCCACAAATCAAAACCACAATGAGATAACACCTCACACATGTCAAGCTGGCTATTATCAAAAACAAAACAAAAGAAAAAAGCAAAGGACAGCAAATGATGGAGAGAATGTGAAGAAATCAGAACCCTGATATGTTGTTGCTGGAAATGCAAAATTGTGCAATGCCTATGGAAAACAGTGTTAAGATCTTCCCCCAAAAATTAAAAATACAATTACTATATGATCTGGCAACTCCATTTTGGGGTACTTATCCAAAAGAATTGAAATCAAGATCTTGCACTTCTCAAAAGAAGACATACATGCAGCCAATAAGCATATGAAATAAAGCTCAACATCACTGATCATTACAGAAATGCAAATCAAAACCACCATGAGATACCATCTAACACCAGTCAGAATGGCTATTACTGAAAAGTCAAACAATAACACATGTTGGTGAGGTTGTGGAGAAAAAGGAATGCTTTTACACTGTTGGAAGAAGTGTAAATTACTTCAGCCATTGTGGAAGACTGTGTGGAGATTCCTCAAATGCCTAGAGACAGAAATATTGTTTGACCCAGCAATCCCATTACTGGGTGTATACCCAAAGGAATATAAATCATTCTATTATAAAGTCACATGAACACATACGTTCACTGCAGCCCTATTCACAACAGCAATGTCATGGAATCAACCTAAATGCCCAACAATCATAGATTGGATAAAGAAAACGTGGTACATATACACTGTGAAATACGATGCAGCCATAAAAAAGAATGAGATCATGTCCTTTGCAGAGACATGGATGGAGCTGAAGGCCATTATCCTTAGCAAACTAACACAGGAATAGAAAACCAAATACCACATGTTCTCACTTATAAGTGGAAGCTAACTGATAAGAACACATGGACTCACACAGGGAAACAACACATACTGGGGCCTACCAGAGGATGGAGGGTGGGAGGAGAGAGAGGATCAGGAAAAATCACTAGAGGACACTAGGCTTAATACCTGGGTGATGAAATAATCTGTACAACAACCTTCCATGACACACATTTACCTGTGTAACAAACCTGCACATCCTACACATGT
Source organism: Homo sapiens (assembly GCF_000001405.40). Classification (NCBI taxonomy): domain Eukaryota; kingdom Metazoa; phylum Chordata; class Mammalia; order Primates; family Hominidae; genus Homo; species Homo sapiens. The sequence continues at coordinate 113,229,901 of NC_000023.11, read as the reverse complement.
ACCCCCGAACTTAAAATAAAAATTTTTGAGAAAGAAATCAAGATATTGAAGAAATATTAGCACTCTCATGTTCACTGCAGCACTGTTCACAATAGCCAAAATGTAGAGACAACCTAAATGTCCATCAACAGATGAATAGATAATGTAGGATATACAGATACTTGAAAGCTCTTCCACCCTTTAAAAGAAGGAAAGTGTGTAATATGTAAAAACATGGATATGCTTTGAGAACATTATGCTAAGTGAAATAAGCCAGTAACAAAAAGAAATATACTGCATGATTTCACTTATATGGTTTATCTAAAATGGTCAAATTCATAAAATTAAAGAATGTAATGATTGCTGCCAGCAGCTAAAGAAGAGGCAACTAGGGAGTTAGTAATCCACAGACATAAAGTTTCAAGTAAGCAAGATGAGTAAGTTTTAGATATGTGCTGTTCAGCATTGTACCTATGGTCAACAATACTGTACTGCACAGTTAAAAATGTCATAAGGTATATTTTATGTTGTCTTCTTATTATGATAAATTTTTATATAACTGAGGAAAGTGAAATATTGAAAATAATTTTTTATTTGCTTTAGAACATTTATATGAAATTTGAAACTTTATATTTTAACATAACATATTGTCATTTACTGTTATTTGCATTGTACTATATTTCTTTTCAAAGTTTTATCTAGAATTTCTGAAATGTTTCATTTTCCCAATTACAAATGTAAAATATTGGTATTTTTGAAATTCAATTTTGAAAAAAGAAATCTCTTTCACTAGGTTAATATCAACTCTTCAATGATTTTTTAAGACTAGTCATTCAAGCATTTATAGACCCACCTACTTATATTTTCATTTAACTACAATATCTCCATTCTATCCAAAAGGCTATCAAGGTAGTTCAACTAATTGTTTGCCATATTAGGTTCACTTATTTGTCTATGGAATTATGTGAATTTTACAGTAACTGATATCTTGTACTAGTCTCCAGTAATTAATTCCCTTCTCCCAAGAAACAGTTGCCATAATTAACAGCACAACTAGTAAAAAATAAGGGAGGAATGACACATAACAATGAAATAGCAATAATATTACCACTTAAATTTTGCAAAAAGCTTTCACTTACTATTATTATCTCCATTTGGCACACAAATTGACAGACATTTTATTATTATTATTCTCATTTAACAAGTGAGCAAACTAAAAGCTCTGAATGATTAGTTGACTTATCCAGAGTCACAAACTTAATAAGCAAGCCATATAAAAACAAAACACAGATGATCTGACTTAGAGTTTTATTTTAGAGTATACTAAACTGTTTCACTAGATAAGACACTTTTGCAGATGAATAAATAAGAAGATTAAGACTCTAATTCACATAATGTCAAGCTGCTCAAATCTAACCTACCTTCTCCACAACTTGTAAAAAACAAGGTTCATGTGTATCTCAAATGTTATGTTCATAAAATATTGGTTTATCCCTCAATAGAAGACAAATACATTATCTGTTATTTCTGTATATATAAAATTCTTGTGATAAGAAGAAAGGAGAAATTTATTTTAAACCTTTAGAAACAGTAGGAACAAAACTGCCATGAGCATTTTAATCATGCTTTGGAAGTTAATCCACCAAAATATTTTTTAAAGGAAAAAGTCAACAAAAAAAAATTGTATTTTTAAGATCCATTTGTCACGTATCCTTTGGGTTTGAGTATTTAATTCACTGATTAACTGAATTTTCCATTTTACATTTCTGATATCAATTTAGAAATGGCCTAAATATCACCATTCTGATGGCTGATAGAAAATACTTTAAATTGTCATTACTGTCATGTACTAAATTGTATTTGTTATAATAGGCTTCAGGATACAGTTCATATGTTTGGAATACAGAATACCAAAAATCTGGATAGAGGAACTCCCAGAGACTAATTCATTTAAATACTTATTCTCTTTTTGTTTGACATAGTTTAGAATTAGCATTGATTAGGTTTAGAGACCAGTGCCCAGTTGCACTAGACCTCATATTTCACCACAATGAGTTGGTAATAAATGCATATGTGCCCCATGAATAAGCTTCCTCATTCTTTGATAAGTCAAAAATCAGAGATTGTGCCATCTCTGACTCTGCCTGAACTCTGTAGGGAGAAAAGCTAGTTAAAGATGCTTGAGTATCCTGAGGTTAATCTAACATACAAGGTCAAGATAGAGGAAATAACTTACTGCCACATCCATCAAAACCACCACTATAAATATCAGCACCTTCATAAACCTTATTTTCTATGTTGGTGATTTGCTTCTCTAGTTTTCTCTTTTTCCAGTTTAGGATTCCTACCTGTCTTAACTTCAATTTAGGGGTGTGCCTCCAATACTCTACATCCTGCTTACTATTCCTTGATTTCTAACTTCTCTTCCCAATAACCTGGTATTTTGACCCAATTCCTGATCATAATTTTGCATTATGATATGATTTCCGTGTTCTTAATTCTGAACCATATGGTGTGATAATAATGTCTCCGTCATAGTGGCTTGATATGGTTTGGATATTTGTTCCACCTAAATCTCATGTTGAAATGTAATCCCTAATGTTGGAGGTGGGGCCTGGTGGCAGATGTTTGGGTCATGGGGGTGTATCCTTCATGGTTTAGTGCTGTCCCCACAATAGTAAGTGAATTCTCATGAGATCTGGTTGTTTAAATGTGTGCGAACCCAGAAATAAGACAGCACACCTACAACTATCTGATCTTCCACAAACCTGACAAAAACAAGCAATGGGGAAAGGATTTCTTATTCAATAAATGGTGCTGGGATAACTGGCTAGCCATATGCAGATTGAAACTGGACCCCTTCCTTGCACCATATACAAAAATTAACTCGAGATAGATTAAAGACTTAAATGTAAAACCCAAAACTATAAAAACACTGGAAGACAACCTAGGCAATACCATTCAGGACATAGGCATGGGCAAAGATTTCATGACAAAGACACCAAAATAATTTGCAACAAAAGCAAAAATTGCCAAATGGGATCTAATTAAACAAAATAGCTCTGCAAAGCAAAAGAAACTATGAAAAGACTAAACAAACAATCTGTATAACAGCAGAAAATCTTTGCAAACTATGCATCCTACAAAGGTCTAATATCCAGCATCTATAAGGAACTTAAACAAATTTACAAAAAAAAAAACCCTTTAAAAAGTGGGCAAAGGACATAAACAGACACTTTTCAAAAGAAGACATGCATGTGGCCAACAAACATAGAAAAAAATGCTCAACATCACTCATCATTAGAGAAATGCAAATCAAAACCACAATGAGATACCATCTCACACCAGGCAGAATGGCTATTATTAAAAAGTCAAAAAATAGCAGATGCTGGTGAGGTTGTGAAGAAAAAGGGAGGCTTTTACACTGTTGGGAGGAGTATAAATTACTTCAGCCATGTGGAAGACAGCGTGGTGATTCCTCAAAGACCTAGAGGCAGAAATACCATTCCACACAGAAATCCCATTATTGGGTATATACCCAAAGGAATATAAATCATTCCATTATAAAGATACATGCACACATGTGTTCATCGCAGCACTATTCACAATAGCAAAGACATGAAATCAACCTAAATGCCCATCAATGATAGACTGGATAAAGAAAATGTGGTGCATATACACATCATAAAAATGATTGAGATCATGTTCTTTGCAGAGACATTGATGGAGCTAAAGGCATTATCCTTAGCAAACTAACGCAGGAACAGAAAACCAAATACAACATGTTCTCACTTATAACGGAGAGCTAACTGATAACACATGGACACACAGAGGGAAACAACACACACTGGGGCCTTTCAGAGGATGGAGGATGGGAGGAGGGAGAAAATCAGGAAAAATTACTAATGGGTGTTAAGCTTAATAGCTGTGTAATAAAATAATCTGTACAACAAACCCTCATGACACAAGTTTACCTATGTAATAAACCTGCACTTGCACCCTTGAACTTAAAAGTTTTTTAAAAGTGTGCAACACCTCTCCCCTTGCTCTCTCTTGCTCCCACTTTCATCATACCTGCTCTTGCTTCGCCTTCCACCATGAGTAAAATCTCCCTGAGGCCTCCCCAGAAGCTGAGCAGATGCTGGTGCCATGTTCCCTGTACAGTCTACAGAACCATGCGCCAATTACACTGCTTTTCTTTATAAATTATCCAGTCTCAGATATTTCTTTATAGCAACACAACAACAACCTAATACATGGCTCAATAGAATAATCTTATTTTAAGCAGCTGTTATTTCATCATGATCAATTGAAGCTAACTGATGATTATTAAAGTAAAAAGTACATTCACCCAAGCTTGGTTAGGGGGAGAGTTGGCTCTCTTTAGGGCTGCAAATTCTAAAACCATCTTTAACAAGGGGAAATTGCTGTCTATTAGTAGTCTATTTTATTGCATTTACATAAACACATATTGTTGCAATACGAGAAAATAATATTTGAGTTTGACTGTTTTACTTAGCTATATAATTGATGAAGTCAGAAGCAAATATTAGGCACAGATAACAAAAGGGAATTGGAAATTCTTCATTGAATAACCTTAAAATGGTTAGAGATTCATCTATCTTTTGAATGGTTATAGACTGTAGCTAGAGTGAATTGATAACATTCTGAATTTCCTTCTAGCCTTCTGGTTATATTACCCTATTTGTTTTGTCAATGGAAACAGTCTTGTGTATATAAATCAGATTGCCAACGCTGTCCACTTCGGTGCAACATAAGCATTGTAATTCATTTCTCATCACAAATGGAAGGTATGCGGAAAGACAAAAATCAATGAAAAAACATTCAAGCAGATCTCCTGCTTACAGCAAGGTAAACAAGCATTATTACAAAGAGCAAAGTGTTTGTACCTCAGAGATTCGTGCAGCAAAACGGCAAGAGTAAGCTTTAAATTTGTATGAAAAACATATAAAGCACTGTATCTTCTACAGATATGAGAAAAATAATATGGTTTTGAAAGTACACTATATACAATTTCTGAGATAATTATCTGAAAAAGGTGTCAAAGACAACTTTCTGATTATTTTAAACTTAGTTATCTTTTTTGTTTGCTCGTTTTGGTGTTGTCTGTTTCAAAAGATAAGTTTTTGGAAGTGAATTACAATTTTATGCATGCTTATATCTGAAAAGATCAAGGGCAAGTAATTGTGTCACTTTCATCTTTATTTTTCTGTGATATCAAACATACAATTCAATAAATGCAATATGCTTGTTGAATAAATAAATGATCGTGCTGCTGTTAAAAAACAAAACTCTAATCATTAGTGGACTTCTGCCATGTCCAAATCTGCCCTAGGCATCCTGAAGAATATTAAAACAATATATGGTGTTTTTATCACCACCAAGAACTTTTCCTATTCAGGAGGATCTTTGTTCAAATGAGAAACTTCTACTTAACCTCCGTATAGCACCAGCTAAATCTGGTTCTCAATGACCCTTCACATGGTTCTCTCAGCCCTCACTCAAGTCACACATTTCCTACTTTTTATTGTCCTCCTTCACTTTATTCTCACCTAACAATTTGTTATCCTGCAGCTATAGAAGCCTACGAAGTTTTACAGTCACTGAAATGGGAAATTTCATTGGGATAAGCACTATCATGATGTCAGGCTTTGTTTCAGAAATGCATTCCTAGAAATCAAGCCTGTTGTACGATATTTCATAGGAACTTTCTTCTTAAATTAGTAGGTCTTAGTGGCATTATTGCTTCTCCAAACAGGCCTTGACAACGTTCCCCCTACTTTTTCATGTGAACCCGTTTCTTTGCTTGGTTTCTGCTTCCAGACTTCATGTATCTGTGAGAGACACAAATTTTATGTTTTTCTCACTGCACCTGTGACTCTAACACTGACCAGCTGCCCACTTGTCCTATCCTTTGGAACTCTCTTCCAATAATTCCGTACTCTATTTTCTTCTACTTACTCTTCCTCCTCCACAAAAGATACAGGATAGATGGCTGTGAATGAATTGTGTCTGAACGTTGTTTCACTCGATTGAAAGCAAGGGATTGGTCTTTCCAACTCTAAAATCGATCCATAAGTCTGTGATTTTCCTACCATCCCTTCAGTCTCTGTAAGAATTGAAAACTGTCATAGTTCTCAAAAAGAAAAAAAAAACTGCAAAAGGAATGACAAAATGAAGGTTACTAGGGGATGTGAATGGCTGCTCTTTCCATTCTCCTGCTGTATAGCTTCTTATCCTGAGCATAAAAACCATAAAGACAAAGAGAACGATAATTGCACATAAAATGAGAGACATAAAAGCCAGGCTGAATTGTAGCTCCTAGTTCTCTACGACCTTAGTTATGAAACATACACTTGATGTAACTGGGCTTTGTGAGCCAGAAATTGAGACAAATGTCCTGTCAAGGAGTTCGAATATTTGAAATTGTAACTGTCTCTGAAAATTCAATTCCATGAGGAATATAGAACAGGTATTATTTTCTCCATTTGTTGGATGAAAAAATGGATGCCTAGAAAGATTGAATGGAGGAAGCCTAGGAAAAATAAATCCTAGGTTATAAAGCCCACATGTCCTGTCCCCAGACCAATATTTTTTCAACTATATGTTCTGACTCTGCCTCCCTTGAACAGGACCTTGAAACTAGACAGCAAATGAACTCCCAGCCACATCTCTTTTTCAAATATTCATTAAAATCCTTAAATCAAAATGCATAATTATATAAATAATTAAAATTATGCAGGAAAAATCATTACTCTAAAAATTTCAATCAGCAATAATTGTGACTCAGAAAAACTTCATGAAGTGTGATATTGCCACTGAACAAAGAAGCATTAATAGTTTATATAAAAAAGGTATAAAAACCACTTAAAAATTGTAGATGGGCAATTTTAATGCAGCAATTTATTACTTCTACTACTTTTGTACAACTTTTGATGAACTGACTTAACTGTGTAGCTTCTAACTTTTTAAAAACCTAGCTTTCTTAGTTCTACCTGATGAAACTTCTTGCACCACGATAAACATCTCTAATCAACTTTATTTTTACATTTGAATAGACACACATCTTGACTGTGAGCAAAGCCAACAGCAAGTGACTGTAATGTCATCCTTAAGAATGATCTTGGTACCTAGAAAGTAGGGTGAGATGTAATATTTTTTAAAAAACAGAAGAGAGTGACCTTGAGCAAAAGCAATGCTAATCCATCCAAAATGTTTAACAGGACTGAACTACTGAGAGTTGAGGGGGACGCAAATGGTCAATGAACCCTGCTGATAGTCACTTTTAATTCTTTGAGCATGTAGATGTCTTTTAAAAAGTTTGTCTGTGGTGTTCCAGCCATACAATTATGTTCAGCCTCCCGTGAGAAAGTCACAGATGTCTCCAAGGCAGCTGTGGCTGGAATCTACAGTGTTATCTACAGCAGTAGCACAAGAAAAAGCTGACTAAGTGGAGCACAAGTCTGTAAGCTTGGCCTTATCAGCATCTTGTGCTTACATATAGCGTTCTATAGTAATCATTATGTTAGTAAAAAAGAAAAAAAAAGAGAAAGCAATTATTTATCCTTTTGTATTACTCTTCAGACTGCAAATGGTAGATGAGAAAATGTTGAGAGAAAAATTAGTAAGAGTGACTATTAATTACTCTTTCAAGAAACTTATTGCTGAAAGGAAAGAAAATAAGTGGGCAATACCTCAAGAGATAAGTAGAGTTAAAGTAATATCAGGAGAATTGGGGTGGGAAAGACATAAGCATGTTTGCAGGCTACTAGTAAAAAGAGATATCAGAGGAAGAGAAGCTATAAGTACAAAAGAGAGAAAAAAATGAATGACATCTGACTTTACACTTATTTTATCCTTCCAAACCTGTTCTTCTTTCCTCCTTTCCTCACATCACTCTCAAGCTATTGTCTTTCCCATCTCATAAAATATCACCCCTCCAGTTGCTCAAGTCAAAAAATCTAGAAGACATGCAATTCATTAAAAAGTCCTGTCACTCCATCTCCAAGTAAAATCCAAAACCAATCACTTTATGTAGTAATTCACTCTCATCCAGGCTACCTACATCTCAGACCTAGACGGGAAAAACCTTCTAATTTTTCTACCTGTTTTTACTTTTGCACTCTCCCATAATTCATTTTCCATGTAGGAACTAAAAGTGTCTTTAAAATATATTATAACTCAAATGCCTTTCTAAAGTATTACAATAAAATCCATATTCTATATTCTACAGGGCCCTATCTGATATGGTCTCTATTGACCTCTCAACTTCACCTTACATCACTCTTCCAAGTGCTCACTAGACTTGAATGCACTGGTCTTCTTTCTGTTCCTCTAATGTCAACCTCATTTCTACCCCGATCGGTGCATTTGTAATTCTCTCAGCCCTTTATATACTTGCCTCCTTGGGTCTCAGCTCAAATGTTATCTCCTCAGACAGACCTTTTGAGACCAGCATATCTAAAATAGGTTATCAGCACCATATCATGTTCTTGTATATCTCCTTATTTTATGTCCTTCATGATACCTCCCAGATCTGAAATTATATTGTATATTTATTTGTTTTCTAATTCATTGTCTTTTTCCTTCGTTAGAAGACAAGTTCCATGAGAAACATATCTTTGTCTTGTTTGCCACTGTGTTCTCAGCAACTAGAACAATGTCTGAAGAATACATCTATTAAATGAATCAGTGAATGAATAAGTAAATAAAACAAGGTATTTGGGAAAATCAAGAATATATCATCAATAGACTAAGAAGAAAAATATCTTGTCATCTGACACAGAAGAAATGGAAGTTAGGATGGCCACATATAGGTTTGGAGTTAGGAGGGCGATGCAGGTATTACTTGAAGACAAGCCAGTCATCAGCTGAGGACAAGTGGGGCACCTTGTCATTGCTTTCTGTACAGCAACATATAATCTGTTGACAACATTTCCCTAATGTGTATTCCCTGGCATAGCTAATATTGCCAGCAATTCCAGCTCCAGATTCTCTTATATCAGTTTTTCCTCACCAATTAATCACTCTCTGTCTCTGATATCTGCTATGTGCTTTAAGTTTGAAGAACATTTGCCTTAATGAAGGTGAAAACAAAAGCTGGCATAACAGAGATCCCTTCTCTGTTAACTGCTAATATCATATCATCTGCCCTGTGAAGTGCCTTGCCCTTTTTATCTTACATCTATGAACATAGGTGAAACAGCTGCTTTTCTTGTGTTTGCCACTTTAAGCTTGAGCTTATTCTAGACTTTAATCCTCATGGAAAATCCATGCATTCATTGAACCCATCCTTGATTATGTGTTATCACCAACAACCTCACGCCATCTGTTTCTCTCATGTTCTGTTAATCTAAGCTCAACCATTATTTTCTCTCCTTCTTCCTCTTGTATTTGCATAATTTACAATTTTCAGAATTTGTTATTCCTTTTGAGCCATCATATTTTCAAAGTTTCTGAACATGAGATCATACCTGTATCTTCTCTAACCTTTCTGAAAAGCACTTTCATGGAGTGTAGGGCAGTATCTGAACATTACCTACATCTCTTTTACTTGTTAATTTGGTCCTTTTACCCGGTTTCTATATATGATTTACATAATATTAGAGTCCAGGTGTCCAAGCTCCTAGTCCATTATTATCATCACTCTAATGCACGAGGCAAAGCAGAGTAATAGTTGTTTGAGCACCCTCTGGACTTTCAATCAATGTAGGTCCTGGAAGCAAACTGGTGACTACATTGCCACATTATAGGCTTTCTTGGCTGAAAAAAGGAAAAATATACATATATATATATATGAATAAATAGATAGACTTCATTGTTTTTGATGGCTACAAGGCATTCCATAGTATGTATTACCAGATAAATAAATGTATAGATGGGTGGATATATTAATTGGTTGATTGATAGATAGATGTAATATAACTAGATAGACTAGGTAGATAGATAGCGCTCACATCTAAAGGGTTCCATGACCACCCATGAGGTCGTGATTTACTAGAAGGACTTCGCACAGCTCCATATAAAGCTATACTCATGGCTAAGATTTACTACAGCAAAGGATACAGTGTAAGAACATCAAGAAAAAGATATCCATAGGCAAAAGGTAGAGAAGTTAAAAACAAACTTTCTTATCTTCCCTCTGTTAGGATTGCATGGATGCTTTTTTTCTCTCCAGCTGTGAACTTCAGGGATAATTGGGAGGTATCCTTGACCAGGAAAGGTCACTTGAGTCTTATAATTCAAAGTTCTTAAAGGAAGCTATTCATGTAGGCACATACCTTCCATGTGGCCAGGCATAAACTGAATCCCAAACAGGCACCAAGTGCACTTTCTAAATCTTCATGTTTATTTTAAACATACTGACAACCTAGTTCATCTTGATCTACTGATTCAGGAGTATAGAATAACATCATTACCTAGTAACTTGGTGAATACAGTTGACCCTTAAACAATACAGGGATTTGGGTACCAACCCCAATACAGTCAAAAACCTGTGTATAACTTTTGGCTCCCTAAAAACTGAACTACTAATAGCCCACTGTTGACCAGAAGCCTTCCCAATAATAAAAGCAGTTGATTAACATATATTTTATATGTTATATTTATTATATACTGTATATTCTTACAATAAAGTAAGCTACATAAAAGAAAATATTATTTATAAAATCATAAGGAAGAGAAAATATATTGACTATTCATCAAGTGGAAGTGGATTATCATAAAGGACTTCAGCCTCTTCATCATCTTCATGTTGAATAAGCTGAGGTGGAGGAGGAGAGAAGGGGCTAATCTTGCTGTCTCAGGAGTGGCAGAGATGGAAGAGATGGAGGAGGTGGAAGGAGAGGCAAGAAAGACAGGCACACTTGGTGCAACTTTTATTTTAAAAATTTGCATATAAGTGGTCCTGCCCAGTTGAAACCCATGTTGTTCAAGGGTCAACTGTATTTCAGTTTAGTTAAGTCATTGCCATGGTTACAGAAATCAGAGATAAGTAAGAATTGAATAAAACAGACTTTTGAGTTAATTTGTATATTAGAGTTATACATATATATGCTTGGAAATAATATATAATATATAATTTAATAAATATATAATACATAGATATAGTATACATAGCTATACTATATCTAGCTAAAATATAATAAAATGTATGTGGTATTATAAATTATATATGTGTAATTTCCAAACACTGAGCTCTATGTACTTCATATGTTTTATATTATTTAATCCTCACAACAATCTCGTGAAATGGCTTTGATCATTACTACTTTACAGATGACAGAACTGGGGGCACAGATAGGATAAGTAACCAAGTCATACATCTACTACATTTTAGAGCTGAAATGCATACTCATGTTTTTCTTGCTATACCACATTTCAAGGCCAGCTGAGCCTGGAGTAGGAAAATCAGGACAGGTCAAGTTGAAATAATAGCATTCAGAAGTCTCTTTGCAACCAACATCCTTGTAGAGCCTCATGAGGGCCCCCTGAAGCTCAGTTGGTGTTGGGTAGAATGCCACTCTGAGTCACCTATGTAGGCTTAAGTTTGCTTTTCCAGCAGGCACTTAGTGTATCCTTAATCGTTTATTTAATTGGGTTACCCTAGAAAAGACTTTAAGGTGACACAATTTGTGATGGCTAATATTGTCAACTTGATTGAATTGAAGGATGCAAAGTATTGTTCCTGGGTGTGTCTATGAGGGTGTTGCCAAAGGAGATTAACATTTGAGTCAGTGGAATAGGAGAGGCAGACCCACTCTCAATCTGGGTGGGCACTATCTAATCAGCTGCCAGTGTGGCTAGGATAAAAGCAGGCAGAGGAACATGGAAGGACTAGACTGGCTGTCTTCCAGCCTTCATCTTTGATATGGTTTGGCTGTGTGACCACCCAAATATTATCTTGAATTGTAACTCCCACAATTCCCACGTGTCATAGAAGGAGCCCGGTGGGAGGTGACTGAATTACAGGGGCAGGTATTTCCTGCATTGTTCTCATAATAGTGTATGAGTCTCATGAAATCTGATGGTTTTAAAAACAGGAGTTTCCCTGCACAAGCTCTCTCTTTGCCTGCTGCCATCCATGTAAGATGTGACTTGCTCCTCCTTGCCTTCTGCCATAATTGTGAGGCCTCCCCAGCCATGTGGAACTGTAAATCCATTAAACCTCTTTCTTTAGTAAATTGCCCAGTCTCAGGTATGTCTTTGTCAGCAGCGTGAAAACAGGCTAATACAATCTTTCTCCTGTGCTTGATGCCTCCTGCCTTCGAACATCGGACTCCATATTCTTCAGCTTTTGGACTCTTGAACCTACACCAGTGATTTGCCGGGGACTCTAGGGCCTTCCGCCACAGACTGAAGGCTGCATTGTCGGATTTCCTTTTTTTTTTTTTTTTTTCTTTTTTGAGAAGGAGTCTCACTTTGTCACCCAGGCTGGCTGGCATGCAATGGTATCTCAGCTCACTGCAACCTCTGCCTCCCGAGTTCAAGCATTTCTCCTGCCTCAACCTCCCAACTAGTTGGGATTACAGGCGTGCACCACCATGCCCATCTAATTTTTATATTTTTAGCAGAGACGGGGTTTCAACGTGTTAACTGGGCTGGTCTCGAACTCCTGACTTCAAGTGATCTGCCCGCCTTGGCCTCCCAAAGTGCTGGGATTACAGGCATGAGACACCATGCCTGACCCCTATTTTTGAGGTTTTGAGACGCGGACTGGCTTCCTTGTTCCTCAGCTTGCAGACAGCGTACTGTGGGACTTCACCTTGTGATCGTGTGAGTCAATACTCCTTAATAAACTTCCTTTCATATATACATCTTTCCTATTAGTCCTGTCCCTTTAGAGAACCCTGACTAATATGCCATATTTTTAGAGCTGTAGAATTCCCACTAGAGTTCAACACTCTACAAGGAACTTTCTAAAACTGCCTTTAAACTATGAAGCAAGAACTGGAGTGAAGGAAGAAGAGAGAGCTAACTAAAGAAGGGTTTATTTGCTCATGTAAAAAGGCAAAACTGGGTTATATACTAAATTTGCCCTTGCCTGTTTAGAGCATGTTATTCCCAGGCCTTTGATTTTATGGTAGAAGTCAGCTAGCTGCAGCCTGGGCCAAATCTCACTGCAGCATTTTTGTAAATAAAGTTTAACTGGAACACAACCACATCCATTTGTTTATGTATTGTCTATGGCTGCTTCCATGCCACAGCAGGAGACTTGAGTAGTGGGGACATGGGCTGTATGTCTTGAGAATATTAATATTTTAATATTAGCTATTTGGACTTTTACAGAAAAAGGTTGCTAGGGAGCCACGCAGGATGGCTGACTAGATGCAGCCAGGTAGAACAGCTGCCACTGAGTGACAAGGATGATTGGTGCACTCCTAACAGATCTTCAGAAAGAAGGCACTGAGTGTGGAAAGAGGGAAGAACACAGAAGCTTGGCTGAAGGAGGAGGAAGCTGGGAATGCTGTATGGGGCTACCATGCATTGGGACTTGTTCCTGACCCCCGACGAGTCTGGAGGAATGGGTGAGTTGAACTGGTGAGGAGCAATCCACTCTCACAAAAGGCCTCTGGAATCTCAGCAGGAGGAGACCCCTCAACCACCATAGACAATTGAGTTGTTTAAACTATGCATGCTCATCCATGTGTCTACCACTCTCACTCAGATTTTACCACTGGACACTTCCTCAGGGAAGTCCCATCCTCCCCACCCTTTATGTTACCTGTTCTTATACCGTGATGACACCAGTGCTACTTTATCTTCACAGAATTGGTGCAGGTTTGTCAAGGCCAAAGCCAACCAAGTCAGCTGCAAGAATTAAGTGGTCTACATATTGATTCTGCTGGAGTCTCTGCCCACTGTTATCTTCATAAAATGCAGTATCCCTTTGCATCCTCCAGGTAAATATGTTTCATATTGCTAACTTTGTTGATCTATCTTGGTCATTTTCACAGCCACGGGCAATTGTTTCTTGTTCAGCAGAGTTCTTTGCAACCATTTCAGATGGTTCCCTTTCCTTAGGATACCATTTTAGGAGGGCTCAGAACCTCTACACCTAAAGTCACTGCTTCTGGCCACTTTGGGAATTTGCGAATTAAAGCTTTAGCTACAGAAATCAATAAGATCAGGAAAGTTATTTAATTTTAGAATCTTTCTAAAACCATACGAGAAAATATGTACACTAAAACCAGTTTCCAATATTGATAACTTTTAAAATTCAGCCAAATTATCACTCATCTAAATTATAAGCCAATAAAAGTAGTACAGAAATCATAACCAGAAATAGTCTCATAATGTAATTCTTCCATGTGTTTAATTCTAGAAAATCACTAGATTTTCTAGATTGTATCTACACCTTTGTTTATAAGACTTTATGAAAGGGGGCTCAATGGGATACCAAAATAAAGAATCTGGGGAGGCTGAGGTGGGTGGATCACGAGGTCAGGAGTTCGAGACCAGCCTGGCCAACATAGTGAAACCCCGTCTCTACTAAAAATACAAAAAATTAGCCGGGGGTGGTGGTGGGCGCCTGTAACCCCAGCTATTCAGGAGGCTGAGGCAGGAGAATCTCTTGAACCTAGGAGGCAGCGGTTGCGGAGAGCCGAGATTGCGCCAAGCTGAGATTGCGCCATTGCACTCCAGCCTGGGAAACAGAGTGAGACTCCATCTCAAAAAAAAAAAAAAAAAAAAAAAAGGGAGAGAATCTGAAATCTAATTCAATTGGTCTACTTTACATTAAAAGAAGGCTTCAAAAGGCTTCTCCCAGCATTCTCCCAGCATTTTGATATTCTTAAATTGCTTCTTCTATAATAAAAGGAAACAAGAAGTTAGCTAGGGTTGGTGTCTTTTCTAATTAATTCTAATTTTCTTTGCGGTAGTGGCAGTCAGCATTGTTATTGTTTCTCTCTACAAGTGATAAAGTTAATTCCTATCCTCAACCACTAACCCACAGAAGTCCCAGAAATCAAGAAACAGTCAACTGTCATTCTGCCTGTATTCAGCTAAAGCATCCCTGGAGAAGCCTTGTAGATAGATACCAGGAACCAAATACATCTTGAGACTGAGCTTATATATAACTAGATAAATTCCATCCAACAATTGGCCACTGAAAACCACCCACTACTAACTGAGTACTGGAAGCAATCCAAACAACTACTACCATATTGGCCAGTTTGATGCAAAGTACCTTTCCTTTATACTTCAAACCAGTTTCGGAAAATAGCTTATAGCTCTTTGGGCAAAATACTGATCGTCTGATTTTCAGAATCTGAGTTGTTATGTGACTACTTGCCCATTGTTCTCTGCTTACAGCAACAAAAGCCCCTTTATTAGCAGCAGTAACCATGAATACTTTCCATTTACTTAATTCAGCATATATGGACACACAACCATTGTCTGGGAGTGACTGTATTAAAGTAATGTGTAAACCAGTGTTTTGTCCTAACATACCCAAAAGATCTGCTTTCTGCCCTTTTCTATCAAACCAAATGCAAAAATGAACATGAATTTGAGTAAATTCTGTTTCCATAGCAACCTAGAAAAACACAAGCCATATAAAATCATAATGTCAAGATAAGAAAAACATATAAAGGACTTGAGAAAGCAAATATTAATTCTAAAAATGACTAAAAGAAAACTATAGCCACATATTTTGTTTGTCTTTGTTGCTTTAAAATCTTAAAAATGCAACCCAGAAACTTATTTTTATGTTCAAGTTAATAAAAGACAAACCAATTTTAAATATTTTTACTGATAATCTATATGATGGTATTTAAACAATAAAAATTGTAACTTTGAAAAGTTTATAGAGAAAACAGATAAAATGTTTAGCCTAGGCTTGATATTTTACTATTAAGTTTATGCCTAGTTAATGCAAATGATAGATTTAAAGAATCTTATATTTTAATAACTGTAATGAATACATCGTAAATTCATGAACTCCCATAAATTCTTATACACTAAATATGTGACTCTGACAGGTATAATGAGTAAGTATTTTAGTTATGTGTTTTTGTGTATGTACATGCATATGCACATGTGTACATGTGTAGAAAGATGTGTGGCTGGGCCAGATCAAAAGAAGACAAGGTCTCCACTTTCAAAAAAGAAATATTTTTTGAGTGAAAATGTGCCCACATGAAAGAGTCAGTGATACATATCTGAGTACCACACTAGTGATTTAGAAATCCATGTGTACTAGGGTCAACTGAATCCTGAGGGACAGGTAAGACCTGCATAAGAAGAGAGGCAGACATAAGCACTGTATGTTCGGTGGACAATATCATCTCTGGACTAGTGATTTCCTAACTTGCAAAGAATCAAATGGAACTAAAACCAAAAGACAGGTGTGTACTCATTTTAAAATGTTAAATTGAAAAGATGAACAGATTTGTTTCACAGACACTTCTCATAGCGGTAAGGGTCCTTTGAGGCACCACCACCAACAAAAGCAATATTTTTCATTGTTTTTCTCTTTTTAAGGTTGTCTAATTCAAGCCCTGACATTTTGATGCTTCACCTAGTGAGAAAAGTGCTTCAACTCACATCACAAAATGCTGGCCTTAGAGGACACAGCTGGTATCTGTGACTTAATTCTTGAGAGTAATTATGAGCTGAATCTTAAAATTAATTTTAATGGCAAAGTCCTGACACCAAATTAAAAAATTGGAAATTTAGCAAAAACTTTTCATTACATTTAATCATAATTTGGGAGCTATGCTAAGATTATGAATAATTCACTTAGCACACTGCACTTTCTTTATCCAGGATTTAAGAAATAAGTTACAATGTACAGAGCTGGTCTCAAAAGTAGGTCTACCTTAGTGTAATCTCTGGATTTACTCCATACATGGTTTTAATAGATGCCATAGATGTCACAATTTAGAGAAGCAAGTCTAATTCTTTTATTAAAATATATTAGATTTATACTTACAATGTAGAAAGTTGCAAAAGCCATTACTCTTATACTAACAATGAGAATAATCCAAGTACACTGTGAAATCATAAATTTAAAAATTCATCAGTAAGCTGAGGGCACAAGTGGAACTAAAGTGAATAATTTCTGGAACGTGACAAGTACTTTTAAGGAAAGAAGAAAAACAGATGTTAACTTTGTTAACTAACATATAACTATTTTTATCCTTAACAGTCAGGAGGAGGCAGAATGAGACATAAACTATGGAAAGAAGAAACCAAAAAGGATTTTTAAAAAACTTCTGAAGATCGGAAAATAGCCAAGATGGCCGAATAGGAACAGCTCCGGTCTGCAGCTCCCAGCGTGATTGACGCAGAAGACAGGTGATTTCTGCATTTCCAACTGAGGTACCTGGTTCATCTCATTGGGACTGGTTGGAGAGTGGGTACAGCCCACAGAGGGTGAGCCAAAGCAGGGTGGGGTGTCGCCTCACCTGGGTAGCACGAGGGGTTGGGGTATTTCCTTTTCCTAGCCAAAGGAAGCCGTGACAGACTATACGTGGAAAAATGGGACAGTCCCGCCTAAATACTGTGCTGTTCCAATGGTCTTAGCAAATGGCACTCCAGGAGATTATATCCCGCACCTGGCTCGGAGGATCCCACGCCCATGGAGCCTTGCTCACTGCTAGCGTAGCAGTCTGAGATCAACCTGCAAGGCAGCAGCCTGGCAGGGGAAGGGGCATCTGCCATTGCTGAGCCTTGAGTAGGTAAACAAAGCAGCCGGAGAAGCTCAAACTGGGTGGCGCCCACCACAGCTCAGCAAGGCCTGTTGCCTCTGCTGACTCCACCTTTGGGGGCAGAGCATAGCTGAACAAAAGGCAACAAAAACTTCTGCAGTCTTAAATGTCCCTGTCTGACAGCTCTGAAGAGAGCAGTGGTTCTCCCAGTGTGGCATTTGAGCTCTGAGAACAGACAGACTGCCTCCTCAAGTGGGTCCCTGACCCCCATGTAGCCTGACTGGGAGACACCTCCCAGTATGGGCCGACTGACCCCTCATACAGACAGGTGCCCCTCTGGGATGAAGCTTCCAGAGGAAGGATCAGGCAACAATATTTGCTGTTATGCAATATTTGCTGTTCTGCAGCCTCTGCTGGTGATACCCAGGCAAACAGGATCTGGAGTGGACTTCCAGCAAACTCCAACAGACCTGCAGCTGAGGGACCTGACTGTTAGAAGGAAAACTAACAAACAGAAAGGGATAGCATCAATATCAACAAAAAGGACATCCATACCAAAACCCCATCTGTAGGTCACCAACATCAAAGACCAAAGGTAGATAAAACCACAAAGATGGGGAGAAACCAGAGCAGAAAAGCTGAAAATTCTAACAACAAGAGCACCTCTTCTCCTCCAAAGGATCGCAGCTCCTCACCAGCAACGAAACAAAGTTGGACGGACAATGACTTTGACGAGTTGACAGAAGTAGGCTTCAGAAGGTCGATAATGACAAACTTCTCCGAGCTAAAGGAGGATGTTCAAACCCTTCGCAAGGAAGCTGAAAACCTTGAAAAAAGATTAGACAAATGGTTAACTAGAATAAACGGTGTAGAGAAGACATTAAATGACCTGTTGAAGCTGAAAACCATGGCACAAGAACTACGTGATGCATGCACAAGCTTCAGTAGCCAAATCAATCAAGTGGAAGAAAGGGTGTCAGTGATTGAAGATCAAATTAATGAAATAAAGTGAGAAGACAAGATTAGAGAAAAAAGAGTAAAAAGAAATGAATAAAGCCTCCAAGAAATATGAGACTATGTGAAAAGACCAAATCTACATTTGATTGGTGTACCTGAAAGTGATGCGGAGAATGGAACCAAGCTGGAAAACACTCTGCAGAATATTATCCAGGAGAACTTCCCCAAGCTAGCAAGGCAGGCCAACATTCAAATTCAGGAAATACAGAGAACATCACAAAGATACTCCTCAAAAAGAGCAACCCAAGACACATAATTGTCAGATTCACCAAGGTTGAAATGAAGGAAAAAATATTAAGGGCAGCCAGAGAGAAAGGCCGGGTTACCCACAAAGGGAAGCCCATCAGACTAACAGTGGATCTCTCAGCAGAAACTCTACAAGCCGGATGAGAGTGGGGGCCAATATTCAACATTCTTAAAGAAAAGAATTTTCAACCCAGAATTTCCTATCCAGCCAAACTAAGCTTCATAAGTGAAGGAGAAAAGCAAATGCTGAGAGATTTTGTCACCACCAGGCCTGCCTTACAAGGGCTCCTGAAGGAAGCACTAAACATGGAAAGGAACAACTGATACCAGCCGCTGCAAAAACATGCCAAATTGTAAAGAACATCAATGCTAGGAATAAACTGCATCAACTAACGGGCAAAATAACCAGTAAACATCATAATGACAGGATCAAATTCACACATAACAATATTAACCTTAAAAGTAAATGGGCTAAATGCCCCAATTAGAAGACACAGACTGGCAAATTGGATAAAGAGTCAAGACCCATCCAGTGTGTTGTGTTCAGGAGACCCATCTCATATGCAGAGACACACATAGGCTCAAAATAAAGGGAGGGAGGAAGATCTACCAAGCAAAGAGAAAGCAAAAAAAAAAGCAGGGGTTGTAATCCTAGTCTCTGATAAGGCAGACTTTAAACCAACAAAGATCAAAAGAGACAAAGAAGGCCATTACATAATGGTAAAGGGATCAATTCAACAAGAAGAGCTAACTATCCTAAATATATATGCACCAAATACAGGAACACCGAGATTGAAAAAGCAAGTCTTTAGAGACCTACAAAGAGACGTAGACTCCCACACAATAATAATGGGAGATTTTAACACCCCACTGTCAATATTAGACAGACCAACGAGACAGAAGGTTAACAAGGATATCCAGGACTTGAACTCAGCTCTACACCAAGCAGACCTAATGGACACCTACAGAACTCTCCACCCCAAATCAACAGAATATACACTCTTCTCAGCACCACATTGCACTTATTCCAAAATTGACCACATAGTTGGAAGTAAAGCACTCCTCAGCAAATCTAAAAGAACAGAAATCACAACAAACTGTCTCTCAGACCACAGTGCAATCAAATTAGAACTCAGGATTAAGAAACTCACTCAAAACCACACAACTACATGGAAATTGCACAACCTGCTCCTGAATGACTACTGGTTAAATAACGAAATGAAGGCAGAAATAAAGATTTTCTTTGAAACCAATGAGAACAAAGACACAACGTACCAGAATCTCTGGGACATATTTAAAGCAGTGTGTAGAGGGAAATTTACAGCACTAAGTGCCCACAAGAGAAAGCAGGAAAGATCTAAAATTGACACCCTAACATCACAATTAAAAGAACTAGAGAAGCAAGAGTAAACACATTCAAAATCTAACAGAAGGCAAGAAATAACTAAAATCAGAGGATAACTGAAGGAGATAGAAACACAAAAAAACCTTCAAAAAAATCAGTGAATCCAGGAGCGGGCTTTTTGAAAAGATCAACAAAATTGATAGACTGCTAGCAAGACTAATAAAGAAGAAAAGAGAGAAGAATCAGATAGACACAATAAAAAAAGATAAAGGGGATATCACCACCGATCCCACAGAAATACAAACTACCATCAGAGAATACTATAAACAACTCTATGCAAAAAAACTGGAAAATCTAGAAGAAATAGATGAATTCCTGGACACATACACCCTCCCAAGACTAAACCAGGAAGAAGTGGAATCTCTGAATAGACCAATAACAGGCTCTGAAATTGAGGCAATAATCAGTAGCCTACCAACCAAAAAAGTCCAGGACCAGACGGATTCACAGCAGAATTCTACCAGAGGTACAAAGAGGAGTTGGTACCATTCCTTCTGAAACTATTCCAATCAATAGAAAAAGAGGGAATCCTCCCTAACTCATTTTATGAGGCCAGCATCATCCTAATATCAAAGCCTGGAAGAGACACACACACAAAAAAATTTAGACCAATATCCCTGATGAACATCGATGCGAAAATCCTCAGTAAAATACTGGGAAACCGAATTCAGCAGCACATCAAAAACCTTATCCACCACGACTGAGTTGGCTTCATCCCTGGGATGCAAGGCTGGTTCAACATATGCAAATCAATAAATGTAATCCATCACATAAACAGAACCAAAGACAAAAACCACATGATTATCTCAATAGATGCAGAAAAGGCCTTTGACAAAATTCAACAGCCCTTCATGCTAAAAACTCTCAATAAATTAGGTATTGATGGAACGTATCTCAAAATAATAAGAGCTATTTATGACAAACCCACAGCCAATATCATACTGAATGGGCAAAAACTGGAAGCATTCCCTTTGAAAACGGGCACAAGACAGAGATGCCCTCTCTCACCACTCCTATTCAACATAGTGTTGGAAGTTCTGGCCAATGCAGTCAGGCAGGAGAAAGAAATAAAGGGTATACAATTAGGAAAAGAGGAAGTCAAAATGTCCATGTTTGCAGATGACATGATTAAATATCCAGAAAACCCCATCATCTCAGCCCAAAATCTCCTTAAGCTGATAAGCAACTTCAGCAAAGTCTCAGGATACAAAATCAATGTGCAAAAATCACAAGCATTCCTATACACCAATAACAGACAAACAGAGAGCCAAATCATGAGTGAACTCCCATTCACAATTGCTACAAAGATAATAAAATACCTAGGAATCCAACTTACAAGGGATGTGAAGGACCTCTTCAAGGAGAACTACAAACCACTTCTCAATGAAATAAAGGAGGAAACAAACAAATGGAAGAACACTCCATGCTCACGGATTGGAAAAATCAATATCGTGGAAATGGCCATACTGCCCAAGGTAATTTATAGATTGCATTGCCAAGTCAATCCTAAGCAAAAAGAACAAAGCTGCAGGTGTCATGCTACCTGACTTCAAACTATACTACAAGGCTACAGTAGCCAAAACAGCATGGTACTTGTACCAAAACAGATATATAGACCAATGGAACAGAACAGAGGCCTCAGAAATAACACCACACATCTACAACCATATGATCTTTGACAAACCTGACAAAAACAAGAAATGGGGAAAGGATTCCCTATTTAATAAATGATGCTGGGAAAACTGGCTAGCCATATGTAGAAAGCTGAAACTGGATCCCTTCCTTACACCTTATACAAAAATTAATTCAAGATGGATTAAAGACTTAAATGTTAAACCAAAAACCATAAAAACCCTAGAAGAAAACCTAGGCAATACCATTCAGCACATAGGCATGGGCAAGGATTTCATGACTAGAACACCAAAAGCAATGACAACAAAAGCCAAAATTGATAAACGGGATCTAATTAAACTAATGAACTTATGCACAGCCGAGGAAACTACCATCAGAGTGAACAGGCAACCTACAGAATGGGAGAACATTTTTGCAATCTACACATTTGACAAAGGGCTAATATCCAGAATCTACAAAGAACTTAAGCAGATTTACAAGAAAAAAACAAACAACCCCATCAACAAGTGGGCAAAGGATATGAACAGACATTTCTCAAAAGAAGACATTTATGCAGCCAACAGACACATGAAAAAATGCTCATCATCACTGGTCATCAGAGAAATGCAAATCAAAACCACAATGAGATACCATCTCACACCAGTTAGAATGGCGATCATTAAAAAGTCAGGAAACAACAAATGCTGGAGAGGATGTGGAGAAATAGGAATGCTTTTACACTGTCAGTGGGACTGTAAACTAGTTCAACCATTGTGGAAGACAGTGTGGCAATTCCTCAAGGATCTAGAACTAGAAATACCATTTGACCCAGCCATCCCATTACTGGGTATATACCCAAAGGACTATAAATCATGCTGCTATAAAGACACATGCATACGTATGTTTATTGTGGCACTATTCACAATAGCAAAGATTTGGAACCAACCCAAATGTCCATCAATGATAGACTATATTAAGAAACTGTGGCACATATACACCATGGAATACTATGCAGCCATATAAAAGGATGAGTTCATGTCCTTTGCAGGGACATAGATGAAGCTAGAAACCATCATTCTCAGCAAAGTATCAAAAGGACAGAAAACCAAACACCGCATGTTCTCAATCATAGATGGGAATTGAACAATAAGAACACTTGGACACAGGAAGGGGAACATCACACACCGGGGCCTGTTGTGGGGTGGGGGGCTGGGGGAAGGATAGCATCAGGAGAAATACCTAATGTAAATGACGAGTTAATGGGTGCAGCAAACCAACATGACACATATATACCTATTTAACAAACCTGCACATTGTGCACATGTACCCTAGAACTTAAAAAACTTCTGAAGACCAAATACAAGCATATATGATAGATCATTATCTCTTGCAAGCAGAAACAACACAGGGAAAAACTTGCAATCATGCCCTACCTACCCACCAACTCTTTTCCATGGGCTTTCATTGATAATTCAAAGGACGTATGCCACAGGCAAGGGCAAGCCCAGGGAGGTGAAAACCCCTCCAGTGCACTCTGACCTTCACTGAGTGTTACAATGGCTCTCAGAAGGCTAGCAGCACATCAGTCAGATAAAGATCCCTCGTAAAGCTGAACGTGAGGAAGAGGATTGTGAAACAAAGAGAAGTTACCATAAGCCCAAAAGACTGCCAGCAAAGCTATAAAGCATAAAGAGAATTCCAGAGTCACACCAGTGCTCTTGTTACCAGCAATTTCGAGGAGAAAGACATAACCTCACCCTGAAAACAATTAAATCCAGTGGCAAACTGAATCTAAATAAAACAGCAACAAAGCCAAAACCAGCCTCCCAAACTCATAGTCTAACAGAAAATGAATATACCTTTTTCCTGCATGTAAACATTATTTACTTCAATTATTATTTTTCTTGAACATACAATGTTTAACTAATAAAAAATTAAAAGACACTCAAAGAAACAAGAAAAAATGATTCTTGGACAAGAGGGTAAATAGCTCAGAGCAATATATTAAAAGGTGTCCAAGGTGTTGAAACTAACACAAAATGCTTCTAAAATAAGTATTATGTTAAAGGGTCTACTGGAAAAGGTAGACACATGCATTAACAAAGGAGATATCTCATTAGGTAAATGGAAATTATAGAAACAACATAAAACAAGAAGATATATACAAATGAAAATGCTATAGTGAAAACTACAATATCAGAAAGGAAGAGGAAATTTGGTGAGCTTAACAGCAGGCTGGATACAGCAGAGGAAAATATCATGAATTTCAATAAAAGTCAAACAAAAAGGAACCAAGCAAATTAGATCTGTGGGATAATATTATAATATAGTATATGTGTAAGGGTCCCTGAGGGAAGCACAGAGAGAGTGTGGCAGAAGAAATATTTGGAGAAATCAGCTGCAAAGGTTTTTTAAATGATGAACGATATCAAGCCACAGAACTAAAAACTAAATTAAGCCCATGAAGGATAAATACAAGAAAAGGGTCCACACTTAAGCACACATAGTCAAACTGCTTAAAACCAAACATAAGGAGAAATTCTTTATAATTTTCAGAGTAGAGAAAAAGACACATTGCATAAAAGGATACAATGACAAGAATGTTGGCTTACTTCCTGATTGAAATGATGAAGCAAAAAACAAAATGGAGCAACATATTTGTAAAATGCCCAGGAGAAAAAAAAGCTGCCAACCAAGAATTTTATAAACAGCAAAAAATGTCCTCCAAAAAAGGCCAGCAAAATGAATACATTTTTAGACAGACAAAAACTGAGATAATTTATCTTTACCAGACATACAACACAAGAAATGCTAAAAGATGTACTTCAGGCTAAATGGAAATTAAATCTGATGGAAATTCACATCTGTAGGAAGGAATGAAAAGAAATAGAAAGGGTAAATATGTGGGTAATTACACAAGATATTTTAAAATTTTTTCTGTATTACTTATGTGTATATTACATTTCTTTAAAAGACTATTAACTTATTAGAAGGAAAAAAGTAACTGTGTATTGGGGCTTATAAAAATAGATCTATGAATAAAATAAATTAGTAAAATACAAGACTTTGAGGACAAAAACAGAAGGAGGAGCTAAGTAGAATTATCCTATTGTAAGGTACTTACAATATGAATAGTATAAAATTATTTGAAGATATCTTGTAATAAGTTAAAGATGCATACTGGAATCTCTCTAGCAACCACTAAAAATATAAAGATAATAAAATTAAACCAATAGAGGAGGTAAAATGAAATATTATTTAAACACTTGAGAAATGCCAAAGAAGGAATTAAAAAAAAGTACAAAGGAACAAAGAACAGATGAGTCAAATAAAAAATAAATACCAAGGTGGTAAAGTGAAACATAAACACATGATTATGAATAAATGAATTAACACTGTCATTAAAATCAGAGATTGTCAGATTGAGTAAAGAAGTAGATCTTGGTCGAGTGAGGTGGCTCATACCTGTAATCCCAGCACTTTGAGAGGCTGAGGCAGATGGATTACCTGAGGTCAGGAGTTCGAGACCAACCTGACCAACATGGCAAAACCCCCTCTCTACTAAAAATACAAAAATTAGCCGGTGTGGTGGTGCATGCCTGTAATCCCAGCTACTTGGGAGGCTGAGGCAGGAGAATCACCTGAACCCAGGAGGCAGAGGTTGCAGTGAGCTGAGATCATGCCATTGCACTTGGGCCTGGGCAACAAAAGTGAAATTCCATTAAAAAAAAAAAAAAAGTAGATCCCAATTACATAGAGTTTACAAACAGACCCTTAAAATATGAAGACAGGATGAAAACAAAAAAGTGGAAAACATCACAGCATAAAATCACTAAGCATAAGAAAGCTAGTGTTTAAGTAAATACCAAAGTATACTTCAAGAGGAAAAGCTTTGCCATTGATAAAAGGGAAGATTTTATAATGATACAAAAGTCAAATTATCAAGAACATATAAAATTATAATTGTGAGCACAACTAATAATAGGGCTTCAAAATATAAAAAGCAGGCTAGGTGTGGTGGCTCATGCTTATAATTACAGAGTTTTGGGAGGCCAAGGCAAGAGGATTGCTTGAGGTCAGGAGTTCAAGACCAGCCTGGACAACATAGCAATATCCTGATTCTACAAAAAAGTTTCAAAAGTTAGCCAGGCATGGTGGCACATGCTTGTAGTCCTAGTTACTTGAGAGGCAGAAGTGGAAGGACTGCTTAAGCCTAAGAGTTTGAGGGTACAGTGAGCTATGATCACATCACTGCACTCTCCAACCTGGGCAGCAGAATGAGACCCTATCTCTCTTTCTCTATAGATAGATAAATAAATATAGATATGGATATAGATTTATTGGCTAATGTATATATATTATATAGCTAACATACATTAACATATATATTAGCTCTCTCTATAAGAATTTAGAATGTGTGTGTGGGTGTGTGTGTGTGTGTGTATATATATATATATCAAAAAAGGTACAAAACTAAAGAAAAAACTAGATAAATCCACAATCATAAGTATTTTGGCTTTTTTTGTAAACTGATACACTAATTAGATAATAGTAATGATATAGAAGATTTAAATAACAATATTGAAAATGGCCAACTAGAAACAGCTGTGGTCAGAGGTGCCCACCAAGAAGAATAAAAATGACGAGTGAATCCTGCACCAGCAACTGAGGAATCCAGGTTCTCTCATTGGGACTGACTAGGTGGTTGACACAACCCATGTAGAGTGAGGAAAAGTAGGGTGGTGCAATGGCCCACCTGGGAGCTACATGGGACAAGGGAAACTCTTACCCCCAGCCAAGGAAGGCAGTGAGTGATCATGCTACCCTGCCCAATAAACCACACTTTTACCACAGATCTGTGCAACCCACAGATAAGAAGATCCCCCTCATGAGCCCATGCCACCAGGGCCTTGGGTCCCAAGAACAAAGCTGTGAAGAGTCTCAGTGACCACTCGGCTGGAAACTGCCTAACACTACTGAGTTCGGAGGGTGGGAAGGGGTGGCGGGCAGCTGTCATCAATGTGGCTGCCTGCTGGTGGCAGGGAGACTGGACGGTTTGGACCCAGGAGGAATTCCCCAAAGGGCAGCACAGTGGCTGTGGCTGACAGTGGCCAGACTGCCCCTTAAGGCCAAACCCTGACCCATCCCTCTTCACTGAGCAAGGCTTCCCTGCAGGAATTTCAACAACTCCAGCCAGGGGGTTAGGGGTGGCCACGATCTCCATAGATCAGCAGACTTAGTCTTTCCTCCTGCTGGCTCTGAGGAATCTGGGCAGTCCAGATGAGTGAGATTCCCCCCAGAGCAGCACAACCCCTCTAACAAGGGGCAGCCAGAGTGTTTCAGTAAGCGGGACCCAGATCCCATGCCTCCTGACTGGGCGAGAACCCCCGCAACAGGGGTTGCTAGATACTTTATACAGGAGCATTTTTGTCGTTATCAGGGCAGTGCCCCTCTGCAACGGAGATCTCAGAGGAAGGAGCAGGCAGCTATCTTTGCTGTTTTGCAGCCTCCATTGGTGACACCTTCAGGTGCAGGGGCAGGGTGGTACCTAGGTGAAACCAAAGCAGCCCTATGGAAGAGGGGCCTGACTATTAAAGGAAAAACTAATGGAAAACAACAACAACAACATCATCAAGAAAAATGTCCCCACATAAACCCCATCCAAAGGTCAGCAGCCTCAAAGATCAAAGCTAGATAAACTCACAGAGATGAGAATCAGTGAAAAAATGTTGAAAACTCAAAAAGCCAGAATGCCTATTTTCTCCAAATGATTGCAACACCTCTCCAGCAAGAGCACAGAACTGGGTGGAGGCTGAGATGGATGAATTGACAGAAGTAGGTTTCACAAGGTGGGTAATAACAAACTTCGCTGAGCTAAAGAAGCATGTTCTAACCCAATGCAAGGAAGCTAAAAGCCATGATAGAACATCACAGGAGCTGTTAATCAGAATAAAGAGTGTAGAGAGGAACAGAAATGACCTGATGGAGTTGAAAAACACAACACGGGAATTTCACAATGCAACCACAAGTATCAATAAACAATTAGATCAAGCAGAAGAGAGAATTTCAGAGATTGAAGACTATCTTGCTGAAATAAGACAGGCAGACATAATTAGAGAAAAAAAAAAAAGGAAAAGGAACAAGCAAAACCTCTGAGAACTATGGGATTATCTAACAAGACAGAACATATGACTGATTGGGGTATCTGAAAGAGATGAAGAGAATGGAACCAAGTTGTTAAACATACTTTAGAATATCATCCAGGAGAACTTCCCTAACCTAACAAGACAAGGCAACATTCAAATGCAGGAAATGCAGAAAATCTCAGTAAGATGAAAAGATCAACCTCAAGACGCATAATCATCAGATTCTCCAAGGTTGAAATTGAAAAAAAAAAATGTTAAGGGCAGCCAGAGAGAAAGACCAGGTCACCTACAAAGGGAAGCCCATCAGACTAACACTGGACTCTCAGCAGAAACCAAACAAGCCAGAAGATTTTGAGGGCCAATATTCAACATCCTTGAAGAAAAGAATGTCCAACTGAGAATTTCATATTTGGCCAAACTAAGATTCATAAGCAAAGGAGAAATAAAATCATTTTCAGAAAAGCAAATGCTGAGGAAGTTCGTCACTACCAGGACTGCCTTGCAAGAGCTCCTGAAAGAAGCAATAAATATGGAAAGAAAAAAACTGTTACCAGCTACTGCAAAACAAATTGAAGTACAAAGACCAATGACACTATGAAGCAACTACAACAACAGGTCTGCAAAATAACCAACTAGCATCATGATGACAGAACTAAACTGACACAGAACAATATTAACTTTAAATGTAAATGGTTGAAATGCTCCAATTAAAAGACACAGAATAGCAAGCTGGATAGAGTCAAGACCCATCAGTGTGCTGTATTCAAGAGACCCATCTCACATGCAAAGGCACACATTGGCTCAAAATAAAGGGATGGAAGAATATTTACCAAGCAAATGGAAAGCAGTAAAAAGCATGGATTGCAATCTTACTTTCTGACAAAACAAACTTTAAACAAAGATAAAAAAAAGACAAAGAAAAGCATTACATAATGGTAAGGAGTCAACTCAACAAGAAGAGCTAACTATCCTAAATATATATGCACCCAATACAGGAGCGCCCAGGCTCATAAAACAAGTTCTTAGAGACCTATGAAGAGACATAGACTCCCACACAATAATAGTGGGAGATTTTAACACCCCATTATCAACATTGGGTAGATCACTGAGATAGAAAATTAACAAAGATACACAGGACTTGAACTCACCTCTGGATCAAGTGGACCTGATAGAAATCTACAGAATGTTACATGCAAAAACAACAGAATATACATTCTTCTCAGTGCCACATGGCACTTACTGTAAAATCAATAACATAATTGGAAGTAAAACACTCCTCAGCAAAT
This sequence comes from Homo sapiens, assembly GCF_000001405.40. Classification (NCBI taxonomy): domain Eukaryota; kingdom Metazoa; phylum Chordata; class Mammalia; order Primates; family Hominidae; genus Homo; species Homo sapiens. Next base: position 113,200,539 of record NC_000023.11, on the reverse strand, counting down.
GCAAAATAACTGAAATCATAACAGTCTTTCAGACCACGGTGCAATAAAATTAGAACTCAAGATTAAGAAACTCACTCAAAACTACACAACTATCTGGAATTTGACAACCTGCTGCTGAATGACTCCTGGGTAAATAATGAAATTAAGACTGAAATCAAGAAGTCTTTGAAATCAATAAGAACAAAGAGACAATGTACCAGAATCTCTGGGACGCAGCTAAAGAAGTGTTAAGAGAGAAATTTATAGAACTAAATGCCCACATCAAAAAGCTAAGAAGATCTCAACTCAACACCCTAACATTACAACTAAAAGAACTAGCAAACAAAGCCCAAAGCTAGCAGAAGACAAGCAATAACTAAGATCAGAGTGGAACTGAATGAGACAGAAACACAAAAAAACCTTTGAAAAAAAATCAACGAAGCCAGGATCTGGTTTTTTTTTTTGAAAAAATTAATAAAATAGGCCAATAGCTAGACTAATAAAAAAGAAAAGAGAGAAGAATCAAATAGACACAATAAAAAATGATAAAGGGGATTTCATCACTGAACCCACAGAAATACAAACAACCATCAGAGAATATTATAAATACCTCTATGCAAGTAAACTAGAAAATCTAGAAGAAACAGATAAATTTCTGAACACATCTACACTCCCACGACTGAACCAGAATAAGTGGAATCCCTGAATAGACCAATAACAAGTTTTGAAACTGAGGCAGTAATAAATGGTCTAGCAACCAAAAAAAGCCCAGGACCAGATGGATTTACAGCTGAATTCTACCAGATGTACAAAGAGGAGCTGGTACCATTCTTTCTGAAACTATTCCAAACAACTGAAAAAGAAGGACTTCTCCCTAAATCACTTTATGAGAACAGCATCATCCTGATACTAAAACCTGGCAGAGGTACAACAACAAAAAAGAAAACTTCAGGCAAATATCCTTAATAAACATCAATGCAAAAATCCTCAATAAAATACTGGCAAACCGAATCCAGCAGCACATCAAAAAGCTTATCCACCACAGTCAAGTTGGCTTCATCCCCAGGATGAAAGACTGGCTCAACATACACAAATCAGTAAATGTAATTCATCACATAAACAGGTCCAAAGACAAAAACCACATGATTATCTCAATAGACACAGAAAAGGCCTTCAATAAAAGTCAACACCCCTTCATGTTAAAAACTCTCAATAAACTAGGTATCGATGGAAAATAACTCAAAATATTAAGAGCCATTTATGACAAACCCACAACCAATATTATACTGAATGGGTAAAAGCTGGAAGCATTCCCCTTGAAAACCAGCATAAGAAAAGGATGCCCTCTCTCACCACTCCTATTCAACATAATATTGGAACTTCTGGCCAGGGCAATCCGGCAAGAGAAAGAAATAAAGGGTATCCATATAGGAAGAGAAGAAGTCAAACTGTCTGTTTGCAGATGACTCGATCCTCTATCCAGAAAACCCCATTGTTTCAGCCCAAAATCTTCTTAATTTGATAATCAAGTTGAGCAAACTCTCAGGATACAAAATCAATGTGCAAAAATCACAAGCATTCCTCTACACCAACAATAGACAAGCAGAGAGCAAAATCATGTAGGAACTCCCATTCACAATTGTTACAAGGAGAATAAAATATCTAGGTGTAGCTAACAAGGGAAGTGAAGGAGCTCTTTAAGGAGAACTACAAACCACTGCTCAAGGAAATCAGAGAGGACATAAACAAATGGAAAAACATTCCATGCTTATAGATAGGAAGAATCAATATCGTGAAAATGGCCATACTCCTCAAAGCAATTTATAGATTCAATGCTATTCTCATTATACTGTCATTGGCATTCTTCACAGAATTAGAAAAAACCACTTTAAAATTCATATGAAACCAAAAAAGAGTCCATATAGTCAAGACAATCCTAAGCAAAAAGAACAAAGCTGGAGGCATCACACCTTCAGAGAGAGGGAGAATTCAAACTATACTACAAGGTTACAGTAACCAAAACAGCATGGTGCTGGTACAAAAACAGACATATAGACCAATGGAACAGAACAGAGATCTCAGAAATAAGACTGCACATCTATAACCATCTGATTTTTGACAAACCTGACAAAAACAAGTAATAGGCAAAAGATTCCCCATTTAATAAATGGTGCTGGGAAAACTGGCTAGCCATATGCAGAAAATTGAAACTGGATCCCTTCATTACACCTTATACAAAAATTAACTCAAGATGGATTAAAGACTTAAATATAAAACCCCAAACTGTAAACACTCTAGAAGAAAATCTAGGCAATACCATTCAGGACATAGGCACGGGCAAGATTTCATGACAAAAACATCAAAAGCAATTGCAACAAAAGCAAAAATTGAGAAATGGGATCTAATTAAATTAAAGAGCTTCTGCACAGCAAAATAAACTATCATCAGAGTTAACAGACAATCTACAAAATGGGAGAAAAATTTTGCAATCTACTCATCTAATGAAGGTCTACTATCCAGAAATTACAAGGAACTTAAACAAATTTACAGGAAAAAATTAAAATGACCCCATTAAAAAGTAGGCAAAAAACATGAACAGACACTTTGCAAAAGAAGACATTTATGTGGCCAGCAAACATATGAAAAAAAGCTCAACATCACTCATCATTAGAGAAATGAAAATCAAAACTACAATGAGATGCCATCTCAGGCCAGACAGAATGGTGATTAAAAAGTCAAGAAACAACAGATGCTGGCAAGGCTGTGGAGAAATAGAAACACTTTTACACGGCTGATGGAAATGTAAATTAGTTCAACCATTGTAGAAGACAGTGTGGCGATTCCTCAAAGACCTAGAGACAGAGATACCATTTGACCCAGCAACTACATTACTGGGTATATACCCAAAAGAATATAAATCATTCTATTATAAAGATACGTGCACGCATATGTTCATTGCAACACTGTTCACAATAGCAAAGACATGGAATTAACCCAAATGTCCAACAATGATAGACTGGATAAAGAAAATGTGATACATATACACCATGGAATACTATGCAGCATAAAAAGAAACAAGATCCTATCCTTTGCAGAGACATGGATGGAGCTGGAAGCCATTATCTTTAGCAAACTAACACGGGAACAGAAAACCAAACACAGCAAGTTCTCACTTTTAAGTAGGAGCTGAACAATGAGAACACATGGACACAGGGAGGGGACCAACACAGACTGGAGCCTGTCGTGGGGGCAGAGGGGGGGAGAGCATCAGGATATATAACTAATGCATGTGAGGGTTAATACCTAGGTGATGGGTTGATAGGTACAGCAAACCACCACGGTACACATTTACCTAGGTAACAAACCTGCACATCCTGTACATGTACCCTGCAACATAAAATAAAATAAAAATAAACAAAACAATATTAACAAACATGATCTAATTGGCATCAATAGAGCATTAGATCCAAGTGCAAAATGCTCAATTTTTTAAATATCTATAGTATGTTCACCAAAATAGATCATATGATAAGCTATAAATTAATTCTCCACAATTTTAGAAAGATTGAAAGCATAAAAAGTAATTTCTATGACCACAAACATATTAAATTAAAAATGAATAGATAGGAGTGACGTCAGAAGACATGGCAGAGTAAGAACCCCTGAAAACCTCTCCTTATAAAAACAACAAGATCACAGGCAAAAATTGTCAAAATCAACATTTTCAAAATTTTGGAAATTAACAACTTACAAAAATTCTGGAAGTGTTTATTCAAGAGAAACAGCTGAAACTCAGTAAGTAAAGTAATCCTTGTGCTGTTTTAACTTGCCCAAATTCTATCCCCTTCTCCTCGGCCCTGTGGTAGTCTTGAAAACCAATAGCCTAAAATAATGGTGAAAATCGGCAGTCTAGAAGCCCCTGGAGGGATTGTAATAGGACTTCCACCAAAGCTCAATTTCCAGTCATATGACATGGACCTATCTGGCTGCTCCCTGGAAAATGAAAATCCCACTCACAAGGCTTTTCTTCATTTAATTTTCCCCAGAGGTCACTCTGTGGGAATAGCTTTTCCCTGGGGGTGTTTATAAAAAGCAATCAAAATTTCCCTAGTGATTGTTTAGTTTTGCAGCTGCCTAAGGTGGTGATAACAGTTCGGGCAACGAGCTAATAAAAAAATCTTAAAAAGAAAAGACGGAGAATGAAATCTTCATAAAGACACTGGTAAGATTTTTGCTAGGCCAGAAAAAAGAAAAGACACTGAAAAGCTGAAACAAATTCCTGGGAATCTAGAAGGCCAGGTGTGTATGCAAGGCCGTGTGTATGCTCAGGAAAAACCTAAGAAGGCCCCAAACTCTCACACCTGACCTTGAAGCTATGAACAATCAGGAAGTAAAGGAAAAGGGTGGAGCTGTAAACTGCCTGCCTGAGCGTTGAAGGTGTCCTTCAACACACACATAGACTCTAGGCAAAGACTGGTAGACTTATTGGCTCCCAAGACTTAAGGAAATCTCTGTCCAGTTATTACAGTCCATTAAACTATCCAAGCACCAAGGAGAAATTTCAGTGGCCACACTCGAAGATGAACACATATTAACTTTACCAAATTAGTCTAGAAAAGTTTGTAAACAACAGAAAAGCAATAATAATGACAACAACAAACTGCAATAACAACAAAGCCAGTAGGCATATATATTCAGAATTGCCACATTACCTTATTTAAAATGCACAGTTTTCAGTAAAAAGTAACTATGAGATATGGAAGCATCAAGGAAGTATGTTCTATACATGGGGAAAGAGAGGAAACAGCGAATAGAAACTGTTTCTGAGGAAGCCTAGAAGTTGGACTTACTAGGCAAAAACTTTAAATGAGGTTTATATGCTCGAAGAGCTAAAGGAAATTGTGTATAAATAACTAAGGCAAAGTATGAAAATTATGGCTCACTAAATACAGAATGCCAACTAAGATGTATGTTATTTTTTAAAAAGACAGCAATTCTGGAATCTAAAAGTATAATAAGAGCAATGAAAAATGTATTAGAGGGGCTTATATTCGTTTATTATGGCTGACATAACAAAATACCACAGGTTGGGCGGCCTAAACAATATAAATTTATCTTCTCACTGTTATGGAAGCTAGGAGGCCAGGAAGAAGGTGCCAGCAGAATTGATTTCTCCTGAGGCCCCTCTCCTGGTATCATTTTCTGTATTTTTCTGTGCTGCTATAACAGAATACCTGAGACTGAGTAATTTATAAACAATAAAAATTAATTTTCTCACAGTTTTGGAGGCCAGGAAATTCAAATCTACCCTTATTGGGTTCTCTCAGCTTTTTAAAAAACTTCTTTATCTATGCACCTGGCCAACAGATGGCAAGATGCAACAGCTTGGATTCTGCATTGGAGATATGTGGCTATTTTGCTTAACCTTTTGCTAAGTTACACAATTCAGCACGTATTTAACAGAAATCTCAGAACTGGGGTAACTGGCCTGGGCATAGCTTTAATCTTAAGGTGATACTGCTGTTCATACATATGTCTTCTTTGGGAACCTCACGTGGGTAGGTGAAGGTTGGAGAGGATGCAACTGGCAGGGCATGAATCAAATATTCCTAAGACTTGTGGCCAAATATCATCAGTATTAATTTTCTAGGGCTGCATAACAATGTGCACAAATTTTGTGGTTTAAACAGGAGAAGTTTATTGTCTCACAGTTTTGGAGGCTCAGTCTAAAATCAAGGTGTCAGTAAGGTTGGTTTCTTCTGATGGCTGTGAGAAAGCATCAGTTTCAGGCCCTTCTTCTACTTCTGGTAGCTTTAGGAATCTTTTGGCTTGTAGATGGTGTACTCCCTGTTTCTTCACACTGCCTTCCTTCTGTGCGTATCTGTCTTTTTCACTTGTTTTTTTTTTTTTTTAATTTTAATACATAAGAACACCAGTCATATTGGATTAGGTGCCCATCTTTCTTCTGTATGACTTTATCTTAATTAATTATGTCTGCAATGACCCTATTTCCAAATAAGGTCACAATCAGAGGTATGGGGGTTAGGATTTTAACATATAAATTGGGGCTGGGGGGGGCGCAGGCACAGTTCAACCCATACAGTCTGCCATTAACATCAGAGCAAATTGTTGCTGCTTTTGGCTTTCTCCTATCAGCTCTTCTGGTCTTCTCTCTTGCTTAGTACCCTACCATAGCCACTTCAGCATCTGACATTTTTAAACTTGTGGCATGCTTTTAGTTTTGCAAATATATCATGTTATTTTATACCTCTTTGCATTTTATTTCTGTACTTTTTTTTTCTGGAATGCCCCTTTATACCTTATACTTGGCTTCACTTATCTCAGGAGTAATGTACAAGGTCATCTCCTCTTTGAAGCCTTTCCTGACCACATTTATAGCTTTATTACCTTTCAACTCTATTGTCCAGGTAGAACTTGACTCATTTTTATCCCAATTTTTCTGCTCTTACACTTATTATAGAACATAAAACCCTTTTGCACTATTTTTTTCTTTGAATGTTTTCCCCTTCTAGAATACAAGCACCTTAAGGTCAAAGTTTCATGAACTATTTCCCTTTGTTTCCCTGAAATTTAGAGCAATTTCTGACACATGTAGGTGCTCAACAGATTTTTTTAGGAATTAAAAATTATTATTTATAGGAAAGGCATCATGTCTAAGAGTCATTTTTTTTTGAGGCGGAGTCTCGCTCTGTTGCCCAGGCTGGAGTGCAGTGGCGTGATCTCAGCTCACTGCAAGCTTCGCCTCCTGGGTTCATGCCATTCTCCTGCTTCAGCCTTCCCAGTAGCTGGGACTAAAGGCATCCGCCACCATGCCCGGCTAATTTTTGTATTTTTTGTAGAGACAGGATTTCACCTTGTCAGCCAGGATGGTCTCAATCTCCTGACCTCGTGATCCGCCTGCCTCAGCCTCCCAAAGTGCTGGGATTTTTTAAAATGTGTATTTTAGTGCCAATGAAAGTCTGAGAAAAGTCATTTAGGGTATGTGAGAAGGTGAAAAAGAATTTTAGAATTCTAGTTGACTGGGATGTGGAAACCCCTTTACTCGCACTCTGTATCCAACATCAGGCATTGAAAATAGTGTTCCTTTTCATCATTTGCCCAGAATCAGTCTTGGTAACTACCTACTAATGAGTATATTAAACAACAACAACAAAAATGTATGCATATGACCAAACTAACAATGTGGCCCCTAGAGTTTGAAAGGAAAGGACTCACTAAGTTCATGCCATATCTGGTTTCCTTCATACTCTTCAAAACACAATGGCCAGAAGCATATTAACACAAAAACATCTCCTATAAATGATATTTAATTATTTATTGTAAAATTAAATAGCACTGAATAAAACTTTTTGAAAGTATAAAGAACAATTCTTAAATAAGTCAAAATGCCAATAATAAATAACTGGGATGTGGGAGTGGATGGAAATTAATTTAGATTCCTTACATTGCTGTAGTCCAAGGTAAACCAGGGTTTCCATTAGGCTTAGCAAAGTCTAGGGCATTATGCCTTTCATTTGTTTTTATTTTTTTAATTTTTAAATTTTAAAAACTTTTTTATCAAGGTGGAATATACATAACAAAAAATCCACCATTTTAAGGTGTAGAATTCAGTGGCATTTGGTACATTCACAATGTTATGCAACCATTACCTCCATCTAGTTCCATCACTTTTTCATGATCTGCAAGAGACCTGTCAAGCAGATACTCCCCATTTCTCCCTCCCCCAACCCTTGGCAATGAATAATTTGTTTTTTTCTCTATGGGTTTACCTATTTTGCATATTTCATGGAAATAGAGTAAACCAATATGTGAAATTTTGTGTCTGACTTCTTTCACTCAGCATTTTTCCAAGGTTCATTCATGTTTTCACATGAAGTAGTACCTCAATCCTTTTTATAGCTGAGTAATATTCCATTGCATGGATATACCACATTTTATTTACCCATTCATAAAGTAATGGACATTTGTGCTATTTCCACCTTTTGGCTATTGTGAAAACTGACTAGGGACATTAATGTATAAATATCTGTTTGAATTACCTGTTTTCAGTTTTTAGTGTATATAACTAGGAGTGCCATGGCTGGGTCACATGGAAATTCTGTTTAACTTTTTGAGGAACTGTCAAATTGTTTTCCACAGTGACTGCACCATTTCACATTCTCACAAGCAATGTACAAAAGTTCCATTTTTCCACATCCTTGCCAATGCTTGTTTCTTTCCATATTATTATTATTATTGCCATCATAGTGGGCATAAAGTAATTGTGGCTTTGATTTGCATTTTCATAATGACTAATATACTTTTCACGTGCCTGTGGGTCATTTGTATATGTTCTTCAAACAAATGCCTATTCAAGTTCTTTGCCCGTTTTCTAACAGTGTTTTTTTGTCTTTTTATTGTTGAGTTTTAAGGGTTGGTTTTATATATTCTGGATGTTCAAACTGTATCATATATATGATTTACAAATATTTTCTCCTATTCTAGAAGTTTTATTTTCATGTTCTTGATAGGCACAAACATTTATAATTTTGATGAAACCCAATTGATCTAGTTTTTCCTCTTTTTGCTTGTGTTTCTAATGTCTTGTCTAAGAATCCACTGCTAAATCCAATGTCAGGAAAATTTACCGGTATGTTTTCTTTCATGAGTTTTATAGTTTTAGCTCTTACATTTATATTTTTGTTTTATTTTGACTTATTTTTAATATATTGTGCTGAGGTTTATTCTTGTTAATATGGATATACAGTTGTCACAGTATCATTCGTTGAAGCCAGTATTCTTCTCCTACCCTTGTCAAAAATCAATTGACCATAATATATGGGCTTGTTTTTATACTATTAATTTTCTTCCATTCATCTATAAGGCTATCCATATGCCAGTCCAACACTTTTAATTACAGTATCTTTGTAGTAGTTTTGAAATCAGAAAGCCTGAGTCTTCCAACTTTACTATTTTTAAGACTGTTTTGGCTATACAGCATTGCTTACAATTCTATAAGACTTTTAAAATTTTTTGTTCAATTTCTGAAAAATGTGCTGTTGGTTTTCCTAGAGATTGAGTTGAATCTGTAAATACCTTTGGGTAGTATTGTCATATTAACAATATTAAGTCCTTCAATGCATGAGCATGGAGTGCCTTCCCATTTGTTTTGTCCTTCTTTAATTTCCTTCAGCAATGTTTTGTAGTTTTTAGTGTACATATCTTGCTCCTCTTGGGTTAAATTTAATTTCAAATATTTTATTCTTTTTAATGCTGTTGCAAGGGGAATTGTTTCCTTAATTTTCTTTTCAAATTCTCTGCCGCTAGCATATAGAAATACAACTGATTTTTGCAGTTTGCTTACTCCTTTACTTTTAAGACTACTGATGTACCAGTTGCTGGTCTTCAATTTACAAAGACAATGTTTGGCTAAAGGATATAATTGTAGTCTCCCCTGCTGGTGATTGATTGTCTTGTACAAAATACTTGCATTTTTATCATTACATATAATTAGATGGCCAAATTATAGGCAAATATCAGAAGTAAAAGATTTTATGTATGTGTGCATATAATAACCACTCTTGCAAAGTATGTTAATACAAACATGAATATTCATTTTAAAATTAGAAGACAGATGAGTAAACTTTACTAAAGATCTCCATGGTTTGAAATTTACATTATATGTAGCAACTAATAACCTGGCTATGAAATTCTCTTTTAAAAGGAACCAATATTACACAAGATAATCATTATGGCAGACTACTGTGTGACAGCCCCTGTACAGCCCTCCCAAATAGCAGCCAAAAAGTTATTAAGGGGAGGTGGCCAAGATAGCCAACTAAGAAACAGCTAGTGTGTGTTTCTCTCGTGGAGAAGAATGGAAGGGGCAAGTAAATACAACACCTTCAACTGTGTATTAGTCCGTTCGCACACTACTATGAAGAAATACCTGAGACTGTGTAATTTATAAAGGAAAGAGGGTTAATTGACTCACAGGTCCACATTGTTGGGGAGGCCTCAGAAAACTTACAATCATGGTGGAAGGCCAAGGAGAAGCAGACACCTTCTTCGCAGGGTGGCAGGATGGAGGGAGTGCAAGCAAGGGAGATGCCAGATGCTTATAAAACCATCAGCTCTTGTGAGACTCACTCATTATCATGAGAACAGCATGGGGGAAACCACCCCCCTGATCCAATTACCTCCACCTGGTCCTGCTCTTGACATGTGGGGATTACAGGGATTACAATTCACAGTGAGATTTGGGTGGGGACAGTGTCAAGCCATATCAAACTGAAATATCCTGGTATGCACATTGGGAGACTAATCAAGGAAACAACTCAACCCATGAAGAATGGAGAAAAGCAAAACAGGATGATGGCCCACTCAAGAGCAACATGGAGCCAGGGGAACCTCCTTTGCCCAGGGAAACAATGGGTGAATGTGTGACCCCAAGAACCCACACTCCTTCCTTCCATGGATCTTTGCAACCCTTGGGTCAGAAGATCCCCTCAAGAACCCACTCCACCAGGGCCTTCAGTCTGATGCACAGAACTACGTGGAGTCTTGGCAGAGCAGCCACTCAAGCACACGTGGAGACTGGGAGCCTTGTATACCTGGATTTTCTGGGCTTCCTGGTTAAAGTAGCTGAACTCTGGCAAAGTGGGAGATTAGACCCCTGTACATATCCCTAGGAAAAAGGCTGAATGCAGGGGGCTGAGCAGTGACAGTCTGCAGGCCCTGCTTCCACAGTACATTGCAAAATAAAACCCACTGGCTTGGAAATCCAGCCAACCACCTGTCACAGCATTGTACCTCCCTGAGATGAAGCTCCCAGAGGGAGGGACAGGCCGCCATCTTTGCTATTTGGGTGACTTAGCCATTCCAGCCTTTGGGCTTTGGAGAGTCCAGGCCGACCAGGGTATGAAGGGATCATCCAGCACAGCACAGGTGCCCCACAAACATGGCCAGGCTGCTGATTTAAGTGGGTCCCCAATCCCATTCATCCTCACTTGCCAAGATTTCCTTACTGGGGTCTTCAGCCACCATCACTGTGTTCTTTGGCAAAGCAGTTTCAAACCTCCCTGGGACAGAGGCTCCAGAGGGAGGGGTGGGCCACCATCTTTGCTGTTTGGGCAACTTAGATGTTCTGCCCTTTAGGCTTTGGAGAGTCTGAGGCAACTGGGGACAGGAGAGGTCTCCCTGCACTGCACAACTGCTTTTGAAAAATGTGGCCTGACTGCTTTGTTAAGCGGGTCCCTAATACCATTTCTCTACACTGGGTGAGACTTCTCAACCAGGGTCTCAAGCTACTCCTGCCAGAGTTCTCCTGCTGACAGAGGTGATTTCATAGATCCCTGGGACAGAGCTCCCAGAGGAAGGGGCGGGCTGCCATCTGTGCTGTTTGGGTGACTTAACCATTCCAGAATTCAGGCTTTGGAGTGTCTGAAGCGATTGGAGGGCTAAGTGAACCCCAGCACACCACAGCTGCTCTACGAGAACATGGCCAGATTGATTTTTTAAACAAGTCCTTGATCCTGTTCTTCCTCACTGGGTGGGGCTGCCCAGTTGGAGTCTCCAGGCACCTCCTACAGGTGCATTTGGGCCAGCAACAGGTCCATACCTTCTTGGGATGGAGCTTCTGAAGGGAGGGGCAGGCTGCCATCTTTGCTGTTTCACAACCTTCACTGGTGATATCTCCAGGTACTGGAAAATCTGAGGCAACTAGGGACTGGAGTGAGCCTCCAGTATACTGCAGCAGCCCTACGTAAAATTGGCCAGACTGTTATATTGGTGCCCATTCCTATATCTACTTACTGAGCAGGTGCTCCAGGCCTGGGCCTCCAACCACCCCTCAGCAGACCAATCGAGCCAGTAGCAACTTGGGAACTCCCTGGACAGAGCCTCCGGGGGCAACTGAAAGCCTCTCTGCCACTGCCTCTGCAGTGGAACTGCCCTTGATACCCTTGGACTAATGAAACAGCAAAGACCCTAAGTGCCTTATCTATACTTCCAACAAGCTGCAGTCAATCAAAGGAGAGGAGGCCAGTTCACTTCCTACAGGTCCCACAAATCCTCTACTGCTCATCACCAGACAGGGAATCCCTTGCTTGGGCCCACAGCACAGACCCTCCATCCTGGGCTGACTGCACTTAGTAATTGCTGACCTGCATCTCTGTGGGGTGGAGCATCCAGGAGACAAGCAAAAGACCCTTGGCTGCCTCCAAGCTGGGAAAGAAACATAAACACTGAGATCACCACAGTGCTTCAGTGGGCAGTCCAGGAGTGCCAAGCCATGATCTACACCCAGCACTCCAGAGGTAGAGGAGCCACTTTCAGAGCATTGAAAGGGAACATGGATTCAACTATGAGTAAACATAGGGGAGCCATATAACAAGCAAGAGTCTACCAACTGACCAACACACCTAAGTGCCACCTACTGGATCACACCTCACAGCTTCAACACCAAAAATACATCGCTAACATACCCCTCTCTGAAACCAGAGACAAGAAGTCAGCTTCAAATAAAGACCCTGCACAAAACCTTGGCCTGGTGAAATCATTGAGAATAGAAGTTTATTGACTGTCCTCAGTCTACATTGCAGTAAAACGAACACCCACAGGCAGAGATGGAAAAGAGCCAATGCATGAGCTTGAGTAATTCAAATGGCCAGAGCGTTGTATGTCCCCCAAATGACCACATCACTTCTCCTCCTTCTTGTAGGTGGCCTGCCTTTTCTCTCTAGCTGCCTTTATCATTCTTCATTTCAACCTTGGAAGATCTGATGATTTTTTTATCTTGAGGATAATCTTCCTTGTAAAATCTTGCAGTTCTCTGTATTTCCTGAATTTGATTGTTGGCCTCTCTAGCCAGGTTGAGGAAGTTTTTATAGAAAATGTGTTTTCCAAGTTGTTTGCTTTCTCCCCATCCCTTTCAGGGATTACAATGATTCGTAGATTTGGCCTCTTTATGTAATCCCATACTTAAGAACTTTTGTAAGGCAGGTCTGGTGGTAGTGAACTCTCAACATTTGCTTATCTGAAAAGGATCTTATTTCTCCTTAGTTTAGGAACCTTAGTTTGGCAGGATAGGAAATTCTTGGTTGAAGATTTTTTTCTTTAAAATGTTGAATATAGGCTTTCAATCTCTTCTGGCTTGTAGGGTTTCAGCTGAGAGGTCATTAGAGATTAAGATTTATATTCTTAGGCTGAGCTGGCTGAAATATTCCAGGCTAAACTGGCTGAAATGACAGAAATAGAATTAAGGATACGAATAGGAAAGAAGCTCATTGGGATTCAGGAGAAAGGCAAAGCCCAATCCATGGAAATTAAGAATCACAATAAAGTGATACGAGTGGCTGAAGGATAAAATAGCCAGTATAGAAAAGAACCTAACAGATCTGACAGAGCTGAATAACATAATACAAAAATTTCACAATGCAACCACAAGTAGTAACAGCAGAATAAACCAAACAGGGGAAAGAATCTCAGAACTTGAAGATTAGCTCTCTGAAATAAGAAAGTGAGGCAAAAATAAAGAAAATAAATAAAAAGGAATGAATAAAACCTTCAAGAAGTATCTGGTGGTTGAAGTATGAGGTTGAAGGAACATACCTCAAAATAATAAGAGCCATTTATGACAATCCCACAGCCAACATTATACTGAATGGGAAAAAGTTGAAAGCATTTCCCTTGAAAACCAGCAAAAGACAAGAATGCCTTATCTCACCATTCCTATTCAACTTCCTATTGGAAGTCCTAGCCAGAGCAATCAGGTAAAAGAAAGAAATAAACGCATTCAAATAGGAAGAGAGGAAGTCAAACTATCTGTTTGGATATGACATGATTCAATAGCTAGAAAACCCCATAGTCCTAGCCCAAATGATCCTTCAGCTGAAAAACGACTTTTGCAAAGTTTCAGGATACAAAATCAATGTACAAAAATCACCAGCATTCCTATACACTAACAACAGCCAAGCTGAGAACCAAATCAGAAAGACAAGCCTGTTCACAATTGCCATGAACAGAATAAAATACCTAGGAATACAGCTAGCCAAGAGGGTGAAAGGTCTCTACAATGAGAACTACAAAATATTTATCAAAGAAATCAAAGAAGACACAAACAAATGGAAAAACATCCCATGCTCATGGACAGGAAGAATAAATATCATTAAAATGGCCATATTTCCCAAAGCAATTTACAGATTTAATGCTATTGTTATCAAAATACCAATAACATTCTCCAAAGAACTAGAAAAAAAACTATTTTAAAATTCATCTAAAACCAAAAACCAGACTGAATAGCCAAGGCAATCCTAAGCAAAAAGAAAAAAGCTGGAAGCATCACATTACCCAACTTCAAACTATACTAAAGGGCTACAGTAAGCAAAAGTACTGGTACAAAAACAGGTGCATAGACCAATGGATCAGAATAGAGACCTCAGATATAAGGCTGCACACATACGACCATCTGATCTTTGACAAAGCTGACAAAAACAAGTAATGGAGAAAAGACTCCCTATTCAATAAGCAGTGCTGGGACAACTGGCTAGCCATATACAGAAGATTGAAGCTGAATCCCTGCCTAACAACATACACAAAAATCATCCCAATATGTATTAAAGACTAAAATGTAAAACCCAAAACCATAAAAACCCTTAAAGACAACCTAGGCAATACCATCCTGGACACAGGAATAGGCAAAAATTTCATGACAAAGACACCACAAGCAATCACGACAAAAGCAAAAATTGACAAGTGGGATCTAATGAAACTGAAGAGATTCTGCAAAGTAAAAGTAACTATCAATAGTGTAAACAAACCATCTACAGAATGGGAGAAAATATTGGCAAACTGTGCATCTTTTTAAAGGTCTAATATCCAACATCTATAAAGAACTTAAATTTACAAGAAATAAACAACCCTATTAATAAGTGGGCAAAGGACATCAACGGACACTTTTCAAAAGAAAACATACATGCCACCAATAAGCATATGAAAAAAAAGCTCAATATCACTGATCATTAGAGAAATGCAACTCAAAACCACGAGATACCATCTCACACCAGTTAGAATGGCTATTAAAAAAGTCAAAAAATAACAGATGCTGGTGAGGTTGCAGAGAAAAGGAAACACTTATACACTGTTGGTGAGGGTGTAAATTAGTTCAATCATTGTGGAAAGCAGTATGGTGATTCCTCAAAGAGCTAAAAGCAGAACTATCATTTGACTCAGCAATTTTATTACTGGGTATATCCAGAGGAATATAAATCGTTCTGCCTTAAAGACACATGTACGTGAATATTCATTGCAACACTATACTAAATAGCAAAGACATGCAATCAACTTAAATGCCCATCAATGACAGATTAGATAAAGAAAATGTGGTACATATACACCATGGAATACTATGCAGCCATAAAAAAGAACAATATCATGGCTTTTGCAGGAACATGGATGGAGCTGGAAGCTAATATCCTTAACAAGCTAATGCAGGAACAGAAAACCACAACCACATGTTCTTATTCATAACTGGGAGCTAAATAATGAGAACTCATGAACACAAAGCAGGAAACAACAGACACTGTGGCCTGTTTGAGAGGGGAGAGTGGGAGGAGGGAGAGGAGCAGAAAAGATAACTATTGGATACTGGGCTTAATTCCTGGGTGATGAAATAATCTGTACAACAAATCCCCATAACATGAGTTTACCTATGCAACAAACCTTCACATGTACACCGAAACCTAAAATAAAAGTTTAAAAAAGTTATTAAGCATACATGCTCTTGCCTGAAAGATGACAACAACAAAATCAACTAGCAGTAGGAAGAAGACAAAACTTCCCAACACGGTTGGCAATTTCCTGCATAATCTAGCCCCTAGTTACCTCTTGCCACTCTTTTTTAAAGACTTTATTTTTAGAGCAATTTTAGACTAACAGCAAAATTGAGAAGAAAACAGAGATATCCAGCAGGCCCTTTGCCCCAGCATATGCATATCATCCCCCATTAACATCCCCCAACAGAGTAGTGCATTTGTTACAATTGATGAATCTACATTGACACACTATCACCCAAATCAGTAGTTTACATTAAGGTTCACTTTTGATGTACTTTCTATGAGTTTGGAGAAATTTATTATGGCATGTATTTCTATTATAGTACCACAGAGTATTTTTCACTGCCCTAAAAGTCCTCCATGCCCTGCCTATTCATCTCCTCCAACCCCTCTTACCCTGGCAACAAATGATTTTTTTTTTAACTGTCTCCATAGCTTTGCCTTTTCCATAATGTCATATAATGGCATAATGGAATTATATCAACTATTTGACATTCTGGAAAAGGCAAAGGTATATAGCCTTTTCAAATTGGATATTTTTTCACTTAGTAATATACATTTATGTTTCCTCCATGACTTTTCATGGCTTGATAGTTCATTTCCTTTTAGCAATGAATAACATTCCATTGTCTGGATGTACCACAGTAAATTTATGTATTCACCTACTGAGGGATATTACGGTTGCTTCTAACTTTGGGCAATTGTGGATAAAGCCATATAAAAATCTGTGTGCATGTTTTTGGGTGGATATGAGTTTTCAACTCTTTTGAGTAAATACCAAGGAGGATGAATGATGAATGGTGGGATGAGAGCATATTTCGTTTGGTAAGGATTTAACAAACTATCTTTCAAAGTGGCTGTACCATTTTGCATTTCCACCAGCAATGAATGAAAGCTCCTGTTTTTCTACATCTTTGCCACCATTAGATGTTGTCAATGTTCTGGATTTGGAGATTCTCATAGGTGTGTAGTGGTATCTCATTATTGTTTCCTCTTGCCATTCTTTTTTAATTGTATATATTTAAGGTGTACAATGTGGTATTTTGATATATATATATACACAGTGAAAAGGAGAAAAGTCAATTAATGTGACCACTATCTCACATAGTTACCTTTCTTTATGTAGTAAGAGCACCTAAAACCTACTGTCAAAGCAAATTTCCAGTATAAAATACAGTATTATTAACTGCATTTCTCATGTTGTACATTAGATCTCTAGACTTATTCATTCTAAATAACTGCAACTTTGTATTTTTTGTCCTACATCTCCCCATCACCCCTAGCTCCCGGTAACTACTGTTTTACTCTCTGTTTTAATGTATACAATTTTTTTAATCCACATATAAGTGAGATTATGCAGTATTTGTCTTTCTGTGTCTGGCTTATTTCCCTTACCATAATATCCTCCAGGTTCATCTATGGTGTTACAAATGGCAGAATCTCCTTTTTTAAGGCTGAATAATATTCATATATATATATATATATAAAACATAATTTCTTTACCTACTTATCCATTGAAGTACATTTATGTAGTTTCCATATCTTAACTATAGCAAATAATGCTGCAATATAATATGAGAATGCAGATATCTCTACAAGGTACTAATTTAATTTATTTTGGTTATATACCCAGAAAAGGGATTGCTGGGTCTGATGATTGTTTTATTATTTCATTTTCTAAAGAACCTCTATACTGTTTTCTATAGTGGCTGTACCAAGCTACATTGCCACTAACAGTATACAAGAGTTCCCTTTTCTCCACCCTTGCTAACATGTGTTATTGTTTGTCTTTTTGATAATAGACATTCTCTTGCCATTTTTTTACATCACAATCTACACTAAAGCCAAATCTGACACCTTTTAATTCCTAAAACATATCATATTCCCTCTGGAGTAGAGATCTCTACACACATTCTTCATACTACCTGAAATGCTCTCTCTGACCCTTCTTCATCTAGCTAGCTTCTTTTTATCCTTTAGGTGTCACCTTAAGCATCCCTTTCTCAAGAATACATTAATGTACTCTGCATTGGGCTAAGCCCTCTGGCTGTGTGCTCCCCTAGCATCCTGTCATTCCTCTAGCATTCTGCTCATATTATTGAAATGTGTTTGTTTATTGTATCTACCAATAAATTACAAGCTCTATGAGGTCAGACACTGTAAATGTCTTGTTTATTGCTGTATCCCTAATGCCTAGCACAGTGCTTAGCACATGGGAGGTGCTGAATGAACAACTGAATGAATGGTCGAATTACATTATTCCCCAGAAACAGCCCTGTATGAATCTTACTGTTCATTCACCCAATAAGAATTCCTGATGAACAATAACTATGCATACATAATTATGAGTTGATTGCTCCAAGAGGCAGATTCGTGATCAAGCAACATTGTTACATATGATTAGTGGTAGCATGGGTGTATATTTTTCCTCTAAGCAGTTTCTGCAGTGCCTTGGAACCCAAAGATAAAAGGGCTCAAGAGAAAAGTTCACACAGTTAAGAATGAAATTCATTTAACATCTAATGTTCCATAAAGCCCCACACATGTTGTGCAGAATGATTATTTCAGCTAAACCCTCTAAAATTTTTCAGGACATACTCTGAGAAACATTTTCAGATGGGTCTTTAAAGGCATTGAGAAAAGCTGAGAGATAGAGCAAGGAAAGCAGGTGCTGCACGTTGCTGCCTTTATCTTCCTGCACAGGAGTAAATACTTTCCTAGAAATGTCAAAGTTAGGAAAAAGGCTGAGTAGCCTATTTATTTTTTGATTCAAAGAACATTAGGGTGTTTTCTGGGTACTTATCTGATACACGAACTCAAGATTTCTAACTATATCAGAATCAGTGAGGTTTGGGAAAAACATTGCTTACTTTCTATTCATGTAAATTCAGTTTCGTATAACTTAGACAAAAACCCCTGTGAGTTTTTATTTCAGATTTTAGGATATAAGAAGGGACTTTTCCACTTTCCACTTCAGAAACACTTTTAAGCCTTTATAAAACTCTTTATAACTTTGGTACAGATAAAGGATGTATTGTGAAGTGCTTTGGAGAAGAATATCACTGTCATTGTCATTCAGACACAATGTAAAAAAGAAATTCTAATCACAGCAGGAATCTTTATCTACCGACTTCTGAATTTCCATAAATCTGGCTGTATACATTTTATTCTGGATGAATATTCCTGGAACGTTTGCCACCTACTTTATTCCTTCCCTCACATAACAAAATTTCCCAAAGCTTTATCATTTTAATTTTTAGCACTAGGAAAACCAGCTGTTTAATATAATAGCTACATTCTATCAAATTAGGGGTGGAAAAAGTAGCTAAAGACCATATCAAGCAAAAATGTTACTTAATATCATTTTTACCCATTGGGGTGTTTCACAAAATCAATGTTATTCTCAGAAGCTGGAAGAATAGAATTAAGTCCAATGCCTTAGTGTCTGTGGCCTACCTGGCTAGAATAAAGAGAACATATAATTTAGTAAAAAGGCAGAAGTAAGAATTACTCAGTTGACGTTTTGGTAATTTGCAAAAGCAGATGAAAGCCGATTTTGAGCAATCTGTTTCCATAATGAATACTAAACTGGCCCTACTTTGGGACAATGGCAAAGAATTGTTTTTCTTTATGTTGCAAGACTTGGAGGTCAGCCACAGACACACCATTCACAATAAACTTACAATAATGCTTTTGTTCTCGAGAAACAATGCTTTGAATTGTATTCTTGTGATTATGCATCTTCACCTTTACCTATGTGAGTTAAGATAAATGTCTAAATTATTGCAGGAGTGAATAACAAGCAGTAGGAGAGAATAGAGAATGAAGAGTAAAAGAAAGAGGGAGGAAGAAAGGTGAAAACACTGAAAAGGGGAGTAAAGGATGGGACAGAGAGAGGAATTAATGCTCACTCCATATACCTCACTCCATCTTAACATTATTACCACCTCCAAGCAGCCTTTCTCAACTGTTCCAGCTCTCCTTGATCTAGTTGTCCACTGAACTTTCATAGCTAATATCATTAACATCTCCTCTTAGGTTGATACGCATATGGCATATTTTAACATTTTTCTCTCCCTGTAATGATACTTTAATCTCTTTGAGAGAAATTACCACCTGAAGTCCCCCCATGCTGCCAAAGATATGCTGGAAATGCAGAAAGAGTTTAGTATCAGGCCTCTGAGCCCAAGCTAAGCCATCACATCCCCTGTGACCTGCACGTACACATCCAGATGGCCGGTTCCTGCCTTAACTGATGACATTCCACCACAAAAGAAGTGAAAATGGCCTGTTCCTGCCTTAACTAATAAAGTAGAGGCAGCCAAGTAGCAATGTATTTCTGAGTTGCAATTCCTTGCCTCTACTGTGAGACAAACCCCAGCCATATCTCCAGCACACAAGAACTCCAAACGCCTGAACCGCAGCTGCCAGGGGTTCCTCCAGAACCTCCTCCCCCAGGAGCTTGCTACAAGTGCCAGAAATCTGGCCACTGGGCCAAGGAATGACCGCAGCCCAGGATTCCTCCTAAGCTGTGTCCCATCTGTGCAGGACCCCACTGAAAATCGGACTGTTCAACTCACCTGGCAGTCACTCCCAGAGCCCCTGGAATTCCGGCCCAAGGCTCTCTGTCTGACTCCTTCCCAGATCTTCTTGGCTTAGCGACTGAAGACTGATGCTGCCCGATCGCCTCGGAAGCCCCCTAGACTATCACGGATGCCGATCTTCAGGTAACTCTCACAGTGGAGGGTAAATCTGTCCCCTTCTCAATCAATACGGAGGCTACCCACTCCACATTACCTTCTTTTTAAGGGCCTGTTTCCCTCGTCTCCATAACTGTTGTGAGTATTGACGGCCAGGCTTCTAAACCTCTTAAAACTCCCCAACTCTGGTGCCAACTTAGACAATACTCTTTTTTAAGCACTCCTTTTAGTTATCCCCACCTGCCCAGTTCCCTTGTTAGGCCGAGATATTTTAACTAAATTATCTGCTTCCCTGACTATTCCTGAGCTACAGCCACACCTCACTGCCGCCTTTTCCCCCATTTCAAAGCCTCATTCACATCCTCCCCTTGTATCTCCCCACCTTAGCCCACAAGTATAAGATACCTCTACTCCCTCCTTGGTGACCGATTATGCGCCCCTTACCATCTCATTGAAACCTAATCACCCTTACCCCGCTCAACGCCAATACCCCATCCCACAGCATGCTTTAAAAGGATTAAAGCCTGTTATCACTCGCCTGCTACAGCATGGCCTTTTAAAGCCTATAAACTCTCCTTATAATTCCCCCATTTTACCTGTCCTAAAACCAGACAAGCCTTACAGGTTAGTTCAGGATCTGCGCCTTATCAACCAAATTGTTTTGCCTCTCCACCCCATGGTGCCAAATCCATATACTCCCCTATCCTCAATACCCCCTCTACAACCCATTATTCTGTTCTGGATCTCAAACATGCTTTCTTTACTATTCCTTTGCACCCTTCATCCCAGCCTCTCTTCGCTTTCACTTGGACTGACCCTGACACCCATCAGGCTCAGCAAATTACCTGGGCTGTACGGCCGCAAAGCTTCACAGACAGCCCCCATTACTTCAATCAAGCCCAAATTTCTTCCTCATCTGTTACCTATCTCGGCATAATTCTCATAAAAACACACGTGCTCTCCCTGGTGATCGTGTCTGGCTAATCTCCCAAACCCCAATCCCTTCTACCAAACAACAACTCCTTTCCTTCCTAGGCATGGTTAGTGCAGTCAGAATTCTTACACAAGAGCCAGGACCACACCCTGTAGCCTTTCTGTCCAAACAACTTGACCTTACTGTTTTAGCCTAGCCCTCATGTCTGCATGCAGCGGCTGCCACTGCTCTAATACTTTTAGAGGCCCTCAAAATCACAAACTATGCTCAACTCACTCTCTACATTTCTCATAACTTCCAAAATCTATTTTCTTTCTCCCACCTGATGCATATACTTTCTGCTCCCCGGCTCCTTCAGCTATACTCACTCTTTGTTGAGTCTCCCACAATTACCATTGTTCCTGACCCAGACTTCAATCCGTCCTCCCACAGTATTCCGGATACCACACCTGACCCCCATGACTGTATCTCTCTGATTCACTTGACATTCACCCCATTTCCCCATATTTCCTCCTTTCCTGTTCCTCACCCTGAACACACTTGGTTTATTGATGGTAGTTCCACCAGGCCTAATCGCCACACACCAACAAAGGCAGGCTATGCTATAGTACAAGCCACTAGCCCGCCTCTTAGAACCTCTCATTTCCTTTCCATCGTGGAAATCTATCCTCAAAGAAATAACTTCTCAGTGTTCCATCTGCTATTCTACTACTCCTCAGGGATTATTCAGGCCCCCTCCCTTCCCTACACATCAAGCTGGAGGATTTGCCCCCCACCCAGGACTGGTAACTCTTAATTCCCTCTTAGAGTGGATAGATGATCTTTGCTGGCAGGGAACCCTCCAATACTTTCACCCTGATGAAGTTCTATTCTTTACTTTTATACTCACTCTTATTCTCATTCCCATTCTTATGCCACCCTCTACCTCTCCCCAGCTATCTCCACCACAATATCAACCTTACTCATTCTCTCCTAGCCGTTTCTAATCCGTCCTTAGCGAACAACCACTGGCTTTGCATTTCCCTTTCTTCCAGCGCCTACACAGCTGTCTCCGTGTTACATGCAGACTAGGAAACATCTCCTGTCTCCTACACCTCCGAACTTCCTTTAACAGCCCTCATCTTTACCCTCCTGAAGAACTCATTTACTTTCTAGACAGGTCCAGCAAGACTTCCCCAGACATTTCATAGCAGCAAGCTGCCACCCTCCTCCGCACTTACTTAAAAAAACTTTCTCCTTATATCAACTCTACTCCTCCCATATTTAGACCTCTCACAACACAAACTACTATTCCTGTGGCCACTCCTTTATGTACGTCTCGGCAAAGACCCACTGGAATTCCCCTAGGTAACCTTTCACCTTCTCGATGTTCCTTTACTCTTCATCTCCAAAGCCCTCTTCTTGTTTACTTATATCCAGCCCCATAAATAACAGTGAAAGGCTACACCATGAAAATCAAACCTTCCCCTCTACGCAGTTACCTCATCAGTCCCCATTACAACCTCTGACGGCTGCCGCCCTAGCTGCATCCCTAGGAGTCTAGGTACAAGACACCCCTTTCAGCACTCCTTCTCATCTTTTTACTTTGCATCTCCAGTTTTGCCTCGCGCAAGGTCTCTTCTTCCTCTGTGGATGCTCCACCTACATGTATCTACCTGCTAATTGGACAGGCACATGCACACTAGTTTTCCTTACTTCCAAAATTCAATTTGCAAATAGGACCGAAGAGCTCCCTGTTCCCCTCATGACACCGACACAACAAAAAAGAGTTATTCCACTAATTCTCTTGCTTGTTGGTTTAAGACTTTCTGCCTCCACTAGTGCTCTCGGTACTGGAATAGCAGGCATTTCAACCTCTGTCACAACCTTCCGTAGCCTCTCTAATGACTTCTCTGCTAGCATCACAGACCTATCACAAACTTTATCAGTCCCAAGTTGACTCTTTAGCTGCAGTTGTCCTCCAAAATCGCCAAGGCCTTGACTTACTGCTGAAAAAGGAGGACTCTGTATATTCTTAAATGAAGAGCGTTGTTTTTACCTAAATCAATCTGGCCTGGTGTATGACAACATAAAAAACTCAAGGAGAGAGCCTAAAAACTTGCCAACCAAGCAAGTAATTATGCTGAACCCCCTTGGACACTCTCTAATTAGATGTTCTAGGTCCTCCCAATTCTTAGTCCTTTAATACCTGTTTTTCTCCTTCTCTTATTCCGTTTGGTTTTTCAATTCATACAAAACCATATCCAGGCCATCACCAATAATTCTACAAGACAAATATTTCTTCTAACAACCCCACAATATCACCCCTTACCACAAAATCTTCCTTCAGCTTAATCTCTCCCACTCTAAGTTCCCACGCTGCCCCTAATCCCACTCAAAGCAGCCCTGAGAAACATCACCCATTATCTCTCCATACCACCCCAAAAAATTTTTGCCATCCCAACACTTTACCGCTATTTCATTTTATTTTTCTTATTAATATAAGAAGACAGGAATGTCAGGCCTCTGAGCCCAAGCTAAGCCATTATATCCCCTGTGACCTGCACGTACACATCCAGATGGCCGGTTCCTGCCTTAACTGATGACATTCCACCACAAAAGAAGTGAAAATGGCCTGTTCCTGCCTTAACCGATGACATTATCTTATGAAATTCCTTCTCCTGGCTCATCTTAGTTCAAAAGCTCTCCTACTGAGCACCTTGTGACCCCCACCCCTGCCCACCAGAGAACAACCCCCCTTTTTCCTTTACCTACCCAAATCTTATAAAACGGCCCCACCCCTGCCCACCAGAGAACAACCCCCCTTTTTCCTTTACCTACCCAAATCTTATAAAACGGCCCCACCCCTATCTCCCTTTGCTGACTCTTTTTGGACTCAGCCCGCCTGCACCCAGGTGAAATAAACAGCCTTGTTGCTCATACAAAGCCTGTTTGGTGGTCTCTTCACACGGACGCAAGTGAAATTTAGTAAATGCATTGAGCTAGTATTGGATTGAACTAGTATTCTATTGACATTGTATAACTCCTACAGCTATGACACTGACATTCTTGTTTTTTTGGAAAACAGGCGGCAGATGATTAATTTGACCAAAATTACAGTTACAAAGTTTCGATATTAGTGCTGTTGTCAAGTATGTAGACCCAGTCAGATTTTTCTAATTTCACAAATGATGTCTGTTCTCACACACATATTCTCTCATTCCTCCTCTGAAGAAAAGAGAGGAATCTGATTTAACTTTGGGGTAATAAAAATAGACCTATTCAAATATCACTTTCTTAATTGTTAACTCATATGGAAGTTCAAATGCAATATCATTTTTGAATAAAAATAGAGAAAAGCACCTGGAAAATAATGTATCCTTAACTGGCATGATGAAACAGAGATATGTATCATTTAATTTGCTATTAGAGCACTGGAAAATATAGGTATTTAAAATACTTTTATAGATTTTGTAAATGTGCTAAAACCTCGATGCAGTACTAAATCAGCTGCTACCATGCATGAATTTTGTTCTCTTATTTTCATTTCAATGAATAATTCCCACTGAGTAGTAAGTAGTGGAATCATAAACAGAGCTCATTCGGCATTTTCAACAAATGTCTCGATATAAGAGACTTCTGAACACGTTGGCATGGAGAGTAATTGTTTCTAATAACTACTAATATATGTTTTTCTAGTTACCAAAAATATCTGTGAATATGCATGGAGCACAACAGCTTTAAAGAAGAGGCTAGTGCACAATAATAACTTCCAAGGTGTATAAAAAGAGCTTCTATAATCTATCTTCTTTTGTTTATTTTAAAGATAAACTTGTGTTCTTTTTGCTCTCTAAAATGAACGAAGATACCATGTGCCAACTGAGTTTTATAACAAATTTCTATTGCTCTATGAGCTTAAAATACATCGTCAAAAAGAGATGAAATTATCAATTCTACTTATAATCTTGTAACAACTTTGCTATACTTAAGTAAAAATGGGGGGGGGAAGAAATTCAAGTAAATGCTTTATAGCCAAAATAAAATGTATATTTAGTTAAATGACCCAAGTAGCAGACAACAAAGGAAACCTGTTTTGATTTAAAAACAGTTCAGACAATTCAGAAAAGGCACTACAGATGCTCCTCAACTTACAATGGCATTACATCCTGATAAACCCATTGTAAGTTGAAAATGTCCTAAGTTGAAACAGCACAGAATAAACCTAGCCTACTGAACATCATAGTATCATAGCTTAGCCTGGCCTATGTTAAACATCCTCAAAACACCTACATTAACCTACAGTTGGAAAAAATAATCTGGCAACACAGTATGCTGTAGAGTATTGGTTGTTTACTCTTGTGTTCCCAGGGTCAACTGGGAGTTTGACTTGCTGTCACTGCCCAGTATTGCAATAGAGTATCATACAACTTTCTACTGTACGTGTATCACTTTTATACCACTGTAAAGTCAAAAAATTGTAAGTCAAACTTTTATCAGTCAGGGGCCATCTGTAGTTTGCTTTAAATTTATCCAATAAGCATTATGTCAAGTAACAATAATTGAATCTCACTATGTCCCTGGTACTATGGCAGGTGCCAGGAAAACAAAAAGGAATATAATATCCAATCATCTCCTTCTCTAGCAGAAAAGAAAGGTTTAAACAAAATTTTCAGTACAATATTATAAGTAATATAAACCAGTTTCATTTCTGGCAACAAAGCAGATTATGTAACTTTAAATCTGTCCCTCTACAAAACACCTGAATGTGGCATATAAACTATAACAAAGAGAACTTCACAGAATTTGTTAAAAACATTTTATCTTCAGATTGAAGTGAATGCCAGGTTTCAATCAGAATTTAGATTGGGGGGGGTCATAGTAAAGCAAAAGAAAATTAGAGACAAAGATATATTAAAAGCAACTAATAAGAAAAGGCATATTAACTTCAGAGGAATGTCAATTGGACTAATAGCAGACTTTTGAGCAGCAAGAATAGAATCCAGAAGACAGGAATATAATGACCTGTCTTATAGTGCTAAGAGCAAATAAATACTAACCTAGAATTTTATATTTAGCTAAATCAATATTTAAGAATGAAGGGTTAAAAAAGACATATTCAGACAAATGAAAACAATAAACAGTGAGTAAAGAAATAAGCAAATGTAGATAAATCTAAAGAAACAATGTCAGCCTAAAAGGGAAGAAAAATAATAATGACTAATTCGAGGGGATATAAAAGCAAAGTGGAACTAAAATATTGACAATGATACAAAATATGTGAAACAATTTATCTAAGTTAAAGCAGTCTAAGGACCTTGTAATGTTCAAGAGAGAAGAAATACTAGTTAATATTTCACCGTGTTGACTGAAATATGCATGCTTAATGTTAATTAGTAAAAAGAAGTAAACTACAAATATATAAATTCCAAACCAGTAGTAGAAACAAAAAAGGAATACATTAAATGTCTTCCATTAAGTGCTTGCAACATGACAACAATACTACTAATACTAACTTAACTCTAAGTAAGTCAAAGCTTTCAAAGAGAAGGTAGAATTTGAGCTAAGGCTTAAAGGAAAAGTAAGTGTTCATCTAAAATATGAAAAGTTGCATTAAAGAGAAATCTGTGAAAAGATACAGTATACTTAGAGATAGTTATTAAAGTGAGTCTAAGATGCCCAGGGACAAGGGTGGAGGGAAGAGAACAGGGGTTAGGATATGAGTCAAGATAAACATATAAGGTCAAGGACTAAAAATGAAGACTTTGTTAATACTAATGAGTTTCATATTTATCCTCCAGAAAAAAGGCTCTATGTAATTTTTTATTATGGCTTCTATTAGTCAAGGTTCTTCAGAGAAATAGAACCAGTAGGATATATATAAATCCTGTCAGATACATATATGTGTATATATATCCTGTCAGATATATATATGTGTGTGTGTATATATATATATATATATATATATCTGACAGGATTTATAATGGGAATCCATTATATATATGAGATATATATATCTCATATATATGAGATATATATATGAGATATATATATCTCATATATATGAGATATATATATGAGATATATATATCTCATATATATGAGATATATATATGATATATATATACATATCATATATACACACAAATATATGTGTCTCTCTATATATGACAGAATTTATAATGGATTTATATATATATAATCCATCCATATATATACATATATATGTATATATATGACAGGATTTATAATGGGAATTGGCTTACATAATTATGGAAGCCAAGGAGTCCCACAATCTGCCATCTGAAAGCTGGAGAAACTGGAGAGCTAGTATTGTAATTCAGTCTGAAGGGAACCAATGGTGTAACTCTCAGTCCAAGGCCAAAGACCTGAGAATGGGGGCAAGGTGGAGTTGGGGGCACTGGTGTAAATCCCTGAGTCTGAAGGTCTGAGAACCTGAAGTTCTGATGTCTGATGGCAGGAGAATATAGATGCCCCAGTTCCAGAGAGAGAGAGCAAATTCTCCCTCCCTCCATCTTTTTGTTTTATCTGGGCCCTTAACAGATTGGATAATGCCCATCTACACATTGAGAAATAATGTTTTATCAGCTATCTAAGTAATACTTAGTCAGGTTGACACATTAAATTAGCCATCACACCATCTGAAAAATATTTTGAACATATACCGTCAATAAACATGTATATATTATTTATTTCCAAATTATTCATATGTTCTACTCTACTAAACATTATGTACATTAAAATTCATAAAATAGAAATTAACAAGAACGAGAAAAAATGAAATTATGTAATGATATCAATGTTGATGTTATTAATACAATCATTATTACCATTTTAAATGTTCTAGATGCTTTGGGGTCTTTTGTTTTTTGGGGATTTTGGTGGGGGTGGGGGGATTAAAGAAAGGGTCTCACCCTGTTGTTCAGGCTGGCATGCAGTGACACAATCATGACTCACTGCAGCCTCGAACTCCTGGACTCAAGGGATCCTGCCACCTTAACCTCCCAAGTAGCTGGGACTACAGGTGTGGGCCACCATGCCCTGCTAATATTTTTTATTTTTTGTAGAGTCAGGTTATTGCTATATTGCCCAGGCTGGTCTTGAACTCCTGGCCTCAAGCAATCCTCCTGCCTTGACCTCCCAAAGTGCTGGGATTACAGGCATGATCCGCTGTGCCAGGCCTAGATGCTTAGTTTTTAGCTGTCTTGGTCATTACAAGCTGCTATGTCAAGGCACATTATATGCTGAAGTCAAGTTGTTTATAACAACAGATGCAAATCCATATTTCAGATATTCTTTGTGATTGTACTAAAAGTTTTTAGATGACTTATTTTCTGATTTGATTTAGTTATTAGTGTCTCTATAGCTTAATATTGTTTATATACATATTTCATACAGTTTGCTAGATTGTTTTGTATAAGTTTGTACTAAGAGTAGAATTGTAACCTCTACCATGTTCTGCTTATTAATTTAAGCTTGCATTATTAGTATTGTCTTAAATCTAATATTTTTTCCAGAAATGTTGATACTTTTCTATTTTGTGAAGTTAAATTTCTTTAAAATTAGATTATATTATTCATAAATTAACTTGACACAGGTAAACTGAAACATATCATGATATATTAAAAGCAACAAAGAACCAGGGACACTTCAGTCAACTATAATTAGTGACGTATTCATACAACATAATGCTAGGTAGCAGTAAAAATAAATATATTAGAACTACAGATATCAATGTAGATAAAAATCTAAAGTATAATATTAAGCAAAACCAATTTGTACCAGTATACATACGGTATAACATTTCAGAGGGAAAAGTAAAAAGGACTTTGTCTTGAACCTTAGGTACAGAATGGCCACAATGGGTAGAGTACCAAGTGGGCTCTTGGGGTCCTTGATTCTAGGACTTGACCTTTGGAAAGCATTTCTGGACCTGCCCTGGGCCACAAGGGAGCCCACTGCCCTGAAGGGTGAGTCCCAGGCCAGGCAGCATTTGCCACAAGCTGACTTAAAGAGACCTTGGGCTTTAAGGAAATATCTGCAGTAGTCTGACAGTACTACTGGTAGCCCAGGATGGCCATGGCTACAGGGTGAGGCTCCTTTGCCTTTGGAAAGGGGAGGGAAGGGTGGGAAGAACTGCATCATGTGGTTTGAGTGCCAGTTGATATTCGAAATGGCAATGGCTAGAAATTTCCAGAAATAATTTTTAAAAAAGAATTATTAAATTGAAGTATGCCATATGTCAAGCAGGATTTAAATAATGAGCAACAATAACATTAATAATAATAGTAATTATTATTATTATTAAATAAATTTAGTGAAATTTCAAAACAGTAAATGAAATAAAAGGAAAATCAAACCATATAAAGGGGCAGAGGAACAGATTATCTGTGAAGTTATTAGAATGATGGAAGACCTTTTGGAAGCAATAATAGAGGCCAGAAGATAGTAGAATTATATCTTCAGAATTCTGAGGGTAAATAACTGTCAATCTACAATGTCACACCCACCTAAGCTATCATTCAAAAGTGAGAATGAAACAAAGTCATTTGAAAACAAATACTTAGTTTATCACATATAAATCCTTGCAGAAAGAGCTATTAACAAATATACTTTGGCAAAAAATATAATTGAACTTACAAGACTGTGGGATGCAGTAATAAAATCATGTATTCCTGAACATACATTAGGCCACCAAAAAATTTTTATAAATACCAAAGAATCTATGGAATAAAGATTAAGTTCCTTAAATTATTAATAATAAAAATATAACCAAACCAACCTATTACCTTCAGCAAAATAAAGGAAAAATTCCAAATTATTCATGTGTCAAGGAAGAAATGATAAAAATATAAAAATATTTATCACTGAATTTCATTAAAAACAAAATGTAGAAAAATGGGGATGTATCTATGACAGAAATTACAAAGAAATACACAGCTTTAAATTTACATATTAGAAAAAATTGTACAAAATTAATGAGCTTTTTTAGTTTTGTAGCATATGTGTACGCACTTAAATGATATATTGATTAGTTTTGTTTTCAGCCATACACAAATTGTATCTTACTGTGTGTAGTAAAAAAGATAACAATAAAAACAAAAACCAAGTGAATTTGCTAGGGATGTGTACTAACCATGTTTTCTAGTTTTTGTATCCGATGTTTGACATATTAGGGCCTTGATAACTAGAGAGGGACTGCCCCTCCAAGAATTAGCAGAGTCTTAGAGATATCAAGCAACTCTCCAGTGAGTATGCTTTTCATATACAAACTAACCAATCCAGAGCCTTGCCGTCCACCTACCTGCTTTATCTAATTTTTACATTCGTGAGACACTAACCTTCTGCCCTAATCGCTGTAGGGCCAGACATGAGATAACTAGGGGCAGCCCCTACATCCTGGAGTACACTGAAATTGTTGAAACTAACCAATCCTAAATTTGGTCAATCCACTTATACTGCCTCACCTATTCATTCTTGAGAAAACCACAATGAAGGCTCTCCAGAAGTTTTGCTCACCCTGCCTGCAACTGACCTGAGTATTCTCTGTATTGTGGCTCTGCATGGTATGGCATTTTCCCCTCCTCTTGGGAACTGTGAATAATTAACTCTCGTTTAAATGCAATTGTCTCCTGATCTATTGGCTTCACTATATCTTAGTGAAACCGAAATTCCAGGTACATTTTTTAAAAGAATAAAACTTTAGGCCGAGAGCAGTGGCTCACACCTGTAATCACAGCACTTTGGAAGGCCGAGGCGGTTAGATCACTTGAGGTCAGGATTTCAAGACCAGCCTGCCAACATGGCAAAACCCCATCTCTACTAAAAATACAAAAAAAAAAAAAAAAAGGCTAGGCATGGTGGTGTGCACCTGTAACCCCAGCTACTCGGGAGGCTGAGGTACAAGAATCATTTGAACTCAGGAAGCAGAGGCTGCACTGAGCCAAGATCACATCACTACACTCCAGCCTAGGTGACAGAACGAGACTCTGTCTCAAAAAAAAAAAAAAAAAAAAAGGACTTTTATTGAACATTAATGGTTATGTTCTATTTATTTGTTTGGATAGTGTATCCACAGATGTTTATTATGAGGATTCACAATTTACTTATGCATTTCAGATATTCTTACACATGATGTGTATTCTTCAAAAATCTATATTTGAATATGTATATGTAAATATATCCAATATAACAAAAATATAATATTGGTGAGCTAACCATTCAACTTGATATTTTTTACAAGAAAAATAAACACAAATAATAAGAGAAATAAATAATAACAAATGCTGAAATTAATGAAATAGAAAAGCAAAGAAAGCATCGAAAGGATCAACAAAACTAAAAGTTGCTTCATTAAAAAATTATTAGTCCAGATGCAGTGACTCACACCTGTACTTTGTGTACCAGCACTTTGGGAGGCCAAGGTGGGCGGATCACTTGAGTTCAGAAGTTTGAGACCAGCCTGGCCAACATGGTGAAACGTCATCTCTAATAAAAATACAAAAACAAGCCAGGTATGGTGGTGCACACCTGTAACCCCAGCTACTCGGGAGTCTGAGGCACAAGAATCGCTTGAACCCAGGAGGCAGAGGTTGCAGAGAGCCGAGATCATGCCACTGTACTCCAGCCTGGGCGACAGACCAAGATTCTGTCTCAAAAATAAAAAAGAAAAGAAAATCAATGCAGACAAACTTCCGCAAGAATTACTAAGAATAAAAGAAAAGCAAAAATAAGCATTTCATTAAAAATGAAAAGAACTTTAGAATATACCATAGAAAGTTTATAAACCATATAAAAATTCTAATAACAAGTTTATACCAATATGTTTGAAAACAAATGAAAATGACAATGTATTAGATAAACATTACTTGCAAAACAGAAAAAGACCCATAGATAACCTGAATAGATATGTAATTATTTTAAAAAATTGAATAATAAATTGAAAATCTATTACACCCACCCCCAACACACACACAAAGGTAACAGGCCCATACAATTTTTCAGGAAAGTCCACCAAACTAATAGATAATCCCTAGATTAATCACTGTGTTCCGGATAATAGAAAAGAAGAAAAATCTATGCATTGCAACCTTGATATCCCTCTGGAAATATTTAAGTAGATAGATTAGATACATAGATGGGTGCTTAGCTATAAATAGACACATAGATACATAGATATAGATAGATACCAAGTATAATATATCCCAAAATACAAGCATGATAAATATTAGAAAATCTACTAATGTAAATT
Source organism: Homo sapiens (assembly GCF_000001405.40). NCBI lineage: Eukaryota > Metazoa > Chordata > Mammalia > Primates > Hominidae > Homo > Homo sapiens. Next base: position 113,167,845 of record NC_000023.11, on the reverse strand, counting down.
ATCTTATTAACAGATTAAAGGAACAAAAAATGATCATTTCAATAGATGCAGAAATGCAACTGATTAAATTCAACATCAATTCTTGACAAAATGTACATCTAAATTAGAAATCGATGAAGTTTTTTTAACTATAGAAAATGTATTTACCAAAACATAATGTAAATATTGTGCTTAATCACACATTCTTTTTTCAGATATGGAGAGTGGGAACTCTAAAGTCCTGCCATAGGATATATAAGTTGGTACACACCTTTAAAAATAAGCTTGAAAACATCTTGTAAAGCTAAATATGTGAATAATTTATCCAGCAATTAGTTTCTGGTTTTATTCCCAAGAGAAACGTATGCACTTGGTCACATGAAAATCCCATGTACAAGAATATTTATTGCAGCACTGATTACATGAAGAAAAAAATCAGAAACTAACTCTTTCAGAGAAGGAATAGATAATTAAAATCTTATTTAGTCATACAGTAAATTACTAGAGAATAGTAAAAGTTAATGAGCCATAGATACTTGGATCAACCAAATACATCTCAAAAACTAAGTTACAAGAGAAAATTGCAAAAACTCTTTCTACAACATGTCATTTAATTTGAACGTATACAAAGTAATACCATACACTGATATGGCTATATTGTAAAATTTAAAACAAACAAAAATTCAGAGAAAGGATACACACCAACCTCAGCCTAGTAAGTACCTTAATGGAAAGAGGGAAGGTTATGTAGATAATGAATAGCTTTTGTTGTATCTGCCAAGCATGTATCACCAGCTCTAATCTTACGTCTGCACACCAGACGTAACTAACTGCTTAACATATGTATCCAGTTGATTGTCTAATAGGAATATAAATATAATGGTGCAAAACAGAACATTTGAGCCACATCCACAATTTGTAACTCCTATAGTGGTTCTCATGTTACTATGTGGGACCACCATTCTCTCAGTTGCTCATACCAAAATCCTTGGCAATAACTTTTCCTTGTCTCTTTCTCTCATATTTCCCATACAGTGCATCCGAAAATCCAATCCATTTTACCTCTGAAATTTGTGCTGCATACAACCACTTTTTACCAAGAGGATTTGCTGATAAACTAGATGAGGGGTGAGAGAAAATAAGTATGACCCCAAGGTTTTTGGCCCAGGCAACTGAAATAATGGATTTGCCATTAATTGAAAGGCCATTGATTGAGATGTCATTAACTGACATGAATTCCCATTAATTCTTCTGTGGAAGAAACACTTTTGACCAGACTGAGGGGCAAATTTAATGAAAAAAAAAAAAAATCCCTGAAAACACAGGAGGCAATGTGGTACTAAAGAAATTAGCCTTGAGAAAGAAGGAAATCTTTGCTCTGAGCAGGAAGGAAAAAGTTAAGATGCATGAAAGTATGGAAATAAATGTAAGATCATAAAGAGAAGTTGGAGACTTTCCAAAGATAGCCTCCCCTTTGGGAGGCAAGAAGGAATACATGATATAGGAATGTGGAAGACAGTCATAGAGGTTTGAAACAGCCACATAGGGCATCACTGGGTTGACTAGGTATGAGTCCAGTGATCACCAAGCAATGTTGAAGGCCTAACAGAATCTAGAAACCATAAATCTGCAGAAGAGTTAAACGTTTTTATCCAAAAATGAAGGCTGGAAACTCTTGAAGGCTGAAATTTAAAAAGGAGAGTTGCCGAACACGGTGGCTCACACCTGTAATTCCAGCACTTTGGGAGGCCGAGGCAGGCAGATCACCTGAGGTCAGGAGTTTGAGACCAGCCTGGCCAACATGGCAGAACCCTATCTCTACTAAAAATACAAAAATTAGCTGGGTGTGGTGGTGCATGCCTCTAATCCCAGCTACTCGGGAGGCTGAGGTGGGAGAATCGTTTGAACCCAGGAGGTGGAGGTTGCAGTGAGCCGAGATCACGCCACTGCACTCCCGCCTGGGCAACAGAGCAAGACTCTGTCTCAAAAAAAAAAAAAAAAAAAAAAAAAAAGATAAAAAATAAAAAGGAGACTTACTGGCCAATAAGTTAATTCTTAACATTGTATAAATGTGACTACCGGGCCAACAAGAACTGAAGTAAGACTTTTTTCTTCTTCCACATTACCAGACAGTAGTAGGTGTGGGTGGATTAAAGAACCACCAATGCTATATGAGTTTAGCAGCCACAGAAAAACCCTCTGATCTAGAAGAGCATCATCCACCTGGTGCGGCAGACTCCAACACTTTTATCAGGAGAAATTAATATCAACAGATTAAGTCATATATTTCTTAGAAATTTTTTTATCCTTTCACAAAAAAGAAAAGGAAAACTTAGCCATCACTAGAAGCTTGGAAGGAATTTAGTTATCACATTTCTTTATCTTGGTACTAGAGCCTAAAGGTTAACTTTACTATGGAGTGAGTGAGGCACAAAGGACATTCTTCCTCTCTTCCACAGGTTTGCTTAGGACCAACAATGTAGCCATAAAACTTCAGGAATTGCCATTATTCACATAGATCTCAAAGCAACAAGCCTCCCTATCAGCCCTTTCTTGCCTTGCTATACAGATTTGTCTTTGTGTAGAATATTCAGAAGTTATGAAATCTTTCCTGTGAGGATCAGATACATGTCATTTCCATCTGAAGTTTTCAGGACTTCGCAAACCACACAAAGAGAAAACGTTCTATATCAGTTAATAGTTCTATGCCTTATGTAACAGAAAATCCAAATAACATTCTTAAATACTTAAATTTCCTTTTCTCATGTAACCAGAATTCTGGAGGTAGCTTTTAAGGACTGTCGTGGCAGCTTTACGATATAATTAGGGGTACAGACTTCCTTCTTTGTGCTCACAGGATAGTTGCGGGAAGAAGGAAAACAGAAAGTGGGGAAAAGCACATGCCAGTTGAGTTTCGTCTCTTTTAATCAAGAAACCAAGTTTTGTTGGAAGCCCCATCCAATAAAATGTCGTATATATCTCCTTGACCAGAATTGGATCACATCGCCAATCATAACTGCAAAAGAACCCGGGAAGTCAAGCTGTTTTGACTTTACCATCCTGAATTTCGTACGAATTCTGTGGCTAACAAAGAAAAAAAATGAATAATGAGTAAGTAATTAGCAGTGTTTTCCACAGGTAACGAGAAGGCTATTTAAAAAGCCAAAAGGTGGGGGAAGAAAAGAGAAAGCTCTGGAGAATATACTCCAAAAATTTAATGGCAGCTACATCTGGGGATGAGGAAATGGGTTCAGAAAACTTTATAAATTAATATGTTGTTTTAGTTTATTACAAGGATAAATAACATTGATTTTTTCTTAAGTCAGACTATTAAAAAAAAACCTCATGAAATCATGAAAACAACAAAAACTAAAGCCTAGGCAGCTGACTGACTGTGCTGGTGCAGCTAACTAACACTTCTCTGAGCCAGTCATGTCAAAGGTTGTGAACTCACCTAGACTTCATCTCACTTAAACCAATTGGTATATCTGATGTGATGTACGATCTTTGGACAGCTACCACCCCTCCCCCCCAGATTTGGGGGAGCACAGACATGTTTTACAAGTTCACCATGACAAAGATTCATAATTTGTTTCCTTTCCATTCAACTCTGGTTCTAGGCCACACATGCGTTCATGTGACTTGCTTTCTACTAAGGAAACTGACTTACTGGCAACAGAGCAGGCCCCAGTTGAGCAGCTGTATCATTTTTCAATACCATTACTTTACCCTCACTCCCATACTTACACACTGTTTTACAACTCTAGTGCTCTTTCCCATTCAATATCTTATCTGAACCTACAACATCGCATCAAATAATGAGGAAAGTGGTGCTCAGAGAGATTAAGCAATTTTCCTATCACAGAATTTATAAGTTACAGAGCTTGGAACAGAAGGGTAACACAAGCCAGGGTCCTGAGGGTGCTGACTCTTAGTTTATTTATGTGGTATTTTTGGCTACGTTTTTAAGAAAAGTAAACTTAGTTAAAGCACACTTACTGAACTAACTTTCTCTTAACGGATAGTTTCTGTGGCTTCTGTGATCTAGACTTTTAATGTACGTCATAAACATAGAAAAAGCAAAAAATTAAGAATAATGTCATTAGTTGTCTCCTCTTTTAAAATTCCTCATTTTCCTTGAACAAGATGCCTCATTGGATGCTAGATCCTGGTGACTATCTAGCCTGGTATATTTGATTAGACACTGCCTTTATTCTAATTTATATAAAAATATCCTCTAAATTTACCATATTCTCATTGGTCTTTATAGAGCTTTCAAATGGCTACAATGTCAAAAGCTCTGACTGTGGAAACCTAGCTTAAGAAAATATAGCTACAAGGCTTTGCTTATTTATCTAACTAGTAGACCTAAAATAAACACAAAAATATATATGTAAAAATATATACAGCAGCCTACAATATTCACATTTTTGCAAAAGTTTATATTCTGAAGACAGAATTTAAGAAGAGATGAGAGAAAAGGTGAATTCCATCAAGAACATTCCAGCAAAAATAATGGAACATTTTCAATATGCCTAACCTGAAGGGAACTAGAGAGTACTCTTATAAAAAATCACTGAGCCATTGAGGTTTAAGGACAAGATTTTCTTTACAAGGTGGTGTTTGTATAAGTTGCAAACATCCTGACACTTTATTTATATTTTCCTCCATGCATGCAATAAATAACTTTCTATTTGAATTCTTTATCAGCATGATAAAAAGGAAGCAAAAGAGACCATTAATATTCAGATAATGGAAAATGAAAATGTATAATAAGCAACGTCTCTGGGGGACAAAAAGCAGTCTACAGGAAACAGAATTCTTACATACTTACTGAGGCTCAGTCCTGATCTGTTAAAAGATACAGACTGACTGATCAAAATGCATTTTCTCCAGTCGAATCACATTATTTCTGTGGGAAACTGCTGTAACAAACACCTTATTTTCAAATAATAATAATAAGCTTCTTATCTATTTCACTTAGCTTATGAAAAGGTGCACGGTCAGCCTGTGGAATAAAATTGTATTTATCCATGTTTCCTCACTTTTTTGTAGAAATTCTACAGGAGAAATAGGATTTATGAAAAGAAAAAAGAATATGGAAGAGGTTGCACAGGGAAACATCCACAGTTGGCTAACTTGAAGACTTTGGTGGCATTTTAGCAAATCTAAATAGTATATTTCTAGGTTGATCAGGTTGTTTCCAAGCACATTTTCTACTTTTCCCTATCTGCTGACTAAGTATAGAAATATTACTACTACTCTATACAATAGTCAACAGCACTTAGAGTTTGAATGGGGAAAATACTCTCTATTTAATAAATGGTGCTGGGATAGCTGGCTAGCCATATGCAGAAGAATGAAACTGGATCACTGCCTTTCACCATATACAAAAATTAACTCAATATGGGTTAAAGATTAAAATGTAAGACCTGAAACTATAAGAATCCTAGAAGAAACCCTAGGAAACACCATTCTAGACCTCAGCTTTGAGAAAGAATTTATGCCTAAGTCCTCAAAAACAATTGTGATAAAACCAAAAATTGACAAGTGGGATTTAATTAATAAAGAGCTTCTCTACAGCAAAAGAAACTATCATCATGGTAAACAGACAACCTATAGAATGGGAAAAAATATTAGCAAACTATGCATCTGATAAAGGTATAATATCCTGAATCTATAAGGAACTTCAACAATTCAACAAACAAAAAACAAATAGCCCATTTAAAAAGTGGGCAATGAATAGCCAAAGCAATCCTAAGCAAAAAAGAACAAATTTAGGAGCATCACATTACCCAGCTTCAAATTATACTAAAAGGTTATAGTAACCAAAACAGCATGACGATGGCATAAAAGTAGATACATAGATCAATGGAACAGAATCACCAAGAAGTAAAGCCAAATACAACCAATTAAGCTTTGACAAAGCATACAGAAACATAAACTGCAAAAAGGACACCCTATTCAATAAATGGTGCTAGGAAAATTGGATAGCCACATGTAGAAGAATGAAACTTGATCCCTAATTTTCACCATATATAAAAATTAACTCAAGATGGATCAAAGACTTAAATCTAAGACCTGAGACCACAAAAATTCTAGAAGAAAACAAAAAAAATCTTCCAGACATTGGCCTAGGCAAAGAATTTATGACTAAGATCCCAAAAGCAAATGCAACAAAAACAAAAATAAATACATAGGACCTAATTAAATTAAAAAGCTTCTGCACAGCAAGAGATATAATCATCAGAGTCAACAGGCAACATACAGAATGGAAGAAAATATTTTCAAGCTATTCATCTGACAAAGGACTAATATCTAGAATCTACAAGGAACGCAAACAAATCAGCAAGAAAAAAAAATCTCTAAAGTGGGCAATTCACATGAATACACATTTCTCAAATGAAGATATATAAATGGCCAAGAAACATATAAAAAAAACCCCTCGACATTACTAATCAGCCGGGATATGCACATTAAAACCACAATGATACCACCTTACTTAAGCTAGAATGGCCATTATTAAAAAGTCAAAAGACAATATATGTTGACTGGGATATGGTGAAAAGAGAATGCTTATACACTGCTGGTGGGAATGTAAATTTGTATAAACTCTATGGGAAACAGTATGGAGATTTCTCAAATTACTAAAAGAAGATCTATCTACTATTGGATCTGGCAATCCCATTACTGAATACCCAAAGAATAGAGATCTTTATATCAAAAAGACCACTGCATTAAATTCTTATTGCAGTGCAATTCACAATTACAAAGTTATGGAATCAACCAAAGTGCTCATCAACCAATAAATAGATAAAAGAAATGTCGCATAAGCCAATATCATACTGAATGGGCAAAAGCTGGAAGTATTCCCCTTGAAAACTGGCACAAGACAAAGATGCCATCTCTCACCACTCCTATTTAACATAGTATTGGAAGTTCTGGCCAGGGCAATTAGGGAAAAGAAAGAAATAAAAGGTATTCAAATAGGAAGAGAGGAAGTCAAACTATCTCTTTTGCAAATGACATTGTCCTATATGTAGAAAACCCTGTTGTCTCAGCCCAAAAGCTTCTTAATCTGACAAGCAACTTCAGCAAAATCTCAGGACCCAAAATCAATGCACAAGAATCACTAGCATTCCTATACGGAAACAACAGGCAAGCTGAGAGCCAAATCACTAATGAACTCCCATTCACAATTGCCAAAAAAAAAAAAAGAATAAAATACCTAGGAATATAGCTAGCAAGGGAAGTAAAGGGCCTCTTCAAGGAGAACTACAAACAACTTCTCAAAGAAATCAGAGATGACACCCACAAATGGAAAAACATTCCATGCTCATGGATAGGAAGAATCAATATCGTGAAAATGGCCATACTGCCCAAAGCAATTTATAGATTGATGCTATTCCCATTAAACTACCATTGACATTCTTCACAGAATTAGAAAAAGCTATTTTAAAATTAATATGGAACCCAAAAGGATCCCAAATAGACAAGAGGATCCTAAGCAAAAAGAACAAAGCTGGAGGCATCACGCTATCCAACTTCAAACTATACTATGAGACTACCGTAACCAAAACAGCATTGTACTGGTAGAGCAATGGAACAGAATAGAGAGCCCAGAAATAAAACTGCACACCTACAACCATCTGATTTTTTACAAACCTGACAAAAACAAGCAATGGGGAAGGAATTCTTTATTCAGCAAAGAGTGCTGGGATAACAGACTAGCCATATGCAGAAGATTGAAACTGCACCCATTCCTTACACCATATACAAAAATCAACTCAAGATGGATTAAAGACTTAAATGTAAAACCCCAAATTGTAGAAACCCTAGAAGACAACTTAGGCAATACCTTTCAGGACATAGGCACAGGCAAAGATTTTATGACAAAGACACCAAAAGCAATTGCAACAAAAGCAAAAATTGACAAATGGGATCTAATTAAACTAAAGAGCTTCTGCACAGCAAAAGTAACTACCAACAGAGTAAACAGACAACATGCAAAATGAGATAAAATTTCTGCACTCTATGCATTTGACAAAGGTCTATTATCCAGTATCTATAAGGAACTTAAACAAATTTACAGGAAATAACAAATAACCCCATTAAAAAGTGGCAAAAAACATGAACAGATATTTCTCAAAAGAAGACATACATATGGCCAACAAACATGGAAAAAAAAAAAGCTCAACATCACTCATCGTTAGAGAAATGCAAATCAAAACCGCAGTGAGATACTATCTCATAACAGTTAGAATGGTTACTATTTAAAAGTCAAAAAATAACTGATTTTGGTGAGCTTGTGGAGATAAAGGAATGCTATTACACTGTTGGTGAGAGTGTAAATTAGTTCAACCATTGTGGAAGATAGTGGGGTGATTCCTCAAAAACATAGCGGCAGAAATACCATTTGACCCAGCAATCCTATTACTGGGTATGTACCCAAAGGAATATAAATTGTTCTATTATAAAGACACATGCACATGTATGTTCAATGCAGCACTATTCACAATAGCAAACACATGGAATCAACCTAAATGCCCAACAATGATAGACTGGATAGAGAAAATGTGGTACATATACACCACGGAATACTATGCAGCCATAAAAAGGGAAAAGATCACGTCCTTTGCAGGGATGTGAATGGAGCCAGAAGCCATTATCCTCAGCAAACTAATGCATTAACAGAAAACCAAATATTGCATGTTCTCAGCTGAATGATGAGAACACATAGACACATGGTAGGGAACAACACACACTACAGTCTGTTGGATGGTGTTGGTGTGAGAAGAGGGAAAGGATCAGGAATATTAGCTAGTAGATGCTGGGCTTAATACCTGAGTAATGGGATGATCTGTGCAGCAAACCAGCATGGCACATGTTTACCTATGTAACAAACCTGCACATCCTGCACATGTACCCCTGAACTTAAAAGTTGGAAATTTTAAAAACGAAAATGTAGTATATAGACACAGTGGAGTACTATTCAGCCATAAAAAAATGAGATCCAGTCATTTGCAGCAACATAAATGAAGTGGAGGTCATTGAGCTAAGTGAAATAAGCCAGGCACAAAAAGACAAATATTACATGTTCTCACTTATTTGTGGGATTTAAAAATCAAAACAATTGAAATTAGGGAGATAGAAAGCTCCAACTTGGATGAACAGAGCACTGCGTGGAGGCTCACGTCATGAATTTTTGCTCCATAATGACTGCAGGAATAAATCAGGAAACATGAGAGGACCAACAGACCCCCAGAAGGAAGTGGATTGCTCTTGCAGAAACCAGGAGACACCCCAAATACTGTGAGTCCCCAAACTGTGGAAGTGGGAAAGGGAGATCATCCAACCCTGAACATACACCCTCACTGGGGAAAATGAAGGCCTAGATTATGGGAGAAGATTTTGACCTGACCTGGAGCTGAGTCAATTTAGAGAGCCAGAATAAATAAGGGGTAGAAGAAGCAGTGGGAAAACCCCTGGGAGATTGCTGGGTCTCCTAGGAAGTCATTTTTTGCTGGGCCTCACAGGGGTCCTTTGGAAGGGTAGCCAGAGGAGCTGGGAAAAGGCCAAAGGGAGAAGGAAATCTCCAGCTAAACTTTGTAACAATTTGAACTGATCAAGAAGCCTCCTGGCCAGAACGCAGGGGAAGGCATGAATCCGGTCTGTATGCTTCACAGGCCATGGAAGAAGGAAAGGTATATTTGCTTTCACAGCTGGGAGGTGGGTAGCCTGAAGCAAGTTCTCAGCCCTGCTTGCCCACTGCCTGAAAACAGACTCAATACTGTTGGAAGGGGCACCATGGGACTGAGATCGGCCCTTTGGATTGTGTGGGAGCTGGGTGAGACCTGTGACTGCTAGCTTTTCCCCACTTCTCTGACAACCTGCATGACACAGCAGCGGCAGCCATAATCCTTCTAGGAACATAACTCCATTGACCTGGGAACCTCACCTCCATCCTCTACAGCAGCCACAGCAAGACCCACCCAAAGAGAGTCTGAGCTCAGACACGCCTAGCCCTGCCCCCAACCAATGGTCCTTCCGCACGCACCCTGGTAACTGAAGACAAAGGGCTTGTACTCTTGAGAGTTCTAGGGCCACACCCACCATCTGTTCTTCCCCATAGAATCACAGCTAATGCTCGCTGGAAAACGCCACCTCCTGGCAGGAGGCCAACTAGCACAAAAATAGTGCATTAAACCACCAAAGCTAGGAACTCTCACAGAGTCCATTTCACCCCTCTACCACTTCCACCGGAACAGGTGCTGGTATCCACGGCTGAGAGACCCATAGGCGGTTCAAATCACAGGACTCTGTGCAGGCAACCCCCAATATCATCCTGGAGCCTGGTAGACATGCTGGGTGGCTAGATCCAGAAGAGCGATAACAATCACTACAGCTCGGATCCAGGGAAGCCACATCCATAGGAAAAGGGGGCGAATACTACATCAAGGGAATATCCCGTGGGAGAAAAGAATCTGAAAAACAGCCTTCGGCCCTAGATCTTCCCTCTGATAGAGCCTACCCCAATGAGAAGGAACCAGAAAACCAACCCTGGTAATATGGCAACACAAGGTTGTTTAACATCCAAAAAAAATCACACTAGCTCACCAGCAATAGACCCAAACCAAGAAAAAATCCCTGATTTACCTGAAAAAGAATTCAGGAGCTTAGTTATTAAGCTAATCAGGGAGGCACCAGAGAAAGGCGAAGCCCAATGTACGGAAATCCAAAAAATGATACAAGTGAAGGGAGAAATACTCAAGGAAATAAATGGCATAAATAAAAAACAATCAGAACTCCAGGAAACAATGGACACATTTATAGAAATGCAAAATGCTCTGGAAAGCCTCAGGAATAGAACTGAACAAGTAGAAGAAAGAAATTCAGAACTTGAAGACAAGGTCTTCACATTAATCCATTCAACAAAGACTAAGAAAATATGAACAAAGCCTCCAAGAAGTCTGGGATTATGTTAAATGGCCAAACCTGAGAATAATTGGTGTTTCTGAGGAAGAAGAGAAATCTAAAAGTTTGGAAAACATATTTGGGGGAATAATCAAGGAAAACATCCCCAGCCTTGCTAGAGACCTACACATCCAAATACAAGAAGCACGAAGAACACCTGGGATATTCATCACAAGAAGACAATCACCTAGGCACATTGTCATCAGGTTATCTAAAGTTAAAAATGTAGGAAATAACCTTAAGAGCTATGAGACAAAAGCACCAGGTAACCTACAAAGGAAAACCTATCAGATTAACAACAGATTTCTCAGCAGAAACACTACAAGCTAGAAGGTATTGGGGCCCTATCTTCAGCCTCCTAAAACAAAACAATTATCAGCCAATAATTTCGTATCCAGTGAAACTAAGCTTCAAATATGGAAGAAAGGTGCAGTCTTTTTCAGACTAACAAAGGCTGAGGGAATTTGCCACTACCAAGCCACCACTACAAGAACTGCTAAAAGATGCTCTAAATCTTGAAACAAATCCTGCAAACATATCAAAACAGAACTTCTTTAAAGCATAAATTTCACACGACCTATAAAAAATACAATTTAAAAAACAAACAAACAAAAAACAAAAAAGCAAGGTATGAATGGAATGGCACCTCACATCTCAATACCAACATTGAATGTAAATAGCCTAAATGCTGCACTTAAAAGACACAGAATTGCATAATGGATAAGAATTCACCAACCACCTCTTTACTGCCTTCAAGAGACTCACCTAACACATAATGACTCGCACAAACTTAAGGTAAAGGGGTAGAAAAAGACATTTCATGCAAATGGACGCTAAAAGCGAGCAGGAGTAACTATTCTTATATCAGACAAAACAAACTTTAAAGTAACAGGATTTAAAAAAGACAAGGAGGGACATTATATAATGATAAATAGCCTTGTTCAATAAGAAAATATCACAATACTAAACATATATGCACCTAACACTGGAGATCCAAAATTTATAAAACAATTACTAATAGACCTAAGAAATGGGATTGACAGCAACACAATAATCATAGGGGATTTCAATACTCCACTGACAGCACTAGACAGGTCATCAAGACAGAGTGTCAACAAAGAAACAATGGATTTAAACTACACCCTGGAACAAATGGACTTTACAGATATATACAGAACATTCCATCCAAAAATCAAAGAATATACATTCTATTCAACAGTGCATGGAACTTTCTCCAAGATAGACCATAGGATTGGCCACAAAACAAGCCTCAATAAATTTAAGAAAACTGAAATTATATCAAGCACTCTTTCACATGACAGTGGAATAAAACTGAAAACTAACTCCAAAAAGAACCTCCAAAACCATGCAAATACATGGAAATTAAATAACCAGTCCCTAAATGATCATTGGCTCAAAAATAAAATCAAGATGGAAATTTAAAAATTCTTCAAACTGAATGACAGTAATGACACAATCTGTCAAAACCTCTGGGATACAGCAAAGGCGGTGCTAAGAGGAAAGTTCATAGCCCTAAATGACTGCATCAAAAATTCTGAAAGAGCACAGACAGACAATCTAAGGTCACACCTCAAAGAACTAGAGAAACAAGAACAAACCGAACCCACACCTAACAGAAGAAGGAAAATAACCAATATCAGAGCAGAACTAAAAGAAATTGAAATAAAAAAAATACCAAAGATAAATGAAACAGAAACCTGCTTCTTTGAAAAGATAAATAAAATTGATATACCATTAGAAGAATTAACCAAGAAAAGAAAAGGGAAAATCCAAATAAGCTCAATAAGAAGCAAAACGAGAGATACTACAACTGACGCCACTGAAATACAAAAGATCATTCAAGGCTACTATGAACACCTTAACACGCATAGGCTAGAAAACCTAAAAGAGATGGATAAATTCCTGTAAAAAATACAACCTTCCTAGCTTAAATCAGGAAGAGTTAGATACCCTGACCAGACCAATAACAGGCAGTGAGATTGAAACAGTAATTTTAAAATTATTAACAGGGAAAAGTCCAGGACCAGGCAAATTCACAGCAGGATTCTACCAGACATTCAAAGAATTGGTACCAATCCTATTGACGCTATTACTCAAGATAGAGAAAGAGGGGACCCTCCCTAAGTCATTCTGTGAAGCCAGGACACAACGATAAAGAAAACTAAAGTCCAATATCCCTGATGAACATAGATGTTAAAATCCTTAACAGAATACTAGCTAACTGAATCCAACAACATATCAAAAAGATAATCCACCATGATCAAGTGGGTTTCATACCAGTGATGCAGAGACGGTTTAACATATGCAAGTCAATAAATGTGATACACCACATAAACAGAATTTAAAAGAAAAATCACGTGATCATCTCAATAGATGCAGAAAAAGCGTTCTACAAAATCTGGCATCCCTTTATGATTAAGACTCTCAGTGAAATCGGCATACAAGGGACATACCTCAATATAATAAAAGCCATCTATGACAAACCCACAGCCAACATAATACTGAATGAGGGAAAGTTGAAAGCTTTCCCTCTGAGAACTGGAACAAGACAAGGATGTCCATTCTCAGCACTCCTCTTCAACATAGTACTGGAAATCATAGCCAGAGCAATCAGACAAAAGAAAAAAAAAAAGGGCATCCAAATCGGTAAAGAAGTCAAACTGTCGCTACTTGCTGATGATATGATTGTTTACCTAGAAAATCCTAAAGACTCCCCCAGAAAGCTCCTAGAACTGGTAAAATAATTCAACAGTTTCCAGATACAAAGTTAATGTACACAAATCAGTAGCTCTTCTATACTCCAACAGCGGCCAAGCTGAGAATCAAATCAAGAACTCAACTCCTTTTACAATAGCTGCAAAAAATAAAATAAAATACTTGGGAATATACCTAACCAAATAGGCAAAAGACCTCTACAAGGAAAACTAGAAAACACTGCTGAAGGAAATCACAGACAACAAAAACAAATGGAAACACATTCCATGCTCATGGATGAGTAGAATCAATATTGTGAAAATGGCCATACTGCTAAAAGTAATCTACAAATTCAATGCAATTCCCATTAAAATACCACCACCATTCTTCACAGAATTAGAAAAAAACAATTCTAAAATTCATATGAAACCAGAAAAGTCAGTGAACACTTTTTTTAACTTTAAAACAAAGATTTATTGAAGTATAATTGGCATACAATAAACTTCGCATGTTCAAATTGTACATTTTGATACATTTTATCTACGCAAGAATGAAACCATCACTCCAATTAAGCTAATGAATAGATCCACCTCCCTCAACTGTTTACTTGTGCCCTTTTGTAACTCTTCTCCTGCCCCTCCTAAAGCTTCCCTCCAAACAACGACTGGTCTGTGTTCCATCAATATAAATTGGTTTTCATTTTCTAGGATTGTATATAAATTGAATCATACAGTATGAACTCTTTTTGTTTGGCTTTAGTCATTCGGCATAATTAGAGATTTATTCATGTTGTTGCATGCATCAATGGTGTATGTACCACAGTTTGTTCATCCATTCACCTGTGGATGGATCTTTGAGTTGTTTACAGGTTATGAAAATTACAAATAAAACTGCTTTATATATTTACATACAAACAATTGTACTAGTGCACATTTTTATTTCTATTGTGTAAATACTTATGGGAAGAATGGCTGGATCATATGATAGGTGGACATTTACCTTATAAGAAAGTAGCAAATTGTTTTCCCAAGTGACTGTACAACTTTATATTTCCAGCAGCAGTGTAAAAAGTTTCAGTTCCTTCACATCCTTGCCAATATGTGGCATGGTGAGTGTTTTTAAATTTAGCCATTCTAATAAGTATGCAGCTGTATCTCATTGTGGTTTTAATATGCATTTCCCTAATGGCTAATGATGTTGAGCATTTTTATGTGATTATTTTCAACCCATATATCTTCTTTGGTGAAGTGTTTGTTCAAGTCTTCTGTCCATCTTACTATTGGATTGTCTGTACTTTTTATTGTTGAGTTGTAAGAGTTCCTTATGTATTCTCGGTACAAGTTCTTTGTCAGATATATGATTTGCAATTTTTTCTCCTAGTCTATGGCTTGTCTTTTCATTCTCTTAACAGTGTCTTATAAAGAATTATGGATAAATTTATAATTTTGATATGTGCAATGTATCATTTTTTTCCTTTTATGGATTGAGATTTTGTTGTATCTAATACAGAGATCAGAAAACTAATTCTCTACAGTACCAAAGAGTAAATAGCTTAAGCTTTGAGGACCACATGGTCTCTGTCACAATTATTCAACTCTGCATTTGTGACACAAAAGTAATTGTGGCTAAATACATAATGAATAGATAAGGAGGTGTTCCAGTACATCTGTATGTATAAAAATAGGTAGTGGGCTGGATGTGGCCTAAAAATTGTAGTTCGCCAGCCCTTAATCTAAGAAATCTTTACATTTAGGTCTATGATCCATTTTGAGTAAAATTTAAAATGTATTATAAGGTGTGGACTGAAGTTTATCTTTGCATATGGATATCCAAATATTCCAGCCCCATTTGTTGAAAAGACTCTACTTTGCCTACTAAATGGTCATTACACCATTTTAAAAAATCACTTTTACTGTCTTAATACCATAAACTAGGTGGCTTATAACAACAGCAATTTCTTTCTCACAGTTCTGGTGGCTGGCAAGTCCAAGATCAAGGTGCTAACAGATTCAGTGTCTAGTGAGAGACCACTTTCTGGCTCATAGACAGTGTCTTTTTGCTGTATTCTCACATGTGGAAGGGAAAAGGGGTTTTCTTCAGGCCTCTTTTATAAGGGAACCACTACTTCCATTTTTGAAGGCTCTGATCTCATGATCTACTTACTTCCCAAATAACCCACCTCCTCATACTATCACATTGGTGATTAAGTTTCAACATATGAATCTTGAGAAATAAGCCAGAAACAGAAAGACAAATACTATGTGATTTCACTCATATGTGGAATCTTAGAAAGTTGAACTTATAGAAGCAGAGAGTAGAATTGGAGGTTGCCAGAGGTGGTGGGGGTTTGGGGGAGATGTTGGTTAAAGGATATAAAATTTTAGTTAGATAGGAGGAATAAATTGAGATTTGTTATACAACATGGTAACTATAGTTAATAACAATGTATTGTACACTTGAAAATTGCTAAAAGAATAGATTTTAAGCATTCTCACCACAAAAAATGATATATAAGTGAGATAATGGATATGTTAATTAGCTTAATTTAGTCATTGTATACATATTTAGCCAATTTAGCCAATATATACATATATCAAAACATGTTGTATACCATAAAGATGTATAATTTTTATATGTCAGTGTAAAAACAAAAATGAATAAAACAAAAACATGAATTTTGAGGGGACACAAACATTCAGATTTCAGCATTTACATATAGGTATGGGTCTATTTCTGGACTCCTTATTCTTCCCCATTGATCTATTTGTGTATCTTCACATCAATACAACATTGCCCTTATTACTATAGTTTTATAAGTCATTAAAAACAGGTGATGTTAGTCCTCCGACTTTTGTTCATCTCTTCGGAAGTTGTCTTGGCTGCTCTAGGTCCTTTGCATTGCCTATGAATTTTAGAATCAGTTTGTCAATTTCTACCAAAAAGGCCTCCTGGGCTTTTGATAAGCATTTACTTGGATCCATAGGTTAATTTTTGGAGAACTGACATATTAACAATTTGGAGTCCTCTTACCCATGAACTGTGGCCACCAAGAAATGGGCTGCCTGAATCTCCTGCTTCATGGAACATAGTTGACCATCAGCCCCAGCTGTGGGTCCACCATCACATTTGTGTCAATGCTACACTCTCTCCATGCTGCTCCTAGCCAAAATGTAAGTAAGGAAGGGAAACAAGTGCAGGCTTATTCCTGCAGGACATGGGTCTTCTTTAATAGACAACCTTGGGTCAAGAAATACCCACTGACTTGGCTGAAGCTTTCTTAGAACTGCACTGCAATCTGATACTCTTCCCCATATCCCCTCTTTCGGCACTCTCCTTCTACAGGGGTCTGACCTGCACCACTATCTGAAGACTCTCACAGCCTAATCCTGATGGCCTCCTTTTGTCCTTCATGGGAATTTCCCCAATAAAGTTCTTATATGTCTAACCCTGTCTTGGTATCTCCTTCTCGAAGGATCCAAACTAACACATGCCATGAAGATTTGTGGTTTGTGCTGCTGCTAAGTCAGAGATGGACACTACCTTAGAATGTGGGAAGGATTTGAGTAGCAGAATCACTTCAGTAGTAGAAAAGATTAACTAGTCAAATCCTCATGTGGTACAAATACAGTAGATTTTTGCATAACTTGACACAGTTTCATCTTGAAACAGTGCTCAGCATCCATTTGCTTGCTCTCTTCCTATTACAATTTGTGGTTCTTGTGATTCTCACAAATCCAGCAATTGCACACGTTGACTGAGGAACATTTTACATGATTAAACAATTCATAATATTCCTAAACTTGTATATACATCCATCAAGACATAACATAGGTGAAACATAACACCAATTCTTTGTGATGCCCCTAATGTGTGTCAAAATAAATATTTGTGGATAATCTAATACACAAATGTTTAAGAGGTAAATTTATACATTTTTTTAAATTGAGCAAAATGTTTAAATGCTACATAAATTTGGTTGAAGGGTTGTATTAATTTTGATTTTTAATTTCTTAATTTTAATATTTTGGAAGAAAAATAACTTTTTTAAAAATAGTTTTTATTCGAATTTACATTTTATATAAAATATGTTAAATTTTGTAAACTTTCAGTACATTTTCATTTGTAATCCTTCAAACCAGAACTGCAAATTGAGCACAGATTATGTGAAAATCTTGATTATAACAACATAATAGTGATCTTTCAGCAGTGAAAGCAAGAAAAGTAAATTTAATAGTACAAACATATACTAATCTATAAATTATACATGTATTTATGTTATTACTTATCCAAACACCATGAGACTGTAAACAGAAGGCCAGATACATAAACTAATAATTAAATTTAGTAGTTTTGGGCATTTTACTAACATTCAGCATATGAAAAATACAGTTTTACACGTTTCAATTTTATCAATATAAAGTTATATTCATCAAGGTAGGAGATAGACTATCATTTAACATTTACTTAGCTTTATGTGCAACCTTTTTCTAAAATTTTAATGTAATTTTTGTTAGGTTTTTTTTGCAGATACTTATCTCTGGACTAGAAGAGAATCCTTTGCCTTACCTGAGTGATCAAATTATTTCAATATGCAGCTTTTAAATATGTATGAATATGGTACATGAGCTTTTGTTGGCATGCTTGCTCTGGGCCCTGCAAATTTTTAGGATAGGCCTGCCTTTCACTGTGAGTGTGTGTGGAATGATTGAAAAGGGGTTTCTCAAGAGCTTCTAGAGCTGGCGTCTCCACTTCACTCCTTGATGGATGGGATGTGCGTAGATATTTCTCGGGGCAAAGAGAGAGCCCAAGAGCTTCTTCTTCACTCCTATTTGGCAGCCAGGAAATAGGTGGGCTTGATATGTAATGTAGCTTTAAACAAGCCATAGCCCCCAGCAGGGCTGGTCCTCCCTTTTTCTTTTCCCTTCTTGCCACCTAACCCCACCACATTTCTCATCTTCCTTCCAAGGTCACGGGTCACCATCCCTGCTTTTGATTCACATCCCTCCACTCAAGCAAGCCTCTGGTCCCCTTTTATCCACAGAAGTCAAATTTTCAGGGACTTCTGCCTGCATCTAAAACTGTGGCTTCACCATCAAGGATGTCTCCATTCTATTTCTGGTCCACTGAGTGGTTTATCCTTTTTTTTTTTTTTTTTTTGAAATGGAGTCTCACTCTGTTGCCTAGGCTGGAGTGCAGTGGCACTATCTTGGGTCACTGCAACCTCCACCTCCCAGGTTCAAGTAATTCTCCTGCCTCAGCCTCCCAAGTAGCTGGGATTACAGGTGTCCACCATCACGCCTGGCTAATTTTTGTATTTTTAGTAGAGACGGGGTTTCACCATGTTGTTTCACCATGTTGTTGCTCGAACTCCTGACATCAAATGATCCGCCTGCTTCGGCCTCCCAAACTGCTGGGATTACAGGCATGGGTCACCACACCCAGCTGAGTGGTTTATCTTTTTGAGTATAACCATGCCTTTCTAATTTTGTTTTCTATTATTATTTTTATGTGTCTTAAATGGGGGAAAAATAAAATTAAGGCTTAAATTTATGGTGCATTTTATTGCCTACAATTTTTTTTACTTATCAAGATAAACCTTTTTGCACATTTATTTGTGTTTATATTTCTTCTTTTTTAAATGTTTGGTTCATAGCCTTTGCCCAATTTTTATTGGCATATTATTTTATGTGTATTTTTTAAATGTTACTAATTTGCAAATTTTCTTTACATATTAAGGTCATTGGCCCTTTACCATATTTTTGTAAAACTTTCACCCCAGATTATCATATGCCATTAAATATTGTTTATTATTCACTTAGGTGGACAGATGTTTCCATTATATGTATTTATTTTTATGTTAAAGTCAAATTATAATATTTTCTTTTAAATTTTCTCAATGTATATTCTATAAATTCTACATATTCTATGATTCTACTGTTACCATCTCTATTCTCTTAATGTTCCCATGTCAACATTAATAGTCTTTTGTTTGAAAGACTTTTAATGTCTGCATCCCCTTTTTAAAAAGTGGCAATAAACTAAAGAACCTATCAATTTCTACCTGGAGCGCATGTTCCAAAGCTATATAATGCAGCTGCATTATTCTGATTCTCTACTTTATGACTAATTGAATCTATATGCACAAAAACATTTTGTACAACAGCTGGAGAATTAAAATATTAAACCCTCAGTGATGATTGCTAATTATTTTCTTTCTTTCCTGGTGACAGACCTCAAGTTGTCAGAATGTAAAGGCAACGTACGGTACAAATAGAAACCACATTACTGTGAATTCAGTTTGCACACATCATTATTGGAGAAAGACACTAATCATAACTTACCAAGGAAAACATTGTAGCCTGAATAATTTGTATTTAATCCTTCTTAATGCAAAGAATGTAGAAATGCTCCTGAAGTTTCCACAAAGCGCTCTCCCCATGTAAGAGTTAGCACCTATCCGCTACCTTGTTTTTGTGTGGATCCTTCACTCAACATGAAGCAATTACTTAGCTAAATCCAATGGTCCTCTATCAGGTTGATTCTTAGCTGCATTACCATTTCTATCTTTGAGGTTTGATTTCTCTCTTTCCTAGATTTCCCTTCTTTTACATGGAGTATAATCAAAAAGGTACTAGATTTAGGGTCAGAAATCAATCATTAGAATCCAACTGATCAATTTCCAGCTGTGGGACCTTGGGTCTACTTACATAAACATTCTGAGCTTTAGTAAAATCACAAAGTTGTTAGAATTTAATTATATGAGCTAACATATGTAAAAACACTAAGCCTAAAGCACTGGGTAATCACTTGGATTCAAGTGTCAATTTACCTGTTGACTTTTGGAAGGCCCTATAGTTCAGTCCTAAGCCCTCTGGCTTTTTGCCATCTAAATTCATTCACTCACATAATTCCATGAAATATCTCTTCAAAATCTAACTAGCACCTCTATCAGACCCCTTCCTTCATTACTCCCACCGGAGGGTCCCACCTTTACTAGGGGCCCAACTTGGAACAATATCAACCTGTATTTGCTTTTTATGTTTTTGTTTTGGTTTTTGAGAGGAAGTCTCGCTCTGTTGCCCAGGCTAGAGTGCAGTGATGCTATCTCAGCTTGCTGCAACCTCCACCTCCCAGGTTCAAGCAATTCTCCTGCTTCAGCCTCCCGAGTGGCTGAGACTACAGGCGCGTGCCACCACGCCTGGCTAATTTTTGTATTTTTAGTACAGATGGGGTTTCCCGTGTTGGCCAGGCTGGTCCTGAACTCCTGACCTCAGGTGATGGACCCACCACGGCCTCCCAAAGTGTTGGGATTATAGGAGTGAGCCACTGTGCCCAGCCTCGGCATTTGTTGATATTTTGATTGTTAAATGTTTCTCATTGTGTATATTCAATCATACCAAGTAGATGATCAACTTTTTAAAGGCAGAGGCCATGTCTTCAGTTTTTACAGTAGTCACTGTAAGCATACAAGGGGTGAGGTACACCATAGGATGCAACATTTTCCTTGTTTCTTCTTAAATAAATGCTGCAGCATCTTTCAGTTTGCAGATTTGATTTAACTGATAAGACAGCCTCATCAATCAAAGACAATGAAACCATTCTGCTTTTTCACTAGCTTCATCGATGTAAAAGTATACTTTTCATTCTGTGACTACTCAGGGAAAGAGCTAGGCAGACTATGGAAGGGAAGCAGTAGACTGGAAGAAACCAACCTAGTGAGAGATTGTTAGTGAGCAGTGAATGAGAAAAGAGTCAAACAAGCTGTGGAAAGTAAATGGTATATAGGGAATTTGAAGATGTACCTATTTTTAAAGTTCTAATAACTAAGTGACAACTTAGTTATTTACTGATATATAAGTATCATGCTCATTTACTGATATATCGGCACGTTTCTCCATGCAAATTTATATTTTGACCTCTGCACTATATAGGTAGGCCTTCACCCCGCTGTTTCACCACCTGCTGCTTTAACAGCTGCTAATAAGCAGAAATCTCAGCTTCTATAGAAGCAAGTCAGGGAAGGGAGTAGCGAGAAAGGAAGGAATCGAGAGGGGGCTAAGAAGATGGAAGAAGGGATCTACGGAAAAAGATCGAGGGTAAAATCAAGGAGAGAAGACTGGAAAGTGTGAGGAAGAATGGGGTGACTGGGGGAGTTGGAAAAGTTAAGAGTATAAGGATTTTAAAGATCTTTTGTACTGGATTCATAAATTAGTTGCTTTTCAGAGCTACCTACAGTGGATGAAGGGGCCTATACCAAAAGTCTGATCAATTCCTTTATATGGAGATGGGTAATACTACAGGAGGTCTTCCAGGAGATAGATGAAGAGGCTGAGGAGTTTCTTTTCCATCATACCCTTTCCCTCTTCCCTACCTGGTGATCTTTCTCCATCCTTTTTCTCCTCCACTTCTCTCCTCAACTCTGCATTTAACACCCTGAAAACTGTGAAGGACAATAAGGCAAATGCATTGTATTCCCCTCTCTCACCCATGGCCGTTTTCTAAGTTTGAGCATTGAATATATCATGGGGTGAGCTATATTGTGCATAAGCTCTGTGTAACCTATGTCTAACTTCCAAGAACTCAAAATCCACATAGTTTGTCCAGGATAAGAGTGGTGAGGGTTGAGGTGGGAATCCATCTACCCTGATTATAAAAGTTAAACCTAATCAGAGAGAAGAGATTGACTTATCCTCGAAAACTCAACATACACGGTATAAAGTACACACAAAATGATTAACAAAGAAAGGTAGAAGGGAAACACACTGTAAAGTGCATATATAAATATTCACCTCCAAAGAGAAAGATTTTCTTAGTCTACTGAAAATAGGAATATTTCAAGGAATATCATTCTCAAAGTCAGTGTTACATTTTTTAATTAAAATTAGATTTTTTCCTTTGCCTCATAAGAAGCAACTACACTATCTGATAGCAAAAATTATAGCATCTAATGCATAACAGAGGGTATACATCAAATACATGGTTATAGATTTCATGAAATGTTCGCTTCTTTACCCAGAAATGTGAGGCCACATCAGCCAGATTTCACAGATGAACTATAAGTGATCTAATAAATAGAAATAATACTATAAAATGGTAATATTTAACATATTCTAACCTGGACAGAGTAATTATTATTATGAAATAGTTTATACAAAACTACAAAGGGAGCAAAGTGAAAGGCAATTCATTTCTTCATGCTTAATTTATGCAAAACATCAAATGGGCCTAAATAATTGAGGCTACTTACAATCATAAAGACTTCTAAGAGCAGAGAACACTAGGACAGTTTGAATGGAAAAACATAAACCTGAATAAAAATGCTGGTAATTTAATAATGATTGACAATTACTGAGTGCTTAACCTGTATCAGACAATTTTTGAAGCACTGTATATATAGCATCCTTTTTCATCATCAGAACAATCTTATGTGGTCAATGCTCCTGATGGCCTTATTTTATAGGTGGGGAAATTAAAGCATAGAGAGAGACTAAGTAATTTGTACAAGGTCATGCAGTAAGTGGTAAAGTCAAACATTGATAGTCTGGCTCTGAAGGCCAAGTAGTTAACTGCTAAGCTATAGTTCCCACAAGAGAGCTTAGAAGAAGAGCAGTTAGGAGGCCACAGTCTAAGTGGAAGAAATAGTACTTGAAATAATGATAGTTGTTGTAGGAATTTGAATGATTTATAGGAAATTTTGCAAAAGAAGAATCAGTAGGATTTGATAACTGATTGTATATGAAGAGTGAGAAAGAGTTGTTTACATTGACCGCAGTTTCAAGTCTGAGTAATTTGGTAGTGATATTAACTAACTAGGAAAAAGGAATTGTAACTTTTTTATGAGGAATGAGGGATTCAGCTTTAGACACATAAAACTGAAATATCTTAAAGATTTACTAGGTATAAATAAATAACCAGGAGGCAGATTAAAATACAGTCTTGAATCCCCCCCAAAAAATGGTTGGTGATACAATTTGGGTGATACATACATACAGAAAATTGATCTTAGGATGGAATCTTTGAGGGGATTTATAATGAGTAGATGAAAGATGAGTCAGAAAGAAACTTCATCAGAGTTTATCAGAAAGGTAAGAGGAGAATCAGGAGAGCTCAGTCTTTTAGAAACCAAGAAAAAAATATTCTAGTAGGAGGAGTTATTCTAAAAGTAATAATGCTGCAAAGAATCTAAACAGAATGAGTACTGAAAAGATGCCACTGTATTGTCAGTTAGAATGGTTTGAAAGGGCAGCTCTATTAATGTGGTGAGGGCAGAAGACATATCACAAGTCACTGAGAAAAGAGAAATATTAGTGGAGTTAGAGATGATACACTACTTTTTCAAGACCTTCGTTTGGGAGGAAATGTGAATGATAAAGGACAGTTTTAGGAAGAACATTAAGTCAAATAAAGACTTCTTTAAGCTACTGACCCTTTAAGCATACTGTAGGCAGATATAAATGAGCGAGTGGAAAGGTATTAAAAATAAAAGATGGAATATTCAATTAGGAAAAGAGGAAGTCAAATTGTCCCTGTTTGCAGATGACATGATTGTATATCTAGAAAACCCCATTGTCTCAGCCCAAAATCTCCTTAAGCTGATAAGCAACTTCAGCAAAGTCTCAGGATACAAAATCAATGTACAAAAATCACAAGCATTCTTATACACCAATAACAGACAAACAGAGAGCCAAATCATGAGTGAACTCCCATTCACAATTGCTTCTAAGAGAATAAAATACCTAGGAATCCAACTTACAAGGGACGTGAAGGACCTCTTCAAGGAGAACTACAAACCACTGCTCAATGAAATAAAAGAGGATACAAACAAATGGAAGAACATTCCACGCTCATGGGTTGGAAGAATCAATATCCATACTGCCCAAGGTAATTTATAGATTCAATGTCATCCCCATCAAGCTACCAATGACTTTCCTCACAGAATTGGAAAAAAACTACTTTAAAGTTCATATGGAACCAAAAAAGAGCCCACATTGCCAAGTCAATTCTAAGCCAAATGAACAAAGCTGGAGGCATCACGCTACCTGACTTCAAACTATACTACAAGGCTACAGTAACCAAAACAGCATGGTACTGGTACCAAAACAGAGATATAGACCAATGGAACAGAACAGAGGCCTCAGAAATAATGCCACATATCTACAACCATCTGATCTTTGACAAACCTGAGAAAAACAAGCAATGGGGAAAGGATTCCCTATTTAATAAATGGTGCTGGGAAAACTGGCTAGCCATACGTAGAAAGCTGAAACTGGATCCCTTCCTTACACCTTATACAAAAATTAATTCAAGATGGATTAAAGACTTACATGTTAGACCTAAAACCATAAAAACCCTAGAAGAAAACCTAGGCAATACCATTCAGGACATAGGCATGGGCAAGAACTTCATGTCTAAAACACCAAAAGCAATGGCAACAAAAGCCAAAATTGACAAATGGGATCTAATGAAACTAAAGAGCTTCTGCACAGCAAAAGAAACTACCATCAGAGTGAACAGGCAACCTACACAATGGGAGAAAATTTTTGCAATCTACTCATCTGACAAAGCGCTAATATCCAGAATCTACAATGAACTCAAACAAATTTACAAGAAAAAAACAAACAACCCCATCAAAAAGTGAGCAAAGGATATGAACAGACACCTCTCAAAAGAAGACATTTATGCAGCCAAAAAACACATGAAAAAAATGCTCATCATCACTGGCCATCAGAGAAATGCAAATCAAAACCACAATGAGATACCATCTCACACCAGTTAGAATGGCAATCATTAAAAAGTCAGGAAACAACACGTGTTGGAGAGGATGTGGAGAAATAGGAACACTTTTACACTGTTGGTGGGACTGTGAACTAGTTCAACCATTGTGGAAGTCAGTGTGGCGATTCCTCAGGGATCTAGAACTAGAAATACCATTTGACCCAGCCATCCCATTACTGGGCATATACCCAAAGGATTATAAATCATGCTGCTATAAAGACACATGCACACGTATGTTTATTGTGGCACTATTCACAATAGCAAAGACTTGGAACCAACCCAAATGTCCAACAATGAGAGACTGGATTAAGAAAATGTGGCACATATACACCATGGAATACTATGCAGCCATAAAAAATGATGAGTTCATGTCCTTTGTAGGGACATGGATGAAGCTGGAAACCATCATTCTCAGCAAACTATCACAAGGACAAAAAACCAAACACCGCATATTCTCACTCATAGGTGGGAATTGAACAATGAGAACACATGGACACAGGAAGGGGAACATCACACATTGGGGCCTGTTGTGGGGTGGGGGAAGGGGGGAGGGATAGCATTTGGAGATATACCTAATGTTAAATGACGAGTTACTGGGTGCAGCACACCAACATGGCACATGTATACATATGTAACTAACCTGCACGTTATGCACATGTACCCTAAAACTTATAGTAAAAAATAAATAAATAATAAAAAAGCATAAATATTAAAAAAATAAAAAATAAAATGAAATAAAATAAAAGATGGAATAAGTAATTTATTTTCTTTCCTAAGAAGAAATGAAGGACAGGCATGGTGGCTCATATGTGTAATCCCAGAAATTTTTAGAAGCCAAGGCAGAAGTACTGCTTGAGGCCAGGAGTTTGAGACCAGCCTGGACAACATAGTGAGACCTTGTCTCTATAAAAAAAAAAAATTAAAATTAGCCAGGCGTGGTGGTGCACATCTGTAGTCTCAGCAACTCCGGAGGCTGAGGAGGGAGGATTGCTTGAGTCCAAGAGTTCAGGGTTTCAGCGAGCTATTATCACGCCATGATAGTGCTGTGATCGTGCCATTGCACTGCACTCTAGCCTGGGTGGCAGAGTGAGACCCAATCTCTTAAGAAAAAAAGAGATGAAGGGCCAGGCATGGTGGCTCATGCCTGTAATCCCAGCACTTTGGGAGGCCAAGGCGGGCGGATCACAAGGTCAGGAGATCGAGACCATCCTGGCTAACACAGTGAAACCCCATCTCTACTAAAAAAATAAAGATAAAAAAAATTAGCCGGGCGTGGTGGCGGGTGCCTGTAGTCCCAGCTACTCGGGAGGCTGAGGCTGGAGAATGGCGTGAACATGGGAGGCGGAGCTTGCAGTGAGCCGAGATCACGCCACTGCACTCCAGCCTGGGCGACAGAGCGAGACTCCATCTCACAAAAAAAAAAAAAAAGAAAAAGAAAAAAAGAGATGACATGAAGTTAGGACTGATTATAAGATCGTAAAGGTAGATGATGAGATAAAGAAGAATGCTATACAAATTCCAGTTCATGAACTGATTCTAGAAGAACTGCATCAGAATCATCCCAGGAGCTTCTTTTTTTCATCTTCAGTGAAGTAAAACTTGTATATAAAAATTTCATATAATTAATGTTTACAATTTGGTGAATTTGGACATATGTATACATACATGTTACTGTCACCACAATCCAGGTAATAAACATATCCATCACCTCCAAATATTTTCTTGTGTTCCTTTGGGTTTTTTATTTGTGTGTTGTGTTTATTAATTGTAAAATTAGTAGAGAAAAACATAGAGGAAAACTTTCTTGACATTCGCCTGGACAACACGTTTTTAAATATGACACCAAAAGCACAGGCAAGAAGAGCAAAAATAGACAAGTGGGATTGCATCAAACTAAGATGCTTCTGCACAGCAAAGGAAGCAATCAACAGAGTAAAAAGGCAACCTATGAAATGGGAGAAAATATTTGCAAGCCATATACCTAAAAAGGGGTTAATTTCCAAAATATGTAAGAAACTTCTAAACCCCAGGAGTTTATTTAAAAGATAGACTTTGGAACTCAGCCCTCACAGGTTCTAATTCATTAGGCCTTAGTTTCGGCCTATAAATCTGTATACGGTCATATGTTATTTAACAAGAGATAGGATCTGAAAAATGCATTGTTAGGCAATTTGTCATGGTGTGAACGTTATACACAAACCTAAATAGTATAGCTTACCATACCTAGTCTATATGGTATAGCCTGTTGCTCCTAAGCTACAAACCTGTACAGCATGTTACTGTACTGAATACTGTAGACAATATTAACACAATGGAAAGTATTTGTGTATCTAAACATATCTATAAAAGGTATAAATATTTAAAAGGTACAGTAAAAATATGGTATTATAACCTTATGGAATCACCATTGTATTAATATATGCAGCCCGGCATTTACTGAAGAGTTACTATGCAATGCATGACTGTATTTAAATAGTTGCTCAAGCACCACTGTTGCACAGTTATATAGCATTGGTCCTCGCCTCTATCAGACCAATGCCTCCTTGTTTTGTCAAATATTTTGTAATGCCCTCTTTATGATCCTAAAATCAAAATTATAGAAATATAGCCCATCTAAGCATGAAATTTCAGAAAATCAATAAAACGGTTTAATTAAAACACAAAAGAGAAATGCCAGGAAAGGGCTTCATAATAAGATCATATGCTATGCGTAAGTAACAAGGAGCCGAATGTTAATAGCCAAGACAATGGGGACAATGTCTCCAGGGCATAACAGAGATCTTTGTGGTAGCCCCTCCATTCACAAGCCCAGAGGCCTAGGAGGGAAAAATGATTTCTTGAGCCAGGGCCCCAGTGTTGCTCTGTGCAGCCTCGGGACTGGGCAACCTGTGTCCCAGCTGCTCCAGCTTCAGTTATGGCTAAAAGGGGCCAAGATACAGCTTGGGCCATGGCTTCAGAGAATGCAAGCCCCAATCCTTAGTGCCTTCAATGTGGTGTTGGGCCTATGGGTGCACAGAAGACAAGATTTGAGCTTTGGGAACCTCCACCTAGATTTCAGAGGATGTATGGAAATGCCTGAATATCCAAGCAGGTGTGTGTTGCAGGGGTGGAACCCTCATGGAGAACCTCTACTTGGGCAATGCAGAGGGGAAATGCGGGGTTGGAGCCCCCACACAGAGTCCCCTCTGGGGCACTGCCTAGTGGAGTTGTGAGAAGAGGGCCACCATCCTCCAGACCCTGGAATGGTAGATAGCTTGCACCGTGCTCCTGGAAAAGCCTCAGGTGCTCAATGCCAGCCCGTAAAAGCAGCACTGGGGGCTATACCCTACAGAGCCACAGGGACAGTGCTCCCCAAGGCTGTGGGAGCCCACCCCTTGCATCAGTGTGCCCTGGATGTGAGACATGGATTAAAAGAAATTCATTTCAGAGCTTTAAGATTTAATGACTGCCTGTAGCCCCTTTATTTTGGCCAATTTCTCCCATTTGAAATGGGAGCATTTACCCAATGCCCATACCCCCCCACTGTATCTATCTTGGAAGTAACTAACTTGTTTTTGATTTTACAGACTCATAGGTGTAAGGGACTTGCCTTGTGTCAGATGAAACTTTGGACTTGGACTTTTGAGCTAATGCTGGAATGAGTTAAGACTTTGGAGGACTGTTGGGAAGGCATGATTGTGTTTTGAAATATGAGAAAGACATGAGATTTGGGAGGAGCCAGAGGTAGAATAATATGGTTTGGCTCTGTGTCCCCACCCAAATTTCATCTCAAATTGTAATCCCCATGTGTTGAGGAAGGGGCCTGGTGGGAGGTGATGGGATCATGTGGGCAGTTTTCCCCAAGCTGTTTTCATGATAGTGAGTGAGTTCTCATGAGATTTGATCGTTTAAAAGTGTGGCACTTCCCCCTTCTTTCTCTCTCTCTTGCCACCATGTAAGACGTGCCTTGCTTCCCCTTCACCTTCCACCATGATTGTAAGTTTCCTGAGGCCTCCCCAGCCTTGCAGAACTGTGAATCAATTAAAACTCTTATCTTTATAAATTACCCAGTGTCAGGTAGTTCTTTATAGTGGTGTGAAAACATACTAATACAGGCATCAATATAGCAAAAGACATAATGAATTAGTTAGATCTTGTACCTACTTAAAGACATTGGATTTAAGATAAATAAGTAAAACAATATTGAATTGAATATTTTACTATTTTTATTTATATTTGACATTTCAAAATAAGGGCTATAAAAATATATCCATATGCTATGGTTTGTATATAGTTTGTCTTCACCAAAGCTTATGTTGAAATTTGATTCCCAGTGTGGAGGTGTTGGAAAGTGGGGCCTAGTGGAAGGTTTTGGGCTATGGGAGCAGATCCCTCATGAATGTCTTGGTGCTGTTCTTGTGATAATGAGTTCTCATTCTCTTGAAACTGGATTATTTTTCACAGGAATGGGTTAGTTCCTGTGAGAGAAAGTTGTTAAAAAGCCAGGATGCCTCTCAAATTTTCCTCATCACACATGTCCACTTCCCCTTTGAACTTCTCTATCATGTTTTGATGCAGAATGAAGCCAGGGCCATGTCCTTGAACTTCTCAGCCTGCAGAACTGTAAACTAAGTAAAACTCTTTTCTCTATAAATTACCCAGTCTAAGGTATTCTTTAACAGCAACAAAAAATTAACTAATACACCATAGAATTACCATGAATGTGACAAAATTGCCATGTAAGTGACAACCACAAATGCAGATGAATATGGAGAGTTGTACTGACAACTCAAATATCACAAATGGGCACTCACACTAATGTCATGACTTTCAGAAATGGCAAACAACCCTAGATAATTTCTAAACAAAACAAAGTAAAATCTTCCCTTGGTCTGCACGACAGTTGCATTTCTGGAAAATTAAAACTATACAAAACATTTTGCATTTATATGAAAAACGGATCTATAATCTAGACCCAGATAATTTTAGGTTTTTACCTATGGGAATGTCAGGAGGAAGCAGTTGAAAGTCATGTGGGATACAGGGGAAAAAACATCTTTGTCATGTGGGCTTGTCCAAACATATTGCAGAGTATCTAATATCCCTGGCTCCCTCTTCCCATTAAATGCCAGGGCGACATCCACCTCCAGCATTGTGACAAGCAAAAAAAAAAGCACTCTCCCCATTTTTGAAACATCCCCTAAAAATGGTACTATTCAACTGGATAACTGCTGCTTCAAAAGTAAATAACAGAGGATGCAAGGTCAAGTGCTCTAAGGAACCTAACAGATCATAGAAAACTGAGCAATGGATGGATATGAAACAACAGGGTTTGTGGGGCCTGTGATGAACAAAAGAAAATGGCCCCACCTAAAGACATTTACATTACAAAAACATCTTTTGAAAATTGTACGGGCTAAAGAAATGGCAGCAGGCTGCAGTGTTTACTTTTCAAATGAATGGATTTGACTTGTAATGCAAGGCTAGCCTTTATGTAGCCTAGTGTTACATTTGCATTTTAACAAAAAGCAGCCCTTAAATTTAAGAATTTATCATTGAAAAAAGGTTTCAAGCATCAGCCTAGAATGAGCTTTTCAAAATGAGGGTTGGATATTTGGGAAATTGTGATCAGCAATGTTTTAATCAAACTGATTAAAATTGATTATAATAGAAAATGTCAGAGTACATAAGAGTAAATTTTGTCGTGTTTATTTCAATTGTGTGTGTGTGCGTGTGTGTGCATGAGCATGTACACCAGACATGATGCAAACTATCTTGATATTGTTTGGCTCTGTGTCCTCACCCAAATCTCACGTCAAATTGTAATCCTCATGTGTTGGAGAAGGGGCCTAGTGGGAGGTGACAGAATTATGGGGGTGGACGTCCCCCTTGCTGTTCCCATGACGGAGTTCTCATAATATCTGGTTGTTTAAAAGTGTATAGCACTTCCCCCAACTTTATCTCCTGCCACCATGTGAAGACAGTGCTTGCTTCCCCTTCACCTTCCGCCATGATTATAAGTTTCCTGAGGCCTCTCAGCCATGCTTTCTGTACAGCCTGCAGAACTGTGAGTCAATTAAACCTCTTTTCTTTGTAAATTACCCAGTCTCAGGTAGTTCTTTATAGCAGTGTGAAAACGGGCTAATACATATCTTTCTGGGAGTCTTGGTAAAAACAACTTTGGAAAACAGCGAGATAAATGGTTAGGTGAGGATTCGGGGTGTAGTAGGATCTTTCCCAACAACACTGTAGCCATCTGACATAGTGGCCTTTTTTGACATATTTATTAGAAGCCAAATTTGGAGTCAAAGAGACTAGGATTTTTAGTTCCAGCTGTACCTCTCAGGTATATGATTATAAGCAAGCTGCTTAAACTTTCTTAGCCTTCCTTGGTTTCCTTATCTATAAAATGAAGATAATAATGTGTTATAAGATTTTTGAAATAATTAAAGGAGATAATATATGTTAAATGTGTAAACCAAAATAAAATCCTAAGCTCTTCAACAGACTGAACAAACCCCCTCTGGACCAAGGAAAACTTGAAAAACTGAATTCCTAGCCATGATGGGAAGGGATGCTGTACCCACCTAATTATACCCCCTCCCTTTTGGAGTTTAGGCACAACCGACCAGCATTAACATTAAAATAGAAATCATAAGACTGACAGAACAATCTTTGGCAATAAGATACCAAATTGCAACCTGACTCTGGTATAGCATCATATGACATATAGTAGACCTTGAAGGAAATCAAAATATTTTACACCAAAATATATTTCTTTGACATATTTTGAAATAGTCTTGCAAAGCTATCTTTTGTGGGGGAAATTTTGCATCTGTATAAAATCTCCAGTAATGTAACTAGGCCTTTCCTGAATCTCAGAGAGATTAAGAGTATGATACCTTTTAAGGTCCAAAAAAAGGCATTTACCACCTATTCTCTCTGAAGCCTGCTACCTGGAGCCTTTATTGTGTTATAATAGGTAGCTAGTCAGACATGAGCAGGGCAGGAGAAGCCCCCCCACCCAACCCCACCACTACCACCAGGAGTCTCAGACAACCATCAGGTGACTGTCAGGTAGTTATTAAACTGTCTCTCTAAAATAATCATTGGTCATAGCCAGTGCCAGGGAAAGGCCGTCTCCCAATAGATAGAAACACTTGAAACTGGTAATCAGCAGCTTTCCAGTAAGATCTCAGGAGTTAGGCGAGTGGGTTCAAGCATGCTTACTAAGAGGAAAAATGGCAGAGTTTAACTGGTTTATGACCTTCTAAGAGCATTCAACAAGTAAGGGAAGAACACCTCAAGTGAGCATGTGTACAACTCCAGCAAGCACACTGCATAGTGCAGCCCCTCCCGAGTGCTGGCAGGCCACTGTGCGTGTGGGCAGCACACCCCAAGCGAAAAATCAGGGAAGAAGTAACGCAGACCCTGAAAGCATGCCAACATATAAAACCCCAAGTCAAAGATGTAACTGTGAGCTCCACTCTCAAGTTGCCCACTTGACCCTCTTCCAAGTGTACTTTACTTCCTTTTGTTTCTGCTCTGAAACTTTCTTAATAAACTTTCACTCCTGCTCTAAAATTTGCCTCGGTCTCTCACTCGTCTTATGTCCCCTCTGTTGAATTCTCTCTTCTGAAGAAACAAGAATTAAGGTTGCTGCAGCCCCATATGGATTTGCTGCTGGTAACGATTACGTAACAAGAACCTTGGCTTCTACGGCACCCCTTATTTTAAATCAAGTATTTTTTCCTACTAATGTCAAGTCTTAATTTAACTCTTTCAACTAATTGCCAACCAGAAAATCTTTGAATCCACCTATGACCTGTAAGCCCCCCACTTCAAGATGCCCTGCCTTTCTGGGCTGAACCAATGCATATCCTACATGTACTGATTTATGTCTTTGCCCGTAACTTCTGTCTCCCAAAAATGTATAAAAACAAACCGGACCACCTCAGGCACACTTTCTCAGGACCTCCTGAGACTACTTCCCAGGCCATGGACACTCATATTGGCTTCGAATAAACCTCTTTAAAAATTTTACAGAGCTTGCTTTTTTTGGTCAACAAATGCTCGGTATACTATTTGACAGATAGTGAGGATTCAATGAATGACAGATGAAATTATTATTATTTTAATAATCACTAATGTATAAGGTTTGTCTGGCGTACCAGCAAAATATGAAATATTGTTTTCTTCCTGTTATAGAGAAATTCTTTGAAATGCCTAAAGCCATCATATTTGTATTAGTCATTTACTGCTGTGTAACAAATTACTCTAAAGCTTAATATCTTAAAACTACAAACAATTATTATATCACATACTTTCTGAGAATCAGGAATCTGGGATCAGCTTAGCTAGGAGTTTCTGATTCAGGGTCTCCCATAAAGTGGTAGTCAAGCTATCCACCAGGGAGGCACTCTCCAAAGGGGCTGAAGCATCCATTTACAATCACATTTATGTGACTGTTGCCAGGAGGTTTCAGTTCCTTGCCATGTAGGCTTTTCCATAGAGCTGCACATGGCATGGTTTCCCCAACAGCATATCTTCTGAGAGAGAGAGAGAGAGAGAGAGAGAGAGAGAGAGAGAGAGAGAGAGAGACAGAGAACACCAAAGACAGAAGGCTCAGTCTTGTATAACTTAATCTCTGAAATGACATAACATCACTTCTACCATATGCTATTGGTCACAAATTCTAAGCCTCATACAATTTGCAGGGAGACTATACAAGGGTGTAAATAGCAGGAAACATAGATCATCATTGGGGGTCATTTTTGAGGCTATCAACAATATTTATTGAATGTTCCTCCTCTTCAAAATTTTTAATGCAAACATATGAGACTTCCCAGGCATAACTAATTATCCCTCACTACCTACAATGAACACTTGGGTTAACATTAACACAAATTTGAGGA
Source organism: Homo sapiens (assembly GCF_000001405.40). Lineage (NCBI taxonomy): Eukaryota > Metazoa > Chordata > Mammalia > Primates > Hominidae > Homo > Homo sapiens. Next base: position 113,133,508 of record NC_000023.11, on the reverse strand, counting down.
GTCATCAATTTTGTTAATGATACATGACACCAGCTTATTTAATAAATCATATTTAACTTTCAGGAAAATTTTGCATAGAGTATTATGTTTCTTTCAAGAAATTAAACTTTGGCAAAGGTATTTTAAATATACCTCTACGTCTTCCACTGAGTAATATTTGGCTCTATGGAAAAATTATTTCTTCTAATTATTCTTTATTACATTCTAAAAATAAATCTCTGAAGGCAGGCTTCTTCTTCTGAGCATGCGACCCGATAGTAATATATGGTTAAGACTTCAAAAGTAAAAATCAATGATGATGTTTGATTAGCATAATCCTTTTTAAAAATGATGAAAGTAGAATGTGAAATGTCAATATTCTTAATGCCAAAAATTTGATGAACTACAATACATTAAAATAATTGCAAAAGAGAATTTTAATCATAATATAAAAATTAAATTCCTTATTCAGAAAACGTTCATGAAAATAAATAGCCAAAATCAAACTAGAAAATCAATACTTCTCTTAAAAGACAAAATTTAAAAACACACCTATTTCCAAGGTGTCATGTAATTTAAAAAAAATGCACCTATTTTTCAAATTTGACTTTTATTTCGATGTAAACTCTTTCTTCAATATTTGGCATTATAGATTTCAAATTTGCTTCTGAGTTCATTCATATTTTTAAAGTAATAGATCAGTTTTGGCCTTTGGCAAGATAATGTAATTGACCCTTCCCCAATGTGATCTCTATCCTTCCCTTCCCCCATGCTTGCTCTTTTATTTTATGATCTCTAGTTTCCACACCTGCCCCATTAAGATATTTTCTGATACTTAACACAGAGGCATAAGTGACTAATAATAATTTTAAAGTGGTACACATCTGTACTACTCCAACGAGATAACACACATACACTCCCTATCACAATTCTTGATGCCAAGTAGGTGATTAATAATTAGCAAGTTTCCCTTTTTTATAGCTTTGTTTTCCACTGCTCTTATAAGTCAAAGCTGCTAATAATATTAACTCACACTTTTAAAGAATGTTAACTTCTTGACAGCCCCCCTGTGAAGCACAGTTATATTTGCATTATCTAATTTAATCATTACAACAACCATACAGACTGGGTGCTATTATTATCCCCATTTTACAGATGACAAAACTGAAACCCAAACCTTGTCACAGCTATCAACTGGCAGAGCTATAATCGAGATGTGGTCTCTTTAATTTCTGGGTCCATTTTCCAATTCTCTGTCCTTTATCCTGCTATTTACAGTATACCTACCCTGTACTTCTTGAGAGCTTTGTTTATTCTTTGGCTCTTTTCCCCTCCCCACTCCCTACTACTGTTCAAAATCAACACACACCACACAAGAGCCAGTGTAACTAAAGACACAAAACAAAACAGTGCATATAGTACACTAACTTTTTTCAACCCTTTTATTTTTCAAATCATTTGTTGATTGCAAATCACTCAACAGATCAAGTTCACAAATGGCATATACTTCCATTGATATTGTGATTCAAGATATATTATTTTGTCCTTAAGAACATCTACAAAAACACAAATGTGACAGTCTACTGGTTGTCCAACATAACCAGCTATCCTATTTTTCCAGAAAGCAAGAACAATAATAACTAGATACTGTATTTTCAAACTTCCCTTGCATTTATCTGAGGCTTACGGCTAATTTTGGTCAATAGGATGTGAATTAAAGTGATATGTGTAACTTCTGTGTCATCTCTAGTATAAAACAAACCCTGGCTCTTCCACTGTCTCTTAAACTTAAACGTGAGGTGTCTGGGACCCATTTTTGACTATGCTAATCAAGACAATTCTCTTGGGCAGAGGTGGGCAAACTTTTTCTGTAAAGTTCCAGACAGTAAATATTTTAGGCTTTAAGGGCCACATAGGGTCTTTATTACAACAGTTTAACACTGCTATTGCAGTACAAAAGCAGCCATAGGCAACAGATACACAAATGAGTGAGGCTGCGTGCTAATAAACCTTTATTTACCAAAAACAGACAGAGAGCCAGATTTAACCCACAGGCTACAATTTGCTGATCCCTACTCTAAAGGATGGTAGAACAACAAGATGAAAAGGACCTCAGAATACCTGAATAACTACTTTCAGCGTAGCCAGCGATCAATCTGAACCACTAGTATCTGGATTTGTTGCTATACAAGAAATTTATTTATTCTGGAAGCCACTACATTGGGGAGTCCCTTTGTTACAGCAGCTTTAGATTTACCATAACAAATAATATAAGTGACAGAGAGGGAGAAAATAATTACATAAAGCTTTAATCTGCAACGAAAAATTTTAAGTAAAATCATCCAATGTGTCAGTATTTTTATTAGTAGTTAAATAAATTTTAAAAGCCTGGCATATACCTTCCAAGCTGTTTGCTACAAATTAGGGAATAAAAAAATACTAGGAATGAAAGCAACTTCTGGATGTGGCCAGCTGTACTACAGTCTCCAGAAACCTGTACTATCAGAAAATTGGGGCTCACCTTCATTTATATTATTAAAAAGGATTAAAGCCTTCAGCCCTACTGTTGAATTTCAATGATCAAACAGTGAGAGAGCAGAAATATTTACAGAAGACAACAGGACTCTCCACTTCTAACACCTAAATCAAATGACAAAAGCAGTGGCCTACTTTGCCTCCATGTGTGTTGTCCCCATTAATGAAAGTGCACTAAAAGATCTCATTAATACAATTCTACAGGTAATATGCATCAATTACACCTGAGGGGCACATGAGTCTAGCTAAATTATAGATCTTAAAGTGTGCCCTCCCATGTTTGTTATTCACTCAACCAGTAAGTTGATAGATTCCTATATAGCTTCTGAATATAGAACTGATAAATATGTAAACATATTTAATTAGTGAAGAAAATAAATGAAGCAGCCTGTCCTTCTTCATTGGGGAGGGCACATCGCAGAGCAAGTCTGTCTGCATGGCAGCAGCTATTCCTTCCACCTTGATAGTATGTAGTTCATCATGTAGAGTGAACACGAAATCTGGCCATACCTCTAAATCACCAAGGAAATGAACTTAAAAATGCATATTCTTAAGTATTATTTTCAAAGTTTTCATTTTAGTAAATCTAATATGGGATCTGAAAAGCATATTTTTAAGAACTAGGTGATTATGTGTCCAATGGAGCACTTATCCCCATACCTACTTTAGTAATTACTGATCTAGAAAATTACAGCAAATATTATATAGATTGGCCCAAGCATGATCCTTACACAGAAGATTTTCACAGCATTCCAAACAGACACTTATCTATAGATTAATCTCTTTGGAAGACAATTCTTCAATCAACCAAAGTAGAAAAAGTACTTAAAATGTTACTAATCCAAGTCTTCTTATTTTCCCTATTGACCCTTCACTGTTAGGTGAACAATTAAGCCTTCAACTTCCTCGGGCTTATACATGTTAACTCCTTTTTCCCTTGCCCTTTCCATATGAAAGGTTTCTCTAGTTTTACAGCTCAGGTACTTTCAGTTCCTAGAAAGAAGGAACTATGATTTTTTTTTTAATCTGTTTATCCCCAGTGCCCAATATAACACTTATACTCTCAGACAACAGGAATGATGATAATGTTTACAAATCATATACCTGGTAAGGGTAGTATCTAGAGTCCATAAAGAACAATTATAACTCAACAATAAAACAGCCCAAATTAAAAATGGACAAATGATTTAATAGCTATTTCTCCAAAGAAGATATACAAATGGCCAATAAGCACATGAAAGGATACTCACCACCACCAACCAATTAGGGAAATAGAAATGCAAATCAAGACCATAATGAGATACTACTTCATACCCACTAGGATGGCTATAATTCGAAAAAAGAAAAAATACAGAGACAATAATAAGTGTTGACAAGAATGTGGAAAAATTGGATCCCTCATATACACTGCTGTTGAGAAGATAAAATCATGCAGCTGCTTTGGAAAACAGTCTGGCAAGTTCTTCAATAGGTTAAACATAGAGTTACCATATGAGTAAGCAATTTCACTCTTTGATACATAGCCAAGAGAAATAAAAACATATGTCCACGGGGCATGCACGGTGGCTCACGGCTGTAATCCCAGCACTTTGGGAGTCTGAGGCGGGTGGATCATGAGGTCAGGAGATCGAGACCATCCTGGCAAACAGGTGAAACCCCGTCTCTACTAAAACTACAAAAAATTAGCCGGGCGCAGGGGCGGGTGCTTGTAGTCCCAGCTACTCTGGAGGCTGAGGCAGGAGAATGGCGTGAACCCGGGAGGCAGAGCTTGCAGTGAGCCGAGACCGTGCCACTGCACTCCAGCCTGGGCGAAAGAGCAAGACTCCGTCTCAAAAAAAAAAAAAAAAAAAAATATGTCCACGGAAAGCTTTGTACATAAATGTTCATAGCAGAATTTTCCATAATAATCCAAAACTAGACACAGCCCAGATGTCTTTGAATGGATGAATACTTAACCAAACTGTAGTAGATTCATACCATGGAATATTATTCAGCAATAAAAAGGAATGAAACACACAGCAACTTGCATGAATCTCAAGGGCATTATGCTGAGTAAGACAAGACAGTGTCAAAAGGTTACATACTGTGTGATTCCATGCATTTGGCATTCTTGAAAAGATAAAGCTATAGTGAAGGAAAACAGATCAGTGGGTGCCAGAGGATATGGATGGAGTGAAGATGTGACTATAAAGAGATAGTACAGGAGAGTTTTTGAGATGATGGAACAATTCTGTACTGATTGTGGTAGTGCTTGTACAAATACATACATGTGTTAAAATTCATAAAACTGTACACTAAAATAAAAACACCAAAGTAAAACCACACATCTGTGGCTGCAGATGAAATTATTCAAAATTTTGGTTAAGAAAATATACAGAGAGAATACAGAAGCACCTACACGCCTGTTCCAATGACAGAAGCAGGTATTAATTGGTCACCGAACTTGGCAGGCAAGGAACCCAGAAGTTTGAGATTATAGTGAGCTATGATAGTGCCACTGCACTCCAGCCTAGGTGACAGAGTGAGACCCTGTCTCAAAAAAATAAATAAACATAGCCCGAGAACAAATAGTACTTTAATACTTCCTGAAATAAAGAGATATTTGGAGTCTTTCTCTAAAGGGTAAATGGAGGAGCAGCTTTTACAGCAGGAAAACAGAGACAGATACTGTATAGGAAAATGAAATTGCTATAAAGTATCAAAACATTGTTATAAAAAGTGCTTAACCAGGATTCTTAAAACTAGATAATGATAAATTATAAATGTTTATAAGGTGGCAGCTGAGGGACAAGTCACTGGCAATCCTTGATGCCACATTAAGTTTCAAAGTAAATTACCAAGATTATGGTTCTAAACAAGATATATTCTGCATGTTTATTCATTCATTCCATTAATATTCAGTACCTATCATATGCCAAGAACTGTTCTAGACATTTGAGATATGTCTTCTATGAACAAAATAAACAAAAATACCTGTTTTGTAGAGCTTACCTTCTAATATGTAAGATTAGGGTTAGAAGAATCTGTTAGGCTTTGGTGAGAGTATAAAGACATAAAATATTTTGGAAATTAGATATAGATCCAAATTTATAGTACCCATACCTTTTGGCCTAGCAACTCTACTTCGGTGAATCTATCTTGCAGATAAACTCACACAGGATCTAAGGATATGTAATAAGTAGAATTATAAGATAACCTCCAATGTTCCCACCTGTTGGTGTACATGTCTTCCATAATTCTCTCCCTTGAATGTGAGCAAGACCTGTGCATATAATGGGAATCACTCCCTTTACTATATTTATATTATTAATCAGCTGACTTTAGAGTTAACCTAAAGGAAGATTCTACAGATAGATCTGACATTATTAGGTGAACCCTGTAAAGAGACTGAGCCTTTCCTGAAATCAAAGAGCTTCAGAGTGTGAGAGGACCTATGGAAGGCACTATGCAGCAGGAACCTAAGAGTGGCCTCTAGGAGCTGAGCATGGTGCCTGGCCAACAACCAGTAAGAAAGCAAGGAACTCAGTCATAGAACTGCAAAATAATGATTCCATCATTATCCTGAAGAAGCACGGAAGCAGATCCTCCCCTAGTCAAGGCTACATGAAAATTGTGAGATAATAAATCCTTCTTGTTTTAAGCTGCTAAGTTTGTTATGATTTACTATGCAGCAGTAGAAAACTAATACAAGGTATTTCAATGAGAATGTCAAGGACACTATTTGCAACAGTGAAATATAAGAAATACTCTAATGTCTAAACTAAATTTGTTAAATAAATTAGGAAATATTTGGACTATGGAATACCATGATGCCATTTTATAAAGTTCTTTACATCTAAAATATAGAAGTACTAATATGTGATAATACATACTAATATGTTCTTGGTAGTGTGTTATGTAAAAAAGAGCCATTGACAGAATAACATGTCGAGGCTTACTTAGAAGATGATACCACAAAATATGGTGCTTTGACACTGGAGGGATTCTCTCTGGAATTTCCTTATTTGACTAAAAAAACTTCTTTAAAAGAATGCAAGTGTCTTAAGACCCCCTTCCTAGGAATTTCATCAAATAATCAGAAAAGATTAACCTCTGGAGAAGAGAAGAGACTGGGAGTCATCAGCAAGTCCAGACAGACTTTTCATCTATTCTTCTGAGGAAGCTCTAGTGGAAGTGGTGGGAAGGCAAGGGGTGGAACTTCACTGTGAACAAAGGTAATACTTGGGGAACTTTATCTGCAAAATAAGACAACCTTTGTTCACAGGGAAGTTCCACTGCTTACCTTCTACCACCTCCCCGAGAGCTCAGAGCAACTTTGTCCCATCCTATTGTTCTTTGGTCTCATTCATTTCCCCTGAGAATCATTGACTCTGGCACCCCCAATCTCCCTTTCCTTATGAAGAAATGTACATAAGCATCTACACCTCATTGTGTTATTGGGTAATCACATTTCCCACAATTTCCCCCTATGCACATTAAATATATTTTGTATGCCTTTTTCTCCTATTAATCTACCTTTTGTCAGATCATTTCCAGCAACCTTTGGGGGACAGAAGGGAAATTTTACTTTGCCCCCCAAAATATGGATAACATATACCATATTTTGTAATAAAGAAAATATCCAAATATCCAAGCTGGGTATGGTGGCACACACCTGTAGTTCCAGCTATTCAGGAGGCTGAGGCAGGAGGATCTCTTGAGTCCAGAAGTTTGAGTCCAGTCTTGGCAGTATAATGTGATCCTATCTCTGATTAAAAACAAAAAAAAAGGAAAGGGAAGGAGAGGAGAGGAGAGGAGAGGAGAGGAGAGGAGAGGAGAGGAGAGGGGAGGAGAGGGGAGGAGAGGGGAGGGGAGGGGAGGGGAGGGGAGAGGAGAAGGAAGGAAGGAGAGAAGGAAGGAAGGAAGGAAAGAAGGAAGGAAGGAAGAAAGGAAGGAAGGAAGGAGAAAGAAAGAAAGAGAGAGAGAAAAGAAAGGAAAAGAGAAAGAGAGAAAGAATGAAAGAAAGAAAGGAAGAAAGAAGAAAGAAAAAGAAAATATCCATTTACAAAATGTATATTATATCTCTCTATATATATATGTATATATATATATTTGAATGTGCACAGAAAAAGTCTGGAAGAAAACACACCAACCTTTTTACAGTAGTTATCCCAATAAAATAGAACAAGTTTGGTGGGTGAGATAAGAAGGGTTTCAACTTTTATTCTGTACACTTACGTATTGTTTGAATTTTGTTTCAAGGAATATGCATTCTTTTTGTGTTTAAATTGGTACAGATGAATAATCTGTGATAGTAATAGTTGTAAAAGCTATTTTTTCCCCTGATATTTACCTTTATCTTGGGATTTAACTGCCTTTGAGAACAGCTCACTTTAAAGTATTATGGTTTTGAATATCTGTTTAATGTTTGCAGAGAGTTACTATTTGGGGTCAAAAAATCTACCTTTTACATATTGTGACTATGAAAAGTCTGTGCTTAAGACTTCATATACAGAACCATTATCTTTAGTTTCAGGAAAATTACTCACTGCAGCACACTAACATCACTGGTGGCAAGAAACCAAATCATAAGGTGTTTTTGAAGAGTGGCATAACCTTATCTACAACTGAAATCGACCTCTAGCATGCGAAGTGTCTGACACTTCCCCAAAATGAGATGACAGTAACAAATAGTCAAGAGTCCAACAATCAGAATAATTCCTTCACTTGGGAGGAAATAAGCCTGCTGTGCTGGCAGTTATCATAGTGTGCAAAAAGGGTGGACTCAGGGGAATTATCTAAATGGGCACAGTAAGTGAACCAAGTATAGAGAGTTAAGAGATGCCAGTAGGAAAGGGGATAGGACATTTTAAGCAATACATAGTGATTAAGGCTAAAATTAAACCACAGATGAAAACTGAGTCATAGTTAAGAAAATCAAAATACTTCACCCCAAAATATACTTCTTTGGTATATTTTGATTTGGTTGTTCCAGGTCCTGCAAACCTAAGTAGCCCTGCACAGCTATCCTTTGTCAGGGAGATTTGCATATGTAGAGAATCTGCATAGATACAGCCAGGCTTTCTCTGAGGCTCTCTTTTGTCCAGATCTAGGAAAGATTAACTGAGAGTCTGTCACTTTAAAAGTCTGAAAGAAACATTTGCCATCTACTCTCTCTGAGGGCTGCTACCTGTGAGGTTTCATCTACATAACAAGACCACCTTTGCTAGCCAGGCCTCTTCTTCCCCTCCCATAACCTGTCTTACCATTACAACTTGATTTCCCAACATAACCTGGTTTTGGCCATGTTCTAAGCCCCCATTCTATCTCTAACCTCAAGATGGCATATAAGTTTCTGTACCCCACCTGGGGTTTGAGATAATCACTCCACGGTTCTCTGGTGTACGTTAATAAATTTGTATGCCCTCTCTCCTATTAGTCTGCCTTTTGTGAGTTGATTTTTCAGTGAATTTTCATAGAACTAGGGGGAGGTTTTTCCTTGGCCCCTACAATAGTCAGGTCAGTGCCACTGCTAGTGCCTTTGTGCAAATTATTAAGAATCCTGTTTCTCCAGGCAATAAATCCCCATGCCAGACTCCATTTCCTCCACTCATCCTGGTGCTTCAATGCAGTTAAAAATCTATACAACTAAAAAGGCAGTAGTCCTGAGTCAGGCTCAGGAAAGCAAGGAAGAGCCAGCATATGAGAGCTGGCATATGGAATTTAAATCCCATTAAGCTCTAGTAGAGTTACCTACTTCTGATGTGACATTGTGCTAAGCCAGCCCAAAGCAAGATTGGGGTGAAGCAGGAGTGGTTCTTTACAAGGCCAACTACACCTGAGACCCTGTATTAGTCAGGATCGACACATAAAATTAACCATCCCAGACCCTACCAGACTCTGTGAGATAATAACCATAAGGAGATAGCTCTGTTACATTTGTACAGCAACAATTAAAGTGGCCCAAATGAACTGAACTAATGAACTAGTATTGAACCTAAGAATATCCAGATGTTTGACATTTTATAGAAATAAAAATGAATAGAACCTGTTTGAACAATTAAAATAAATGCAGTTTGATCAAGTTTGATCCCATTTTTTATTTTATAATATAACTGACACTGCTATATTCCTGAAATAAAATTTTCTGCAGCATTTATGTTGACGTTGTATGCCTGCTTGTCAATGATGAGAAGATGATGAATTAAAGTTTCTCCATTAATCAGACATTCTAATAACACATCCTTCAAGGCATCCAAGTGTCACATTTGTTTTCTCAAATTTGCACATAGTCCATGTCATTTTGTATCATTTTTCATCGAGCCACATTGATTAATCAATCATTTAATCAAGCACCTTCTATGTGCACAGAAGCATGCTAGATGTTGTAGGAAATCATAGGAAGTAGACAAAGAAAATCCTGTTATTGAAGCACTTGAAAACTAGCTGAGAAGACTTACACACTCATAAAGTATATAAAAAATGTGTAAGTATATAGTAAAGTCTATGATGTCAAAAGTAAACAATAAGATCCTATTTTACAATATATACAATAAATATTTTTTTTAAAAAGAGAGGAAAGAAAGGAGAATTCATCAGAAAAGGTTTCACCATACAGACAGGATTTAAATTGAGCCTTAAAGGATAGGTAGGAAGAGCTTAACTGCTCTGTGCTATAAGCCTTTTTGATAGCACAAAAATTACATTGAAAGGTGTATTTTTTTCTGCTGTAAACTGAACGTCAGTGCAGGGCTTTCACTCATAGAGAACACTAATATGTTTCCAGCCCTCAAATGCTTTTATGGGGAAAAAGGAGTAGGACAAGGTTTCAGCTACTGGCACAAAAGGTTCACTTATGCTTTGTTGAAAGAGACAATTCTAGCTACCACTTTGCTTGGTCATTGAGACTTTATATCAGCTCTGCTTCATTATGGCTAAATATTTTTAGTAATTAGAGCATTCACATTCTCCATTTCTTTGTCACCAAGCCTTCTCTGTCATTTCTGAGGTTATATAACCCATATAATGAAAGCCTTTGGAGTGTTTTGAAAATTCAATATGCATTCTCTTCTATGTATAATAAAAGCTCTTACTCACTATTTTTTCAAGAGGAAAATAAGATACAATTTGAAAAAGAATGATCAGTGTATTCCACTCTTCAATTACTTTATAAATAATTGTCAGGCCTCTGAGCCCAAGCTAAGCCATCATATCCCCTGTGACCTGCACGTGTATATCCAGATGGCCTGAAGCAACTGAAGAATCACAAAAGAAGTGAAAATAGCCAGTTCCTGCCTTAAGCGATGGCATTCCACCATTGCTGTTTGTTCCTGCTCCACCCTAACTGATTAACCTTGTGACATTCCTTCTCCTAGACAATGAGTCCTAGAACCACAACACCAAGCACCTTGTGACCCCTGCCCCTGCCCGCAAGAGAATTACCCCCTTTAACTGTAATTTTCCACTACCTACCCAAATCCTATAAAACTGCCCCACCGCATCTCCCTTTGCTGACTCCTTTTTCAGACTCAGCCTGCCTGCACCCGGGTGATTAAAAAGCTTTATTGCTCACCCAAAGCCTGTTTGGTGGTCTCTTCACATGAGGCACATGGCAATAATTAACCCTCTCAATTCTTATATCTTATGATTTTGCACGGGGAGGGGTGCTCCCTAATTACCTCAGGACATTATTGCTAGATTAGTGACCAGTTGTTTAAACAAACAGATATGCATGTGTTAGAGACATAAAACATTTATTAAAGTGACTACAAAGGACAATAATAAATTTATGACATTTTATGATGTCCCACGTCTTGAGTCATGGGTTTCCATTTTCAGTGTTCTTTAGCTCTAATTGTACATGTCATGTAAATCTATACAAAAGCTAGTATCTTTCTAGGGCTCACTATATGCCCATAGAAATGGAGAATATCATCATTGCAAGAAATATTAGAAATCTTTCCTCATTTTACAGAAGAAATAGATAAAGAAGAGACAACTAGTTATTGACAGAGTCAGAAATAAAATTCCTGTCTCTTGACAAAATTAATCTACAGGATTTTTTGTTTTGTTTTTAATAAGGAAGGTTAAATTGAGAAGAGTAAAATTTTGGCAACCTAAAAAGCACTGTCATTCTTCTCTCAAGCATTATCAGTGACTATAAGCTTTTCAAAACTCCAAAAACCTTGATGCCAGCTTAAGGCTGATTTTTCTTTACCACTGCCAAAACACTATGGAACAGTTTCTGGGATAGGTCTACATCCAAGCTCAGTGGTAGAGTTCACAGGAGACAACTACATGCTCACCAGCTTCTGTAGATTATTCTAACATATGCTGTGCTTCTTCTCTTTCTAGCCCCCAACTCAGACCTGCATTTACATCCTACTAACATTCAAACATTTTCCATTCTTTACCCATGGGGTCAATGATTAATTGTTGGGATATACCGTACAAATAGCAAGGAAAAAAAAATCCCATAAAAGAAACTTTTAGTAACTGAAAGAACACAGTGGGTTATTGGCCCAGAAAAGCATTAAAGTGCTAACCATAAAGCTAGATTGAAAAACATCCAGGAATGGAAGACTAAAACTCTTGCTTTATCTTAAGATCCAGTATCCAGCACAATGCTTTATTCATAACAGGTATTCAATAAATATTTATAAACAAATAAAGAGACATTAGATTGGAACATGCACTGGATTTTGGAGTCAGCATGATTCAAATGGGAAAGTATGGGGATGGGTGGGAGGAATGAAGAAAAATGGTAAGAAAAAACACATAAATAAGCAGAACAGCTATCAGATTAAATAAAAAGAATTGAGGATTTCTCTTAGATGGCATTTTGTTTTCTTTTTCTTTTTTACTTTTTAAATTTTTATTATTTTTATTATACTTTAAGTTCTGGGGTACATGTGCAGAACGTGCAGGTTTGTTACATAGGTATACATGTGCAATAGTGGTTTACTGCACCCATCAACCCATGATCTACATTAGGTATTTCTCCTAATGCTACCCCTCCCCTAGCTCCCCACTCCCCAACAGGCCCCAGTGTGTGATGTTCCCCTCCCTGTGTCCATGTGTTCTCATTGTTCAATTCCCACTTATGAGTGAGAACATGCAGCGTTTGGTTTTCTGTTCTTCTGTTAGTTTGCTGAGAATGATGGTTTCCAGCTTCATCCATGTCCCTGCAAAGGACATGAACTCATCCTTTTTTATGGCTGCATAGTATTCCATGGTGTATATATGTGCCACATTTCTTTACATTACATTTTCAATACATTACTGTTGACTACAAGTACAGTGTTATACAACAGCACTCTAGAGCACTCTAGATTCATCTAGCTTGACTCAAACTTTACATTCATTGATTAGTAATTCCTCATTTTCCCCTCTGTTCAGCCTCTGGTAACCACAATTCTACTCTTTGATTATATGAATTTGACTATTTTAGATATCTGATATCAGTGAACTCATGCAGAATTTATCTTTCTGTGGCTGGCCTATTTCACATAGCTTAATATCTGCAAGGTTTATCCATGTTGTCACATATATGGCCAAATTTCCTTCTTTTCAAAGGCTGAATAGTGTTCAATTGTATTGTATAACACATTTTCTTCACCCATTTACCTGTTGGTGGACGTTTAGGTTCTTAAAATAGCTTGGCTAACAATTACTAGTGATTAATTGAATTAGCCCATGGTACACAATCCTATGTTACAGCAATGTAACTTTCAAAGTAAACCATGATCTTTAAGAATTACATTTTAAAATAATCATAACTGTAAATGTATGTTACATCAGCTGATATTGCGATTTTAGCACATGCAAGAAATTAATTTTGTTTGCCCTTTCCACTCATTTCTGAGAGTTAGTAAGCACTCAAGCCTATCAATAATGCTTCATTATCTACATCCTTCTCTTTCTGTCCTAGGGGGATACTTTTACAAGACAGAATGGGAAGAAATTCATGGGAAATGCAGAAAATTTTCCATCATTCATTTACATGTGGAATAATTACCTGATTCCTAAATACAACTTTCCTAAGGGTCTGAAATAGAAGCACAGGACACTTTGGGGCCTATTATTTCCCAACATAATATCTTTACATCAGAGAGGAAAAAAATTATGTCAAAGGTATATGAAAGCTTTCTGGATTTTAAAATAAGAGGCACATTACTATTTGTTCTGTGACTACAAAAATTTACATTACGGTAGAAAATACAAATAAATCATAAGATAACTATCTCATGGAAAGACCTACCCATACCATATCTACATTACTTTTTCTCCTCTAGCCATTTTCTCACAGTGTCAAGAATACTGTTGGCTGAATGAGACTGTGCATTTCTCCACAGTAAGGATTTAGGAGCATTCTTAGAGGGCAGCTAAAGTCCATAATGCAAGCTACCACAAGCCAAGAAATCTGACCTTTCCCTTTCGCTGACAAAGTTTCTTTATCTTACCTCGCAATACATAGAATAGGATTGGAAACCTTCCAAAAGGTGGGTAGTGAGTATTTGCTGAACAATCATCTGATCTTCCCGATTGGCTATTGTAGTAGAATATGAATATGGAGACTTATTTAGCTAGGATTGTTAGGAACAAACTCTCCAAGGAGATTTTTGAAACAGGGCCTTGCTCTGTCGCCCAGGCTGGAGTACAGTGGTGCATTTTGGCTCACTGCAGCCTTGACCTCCCAGGCTGAAACAATCCTCTCACCTCAGCCTCCCCAGTAGTAGGGACTAAAGGTGTGTGCCACCATGCCTGGCTAATTTTGTTCATTTTTTGGAGAGACGAGGTCTCACTATGTTACCTGGGTTGGCCTCTATACACCAGGCTCAAGCAATTCTCCCTTCTCAGACTCCAAAAATGCTGAGATATCAGGCATGAAGCACTGTGCACAGCCTCCAAGGAGGTGATGTATAAGCTGAACTGCCAATGATAAGGAGGAGGTAACCAGAGAGGGAAGAGTACTCTAAGAAGAAGAAACAATAAATTCAAATACTCTGAGACAGGAAAGAGCTGGTTGTGTTCAAGAATAAAAAGGTCAGCAGAGTGGCTGAAAGGTAGTGAACTGGGGGAAGAGTAGAGAGGGATGAGTCAGAGAAATAGACAAATTATGTAAATCTTGTAAGATGTATATGAGGAATTTGTAATTTATTATAAGTGGATATGAGGAGTCATTGGAGATTTGTTTTTAATCAAAAATTCCAAACATACTTATAAAAGAGAGAATGACATAATAATCCTCATAGAGCTATTAACCAAATTTAATAATTATCAATATTTTGTCATATTTACTTCATCTGTCTTCTTTGCTTTACTTAAGCATTTAAATTAAATCCCAGACTTCATGGTATTTCACTTCTATATACATAATTTAGCATCCATCTCTGAAAAGTATGAATATTTTCTGACATAACCACAATGCCATTGTCACACCTAACTTAGAAAACAATGTCTTTATCGTCATCTAATAACTAAACAATAATTACATTTATTCAGTTAGGTCACAAATCACTTTTCACTGTTGCTTTATTTAAAGCAGGATCCAAACAAGTTCCACTCTTTACATTTGTTTTTATTCATTTTCCACCCTAAAGCAATAACCCCCTCCTTTTGTTCCTGTTACTGACTTATAAAAGAATACGAGTCTCTTTTCTTGGTGAATGCTCCAATATAACGGAGTCAATGAATTGTGATGCTGTTAACTTGTCCCACTAACTCCCACATTTCTTTAAATGAAAACTACTTCTTAATTGGTTTCAGGTTCCACTTTTAGACAAAATTACTTTATAGACTGTACTGTGTAATCCACCTTGAGGGAACACTTAGTTTCTGGGTGTCATTTTTAGTGATTGATCAGTGGGTTCATGTGGTAGCAGCCTGATCCCTCCATTGTAAAGTTCCCCGTAAGTCCTTCATTCAATGCTTCTGTTGTGGCTCAGAAAATAATCCCACAAAATGAAGGCCTCAGAAGCAGCCTCAGAAGCAAAAGTTTTTCTTTGACCTTCTCTTGCTCTCGTGTCTCTCAGTCCCATCCTCCCCTGAGGCTAGCCATAGAAACTAGAATCCTTTTTCTCGAAGGTGGGTCAGAGAAACCAGAAGCTCTTTTCTCCACCCAGCCATAAAACTTAAAAATACTGCTTTAATTTTCCCTCCAACTTTCTGTGTAAAAACTGGTCATAAAGAAATGATCCTACCTATCTTCTTTGGCTGTAGGTCATAAGACCCCTATTCCAGAGAGGGTTCTGCTTCACACCCAGAAGGAAGGAATGCTTGCTCAGAGAGGTCAAGAAGAACCTAGACAGAGAGGCCTTGCTGAGTTTCCCCACTCAGTCTATAAGCATTTGATCATATCCTTTTTGTCCAACCATATTTCTACATGGGTGTCCATACTTTGTTGACCTAAGCATTAAAATGGACAATTTCCTCTGTATCTCTGGGTCTTCATTCTGAAGACTCCTTTGTATGCCTTTTCTCCTACTAACCTGCCTTTCATGAGTTGATTTTCTAGTGAACCTTCAGAGGGCCAAGTCTTGGCCCCTACACTTCCATCCATCAAAGATAATTACCTAAATCAATGATCTCATTACATGTTACACAATAGTTATTTTATAATCTATCATTTCTTTCCCATTTTTGGCTGGAATTCTTCTGAAAAGGAGAAGTTTCACTCATAAACTACAGTTATTTTAGAACCCTAAAATACACTCATTAGGAGGTGTTAAGCAGTAGAGTGATAAGATCTGATTTACGCTTTAGAAAGATGGACTGTGGGCTCAAGGACGGCAGGTATAAAGGCAGGAAAACTAATTAGAGGGCTGCAGCAAAGTCCAGGTAAGAGATAATGGTGTTTTGGAGTAATATTTTAACATTAGAAATGGTGAGAAGTGGTCATAATTAGGATATGATTTGCAGATAAATCCAAGAGGACTTGAAAGATTGGATGTGAGCTGTGAAGGAAAGACAGAAATCAAGAATGTTTCCTAGGTTTTGGTTTAAGCAAGTAGGTGTCAACACCAAGATCAAGAAGCACAACATGATCAGCAGTACAGAAGCACTCCTTGTACCCCCTCCTGGACAGTCCTCTCATTCCCAGAGTAACTACCACCTTGATATCTAATGGCAAATGTTAGTTCTATCTGGTTTTGCTCTTTTATTAATGAAACTGTAATGTATTTTGTGTCAACATTATATTTGTGAGATGCATAAATAATGTCATTCATTTTTATGACTGTGTCGTATTGGTGAATTTTTCTCCATTTATTTATTTATTCTACTGTTCATGTAATTTTCAGTCTTGGCTACTTTAGTCTTCTATGGACATTTTTGCACATGTTTTCTCTTGAACATATGTATGCATTTCCATTGGTATCTACCTAGGAGTGGAACTGCTGTTATGAGTATGGATTTATTCAGTTGTATTAGTATAGTAGTCCCCTCTTTTTTGTGATTTTGCTTTCTTTAGTTCCACTTACCCATGGTCAACCTTGTCCAGAAACATTAAATGGAAAATTATTTAAATAAACAATTAATAGGTTTTAAATTGTACGCTGTTTTGAGTAGCTTGATGAAATCTCACGTCATCCTGCTCTGTCATGCCTGGGATGTGAATCATCCCTTTGTCCAGCATATACAAGCTATAGTTGCTATCTGCCTGTTAGCCATTGACATCTGCTCCTGACATCCAACCATCAACACCATGATCGTTCGATAACTCAGTATCACCCAAAGCAGTCAAACCTTCTTGTAATGTATTGTTAGAAATTCAATAGTAGCCTAATGCTATGTCAAAATACCTACATCATTCACTCCACTTCATCTGATAATAATGTAGGCATTTTATCATCTCACATCATCACAAGAAATAAAAGGATGAGTATAGTACAATAAGATATTTTGAGAGAGACGACATTCACATAACTTTTATTACAGTATATTGCTATAACTGTTCTATTTTATTATTAGTTATTGCTTTTAATCTCTTACTATGCTTAATTTATAAATTAAACTTTGTCATAGGCATGTACATATAGGAAAAAACATAGTATATATAGTATACATAGGATACAGTTCTATCCATGTTACCTGGCATCCACTGGGGGTCATAGAACATAGAACATATTCCACCACTGTACTATTAAACAGTTTTTCGAAGTGATTATATCAATTGCTATGGTTTGAATGTGTCCCCACAGAAAGCCTGTGTCCCCACAGAAACAATCCCCAATGCAACAGTGCTGGGAGGCTGGGCCTAATGGCAGATGATTAGGCCATGAGAGCTCTGCCCTCATGAATGGACTAATTTTGTTACCATGAGAGCAGGTTCCTTACAAAAGAATTAGTTCAATCTTCTCTTGCTCTGTCTCTCTCTCCCTCTCTCATCCCCTTTGCCTCTTTGCCCTTCTGCCATGAAATGACACAGCAAGAAAGCCTTCACCAGGCACCAGTCCTTAATATTGGACTTCTCAGCCTCCGCAACTGGGAGCAAATATATTTGTTATTTTTCAACTAAAAAAAATGATTTACTTAGCTCTAAGAATTCAATAACTGGGTTGTAAATAAGCAGCATAGAAAGAATAGCCAGTAATTGAAGGAGTCCTAACAATAGCACCTGTAAAACTCAAGACACCCATACCCCTTTCAGGTTTAGGTGCCTGTCTTTGGTTGAAATTTTTTTAACCACATCCAAATAGATAAGGCTGAGCAAACACATTTCTGTTCTTTATAAATAACCCAGTCTGTGGTATTCTATTATAGGAGGACAAAATAAACTAAGATGGGAATTGACACCTTTGCTAGCGTAGTTAGAAAACATTAGTGCTCTATATTCTTACCAGACCTTTTTTTTTTTTTTTCCTGTTGTTGTTGTTGTCGTTCTTGTTGACTTTAGGTCATTCTACTGGTTATTTGGTATTGTATTGTGATTTTGATTTGCATTCTCTAGTGACTAATGAAGTTGAGTAACTTTTCTTATTTTTATTGGTCATCGGATATCCTCTATTGTAAAATATCTGTTTAAATCTTTTGCCCATTTTTCTATTTTTAGCACTCTATTAATTTGTGAGAGTTATTTATATATTCTTATTAATAGTCATTTGTTAGTTACGTTGTCTCACAAATATCTCCCATTTAGTGAGTTAATTCTTAATTCTCTGAATGGATTTTTTGATAAAAGTTATAAATTTTAATGTAGTACAATTTGTCATTTTTTTCTGGTTAGCTTCTTTAAGAAATCTTTGCCTACTTCAAGATAAAAAAGATATTTTATCATGGTTTCCTCTAAAATCTTTCACTGATTTATATTTCACCTATAATACATCTGGAATTGATTTTTGTGTATGGTGTAAGGTAAGAGTCAAGATTCAGTTTTTCCCACTTGGATATCTGATTGAGCTAACACCATTTATTCAAAAGAGCATCTTACCCCTAATGCACTACAGTTTCATTTTGTCATGAATCAGGTGACTTTATATAAGGAAAGTATTGTTGTTGTTTTTCACTGAATTCTGTTCCATTTGATAGTTTATCCATTCTTATACTTAGTTTAATCAGTACAGTTTTTAACTACAGTTTTATAATAGGTCCTTGTCAGGCCTCTGAGCCCAAGCCAAGTCATCGCATCCCCTGTGACTTGCACATATACGCCCAGATGGCCTGAAGTAACTGAAGAATCACAAAAGAAGTGAAAATGCCCTGCCCCGCCTTAACTGATGACATTCCACCACAAAAGAAATGAAAATGGCCGGTCCTTGCCTTAAGTGATGACATTACCTTGTGAAAGTCCTTTTCCTGGCTCATCCTGGCTCAAAAAGCTCCCCCACTCAGTACCTTGTGACTCCCACTTCTGCCTGCCAGAGAACAACGCCCCTTTTTCCTTTACCTACCCAAATCCTATAAAACGGCCCCACCCCTATCTCCCTTCACTGACCCTCTTTTCGGACTCAGCCCACCTGCACCCAGGTGAAATAAACAGCCTTGTTGCTCACACAAAGCCTGTTTGGTGGTGTCTTCACACGGACGCACATGAAATTTGGTGTCGTGATTCGGATCGGAGGACCTCCCTTGGGAGATCAATCCCCTGTCCTCCGGCTCTTTGCTCCGTGAAAAAGATCCATCTATGACCTCGGGTCCTCAGACCCACCAGCCCAAGGAACATCTCACCGATTTTAAATCGGGTAAGCGGCCTCTTCTTACTCTCTTCTCCAACCTCTCTCACTCTCCCTCAACCACTTTCTCCTTTCAATCTTGGTGCCACCCTTCAATCTCTCCCTTCTCTTAATTTCAATTCCTTTCCTTTTCTGGTAGAGACAGGAGACACGTTTTATCCGTGGACCCAAAACTCTGGCGCCGGTCACGGACTTGGGAAGACAGTCTTCCCTTGGTGTTTAATCACACGGGGACAACTGCCTGATTATTACCCACGTTTCAGAGGTGTCTGACCACGCGGGGACGCCTGCCTTGGTCCTTCACCCTTAGCAGCAAGTACCGCTTTTCTGGGGGGCAAGAACCCCCCAACCCCTTCTCTCCATGTCTCTACCCCTTCTCCACTGTTCTGGGGGACAAGAACCCCCCAACCCCTTCTCTCTGTGTCTCTACCCCTTCTCTGCTTTTCTGGGGGCAAGAACCCCCCGATCCTTTATTTCCACACCCCGCTCTGTGCCCCGATCCCTTATTTCTGCACCCCGACTTCTTATCTCTGTGCCCCAACCCCTTATTTCCATGCCCCGACCCCTTTCCTGCTTTTCTGGAAGGTAAGAACCCCTGAACCCCTTCCCTCCATGTCTTTACTCTCCCTTTTCTTTAAACTTGCCTCCTTCACTATAGGCAACCTTCCACCCTCCATTCCTCCTTCTTCTCCCTTAGCCTGTGTTCTTAAGAACTTAAAACCTCTCAACTCTCACCTGACCTAAAACCTAAATGCCTTATTTTCTTCTGCAGTGCTGCTTGACCAAAATACAAACTCAACAGTGGTTCCAAATAGCAAGAAAATGGCACTTTCAATTTTTCCATCCTACAAGATCTAAATAATTCTTGTCGTAAAATAGGCAAATGGTCTGAGGTGCCTGACGTCCAGGCATTCTTTTACACATCAGTCCCTCCCTAGTCTCTGTTCCCAAGGCAACTCGTCCCAAATCCTCCTTCTTTCCCTCCTGCCTGTCCCCTCAGTCACAACTCCAAATGTCGCTGAGTCTTTCTAATCTTCCTTTTCTACAGACCCATCTGACCTCCTCGCCAGGCCGAGCCAGGTCCCAGTTCTTCTTCAGCCTCTGCTCCCCACCCTATAATCCTTTTATCACCTCCATTCCTCACACCGGGTCCAGCTTACAGTTTTGTTCCTCGACTAGTCTTCCCCCACCTGCCCAGCAATTTCCTCTTAAAAAGGTGGCTGGAGCTAAAGGCACAGTCAAGGTTAACGCTCCTTTTTCTTTATCCGACCTCTCCCAAAATCAGTTAGCATTTAGGCTTTTTTTCATCAAATATGAAAAACCCAGCCCAGTTCATGGCTCATTTGGCAGCAACCCTGAGACGCTTTACAGCCCTAGACCCTGAAAGGTCAGAAGGCCGTCTTATTCTCAATATGCATTTTATTTTTTTTACCCAATCTGCTCCCAACATGAAATAAAGCTCCAAAAATTAAATTCCGGCCCTCAAACCCCACAACAGGACTTAATTAACCCCGCCTTCAAGGTGTGCAATAATAAAGTAGAGGCAGCCAAGTAGCAATGTATTTCTGAGTTGCAATTCCTTGCCTCCACTGTGAGACAAACCCCAGCCACATCTCCAGCACACAAGAACTCCAAACGCCTGAACCTCCTCCCCCAGGAGCTTGCCACAAGTGCCGGAAATCTGACCACTGGGCCAAGGAATGCCCACAGCCCGGGATTCCTCCTAAGCCATGTCCCATCTGTGCGGGACCCCACTGAAAATTGGACTGTTCAACTCACCTGGCAGCCACTTCCAGAGCCCCTGGAACTCTGGCCCAAGGCTCTCCGACTGACTCCTTCCCAGATCTTCTCGGCTTAGCAGCTGAAGACTGACGCTGCCCGATCGCCTCGGAAGCCTACAGGACCATCACAAATACTCTGAGTAACTCTCACAGTGGAGGGTAAGTCCATCTCCTTCTTAGTCAATATGGAGGCTACCCACTCCACATTACCTTCTTTTCAAGGGCCTGTTTCCCTTGCCTCCATAACTGTTGTGGGTATTGACGGCCAGGCTTCTAAACCTCTTAAAACTCCCAAACTCTGGTGCCAACTTAGACAATACTCTTTGAAGCACTCCTTTTTAGTTATCCCCACCTGCCCAGTTCCCTTGTTAGGCTGAGACACTTTAACTAAATTATCTGCTTCCCTGACTATTCCCGGACTACAGCTGCATCTCATTGCCACCCTTCTCCCCAACCCAAAGCCTCCTTTGCATCTTCTTCTCATATCCCCCCACCTTAACCCACAAGTATGGGACATCTCTACTCCTTCCCTGGCAACTGATCACATGCCCATTACCATCCCATTAAAGCCTAATCACTCTTACCCTGCTCAATGTTAATATCCCATCCCACAGCACGCTTTAAAAGGATTAAAGCCTGTTATCACTCACTTGCTACAGCATGGCCTTTTAAAGCCTATATACTCTCCTTACCATTCCCCTATTTCACCTGTCCTAAAACCAGACAAGTCTTATAGGTTAGTTCAGGATCTGTGCCTTATCAACCAAATTGTTTTGCCTATCCACCCCCGTGGTGCCAAACCCATATACTCTCCTATCCTCAATACCTCCTTCTACAACCCATTATTCTTTTCTGGATCTCAAACATGCTTTCTTTACTATTCCTTTGCACCCTTCATCCCAGCCTCTCTTTGCTTTCACTTGGACTGACCCTGACACCCATTAGGCTCAGCAAATTACCTGGGCTATACTGCCGCAAGGCTTCACAGACAGCCCCCATTACTTCAGTCAAGCCCAAATTTCATCCTCATCTGTTACCTATCTCGGCATAATTCTCACAAAAACACACGTGCTTTCCCTGCTGATTGTGTCTGACTAATCTCCCAAACCTCAATCCCTTACAAAACAACAACTCCTTTCCTTCCTAGGCATGGTTAGTGTGGTCAGAATTCTTACACAAGAGCCGGGACCACACCCTGTAGCCTTTCTGTCCAAACAACTTGACCTTACTGTTTTAGCCTAGCCCTCATGTCTGCGTGCAGCAGCTGCCACTGCTCTAATACTTTTAGAGGCCCTCAAAATCACAAACTATGCTCAACTCACTTTCTACAGTTCTCATAATTTCCAAAATCTATTTTCTTCCTCACACCTGACACTTATACTTTCTGCTCCCCCGGCTCCTTCAGTTGTACCCACTCTTTGTTGAGTCCCACAATTACCATTGTTCTCGGCCCGGACTTCAATCCGGTCTCCCACATTATTCCAGATACCACACCTGACCCTCATGACTGCATCTCTCTGATCCACCTGACGTTCACCCCATTTCCCCACATTTCCTTCTTCCCTGTTTCTCACCCTCATCACATTTGGTTTATTGATGGCAGTTCCACCAGGCCTAATCACCACTCACCAGCAAAGGCAGACTATGCTATAGTACTAGCCACTAGCCCGCCTCTTAGAACCTCTCATTTCCTTTCCATCGTGGAAATCTATCCTCAAGGAAATAACTTCTCAGTGTTCCATCTGCTATTCTACTACTCTTCATGGATTATTCAGGCCCCCTCCCTTCCCTACACATCAAGCTCGGGGATTTGCCCCCGCCTAGGACTGGCAAATTGGCTTTACTCAATATGCCCCAAGTCAGAAAACTAAAATACCTCTTAGTCTGGGTGGACACTTTCACTGGATGGGTAGAGGCCTTTCCTACAGGATCTGAGAAGGCCACTGCGGTCATTTCTTCCCTTCTGTCAGATATAATTCCTCAGTTTGGCCTTCCCACCTCTATACAGTCTGATAACGGACCAGCCTTTATTAGTCAAATCAGCCAAGCAGTTTTTCAGGCTCTTGGTATTCAGTTAAACCTTTATATCCCTTACGGTCCTCAGTCTTCAGGAAAGGTAGAACGGACTAATGGTCTTTAAAAAACACACCTCACCAAGCTCAGCCACCAACTTAAAAAGGACTGGACAATACTTTTACCACTTTCCCTTCTCAGAATTCAGGCCTGTCCTTGGAATGCCACAGGGTACAGCCCGTTTGAGCTCCTGTTTGGACGCTCCTTTTTATTAGGCCCCAGTCTCATTCCAGACACCAAACCAAGTTGGACTGTGCCCCAAAAAACTTGTCATCCCTACTATCTTCTGTCTAGTCATACTCCTATTCACCGTTCTCAACGACTCATACATGCCCTGCTCTTGTTTACACTGCCGGTTTACACTGTTTCTCCAAGCCATCACAGCTGATATCTCCTGGTGCTATCCCCAAACCGCCACTCTTAACTCTTAAAGTAAATAAATAATCTTTGCTGGCAGGACTATGCTGAATCTCCTTAGGCACTCTCTAATTAGATGTCCTGGGTCCTCCCAATTCTTAGACCTTTAATACCTGTTTTTCTCCTTCTCTTATTCCATTTAGTTTTTCAATTCATACAAAACCATATCCAGGCCATCACCAATAATTCTAAATGACAAATGTTTCTTCTAACAACCCCACAATATCACCCCTTACCACAAGACCTCCCTTCAGCTTAATCCCTCCCACTCTAGGTTCCCACGCCGCCCCTAATCCCGCTTGAAGCAGCCCTGAGAAACATCACCCATTCTCTCTCCATACCACCTCACAAAAATTTTCGCCGCCCCAACACTTCAACACTGTTTTGTTTTATTTTTCTTATTAATATAAGAAGGCAGGAATGTCAGGCCTCTGAGCCCAAGCCAAGCCATCGCATCCCCTGTGACTTGCACATATACGCCCAGATGGCCTGAAGTAACTGAAGAATCACAAAAGAAGTGAAAATGCCCTGCCCCGCCTTAACTGATGACATTCCACCACAAAAGAAGTGAAAATGGCCGGTTCTTGCCTTAAGTGATGACATTACCTTGTGAAAGTCCTTTTCCTGGCTCAAAAAGCTCCCCCACTCAGTACCTTGTGACCCCCACCCCTGCCTGCCAGAGAACAACGCCCCTTTTTCCTTTACCTACCCAAATCCTATAAAACGGCCCCACCCTTATCTCCCTTCACTGACCCTCTTTTCGGACTCAGCCCACCTGCATGCACCCAGGTGAAATAAACAGCCTTGTTGCTCACACAAAGCCTGTTTGGTGGTCTCTTCACATGGACGCGCATGAAAGTCCTAATATCTGATACTGTATTTCTACAGCTTTGTTGTTTTTCTTTATAATTATCTTGACTATTCTTTAAAGATGTGAATTTGAGAGTCGTTGGCCTTTAAATGGAATTGGAAGTTCTGTGACTGCTTGCAATGCCCAAGGAGACAATGATGACAGAGAAGAAGGCCTAAAATAGAGCTTAAATATTTAACAGTTATAAGTCATATAGGAGAGTATGATCAAGCAAATCAGACTCCAAAAGTACTATCAGTGTGGTAGGAAGAAACCAGGTAAGTGTAGTGTCATGGAATCCAAGAGAAGAAAATGCTTCAAAAAGGAAGAAATGGTCAGTCATGGCAAATGCATTTGAAAGGTTAAGATAATAACAGAAAATTGGCCATTGGCTTTGGCAATATATAGATAATTGATGGCCCTGATAAGAGCTGTTTCAGTAGAGTCTTGGAGATAAAAAGAATCCTACTACAATGACTTGAAGAGAGAATTGGAAGTGAAATTTATACTGCTGACATTAAAATTATATAAACTTAAAGTAGTTAAAGGATAGTTCTAATGCAAAAAGATAACCAATACAAAAGAGATCAGAAAGCTCAGAAACAAACCATGTATATGTTTTATCTTACATTGAGCAAATAATAATGGTAACATTTCGTATCTGGAGTGGAGCAAGAGCCCTAACGATTAGGACTCCAATATCTGGAGCTAGGATATTTAGAAAAAGAACATCCTATGTCATACGCTTATTGAGTTAAACCTGTTGTTCTCAATGTGTGGCCTGAGAACAACTGGAGGTTATTGAGACTCTTGCAGAAAGTCTGCAAAATAAAGACAATTGCCATAAAAATATTAAGGCATTATTTGTCATTTTAATTTTTATTCTGTCACATGTGTACCATGGAGTTTTCCAGAGGCTACCTGATGTGTCTTCTATTAAGCCAGACATTGTAGAGATTTGCAAAAGTGTAAAATAATGACCTCTTCTCACTAAATTTATCTTTGTTTTGGAAAAGATAGATACTTTTAATAAAATGTGTATTTTAATATGTAATATATGTAAAAATATGATTTAATATTATTTTTAAATAAATGGATAGTTTTTCAAATTTCTCAACTTCAATCTCAAATATGACATAACCTATGTAAACAAAAGTTCTTGGGGAGTCCTCAATAATGTTAAGAGTATAAAGGGGTTCTGACATCAAAAGGGCTGACAATCACTGAGTTAACAAATTAAACACTTTTTAAATTGAAAATATAAAAGTACTAGATGAAAACATATAACGATGAGCTGGGAAAGAGCTTTTAAAATAATGATACAAAAACAATAATAAACATTTGTTGATCATTAATAATGTGCCACATGTTTTATATAGTTTCTCATCAAATCTCACAACCTTATGACATAGGCATAATTATTATTTCCATTAATAGATGGAAAACTAAAACACAAACAGGTTAGCCCATTGTCAGAGTTGGCAAGTGGAAAGTGGGTTATGAACCCAGATCTACACTCCTAAATACTATTTTACATTGCTTCTCTTTAATTTAACATTTCTCCATCCAATATATATTTCACATATACAAAGTTTAAATTTAAATCTAAAAAATGTCTGAATTTGAAGAACATTTACTGCCCTATCATTTTGTTTATTTGTTCATTTAATTAGAGCCAGGGTCTCACTATGCTGCCCAGTCTGGAGTGAAGTGGTTATTCACAAGAATGATACTAGTGCCTGAAACTCATGGCCTCAAGTGATTCTCCTGCCTCAGCTTCCAGAGTAGCTGGTTCTACAGGCATTAACCACTGCGCCCAGCTCCATTGCCTTATCTTAAACAATAAAGCCACTCAGGCTGTATCTACAGACAACTATCATCTGCAAGGGAAACATGAACGAGTTGTGACCTGCCTTTTTGCCGTCGGTTCCACCTCCAATCAATCCCTAAATACAATGGCTTGTGAATGGATTGGGTTAAAGAGGAAGAATAAAACACATTCACATGAATAGACCTAACTATGACTTTAACCTGACAGATCTCAGAGAAATAAGAAACCCCTTTCATCTGTGGATCTTTTGTTACTGTTGTTGTCGTTATAGTGAAAAGAAAGAAAAAGACAAATTATATTCAATGAAAAAAGACAAATTATATTCAATGAAAAAAGACATACACATTCATTACACATGTTTGGAAACACAAGTCTTGACTGATCTTGCGGGCAGGAGCAAAACTAAGGAAATTGGCTTGGCTGTGTTAACAAAGTGTTTAGAGTGTGAATAGTCAGCTTAGTGCCTTGACACTATTGTGATCAGAGGGTAAAGTCAAATAGTAAAGTTAGTTAAGCTATTGGCAATCGATGATGAGCCACTTTAGCAGTGCCTTTTCCGGAACAATGCTAGATAATATGAGACAATGTATATACTAAAAGAATCACACTTTTTAGAATAATTACAGTATTTTACCTTACCAAAATGATGAAGAAGTCATCAAAGATGTCTAAACCAAACTCTGACAGTCAAACTAAGAATTTTGCATTTCTTACAGATGCATAAATAGCAGGAAGGACAGGAAAAGCCATCTCACCAAGGCTCTTTGCTTTTCAAAGGGAGCATTTTTATATTATTTATGCCACCTACATCTGAAGCATAATATATTAAATGGACAGAAGGGGAGGAGGAGACATTGATAGAAGAAGAGAGAAAGGATGAATGAACAAAAGAAGAAATGGAAGCCTTCTTCAATATTCATAGAAATACTCTGGGTTCTCAAATGAAGAGCTTACTCCAAAACAAATTTCAAAAGGGATGAAATAATTCATTGCTGTCTCCCCCAAGAAAAGTCTTTCCTTTGATTTACATCCTAGGAGCTTCCATACTCACAAGCTCTGCCCAGCAGCCTGGCACTCTGGCATTCACCTACCACAAAGAGTTCATTCAATGCATCTCTATACACCTGGCTCCATTTCTATATTTTATCTATTACCTTCTCTCTCACCCTCACTTTCATTCATCTTATAAAAAAAAAGAAAAAAAAGCTTGGGGAAACCCAAGCTTTTTCCTAGACTTTAATATATCAAAATGATATGCTAAACTTATTTTAATCTTTCCATTTTCATGCTGAATTAAACATATTAGGATTTTTAAATCTCTAATAAATTGTTACCTATTTGTCAAAAAATAATGAGCTTTGGTATTGAAGAGGATCAGGATATGCCACCCCATAATACACCACATTGGCATAAGAATTATTTTGAGCTGAATGCAATTGAGAATCAACAGATGCAAGAAGATGCCTCTTCTCTCCCCTTATCTACCTAAAAGGAGGGCATTAAATTTCTCCTCATGAAGGTGTCTCCGCCTTTACCAAAAAAAGAAGAAAAAAGACAGGGAGTTAATACCAAGATGAGTTTGCATTAAAAGACCTTTCCAAAAGAGCACTACCTTCTATTAGTTTCTCCATATTTTTCCTAGTCACTTCCCAACGATTTGTCATCCCTTAAAGAGCAAACCACCTTTCTTTTTTTTTTTTAAGGATATATAGGTCCCCAAATCTAGCTGCTTGTTTGACTTTTACTTCTTTTATGTGAACTCCCATCCCTGTAAATAATAATAAAAACTGTGCACCTTTTCTTCTATTAATCTGTATTTGTTTAATTTAATCCTCAGCCCCACCTCAAACACTGAACCAAAGGAGATGAAGGGAAAGCTTACTGTTTACTATGTCAAAGTTTTAATAATGTCAAGTGTGTTCAATCCCTATTTTAGGTGACTTTCCTAGAGTCCCCAAAATGTTTTTGATTACACATTTCTAGTGTTTCACAATTTACCTGAGGAAAAACATCTAATGTTTATGACCTCTGAGCAGAAGTACGGAATGAGGACAATTATTTCATAATTTCCAAACACCTTTTAACTCTCAACTTTTACCTCTCTGATAAGCCCACTGCACCAGAAATGAGGAAAAATTATTTTACAAAATCCACAAAAACATAGTACCTTTGACCCTGTGGCACTGCATTGGTTTAACTGTTTGTTGCAATTGTACTGAGGCAAGCTGCTAAATAAGAACAACTTTTCTTTAAGGCCTTCACATCTCCTTTCATTTGCCTTTCTGTCATTTTGTGTGATAAGCCTTTTTAAAGTCATCACACAGGGACCTCCACCCTCATAATGCACTCTAAGTGCTCCAATAAATACCTCATCACCACCAGTGCGGAATTTCACTTAGATTTTTTTACTCTTCTAAGAGCCTTAACTACCAAAATTATTGCTGCCCACTTATAAAAGAATGACATGATCTCAAAAGAGCTGCACAGTATTATAAGTACTCAATCCAATTGAAATTGTCACAAAACAATGGGAATAAATAATGATACTCATTCTCCTTTCCCCAGCTTCCCCAGAAGTATTTGTACTTGTCAATTCAGATAAATCTCAAGCTAGTATGTTTTCAGAATATGTGACAAAGTGAAAAAATTTCAGCAAGTTATGGCATGAGTCAAAAGTAATGAAGTAAATATAGAATGCTCCCTTAAGAAGTGTGTTAGAGAAATGAAGGCTGCAGCCTAAGGGAGAAGCTGGGTCAAACAAAGGATTACTATTTTCTTTGCTTGCTTTATTTATTGGGGTCTGAAGGTGAACAACTTGAACTTCTTCGCTGGCTGAAAGGAAACGACAAGTAGAGGAAGAAGGGTAGGAGTACAGCAGAGAGATTTGAAAATTGACAAATTGAGATCCTGGTGAAGAGATGGGATGGCTGGGTTGTGCAGAGGAAATAGGATAAAGGGCACAGATCAGCCTTGGAAAGGAATCAGGTAGGTAGAACTGTACATAAATTTGTAGAAAGGAGAGGGAAAATAACTGAGGTCCTTTGTCTTCTATGGTGCAAGAGTTTAAATAATTTGAATATATTGACATGATAGGGGTGGGAGGAAATAAGGTCCTGAACAAAGTGATGTTTTGAAACAGCAATCTTGAAGACTTGAAAAGAAAGATCGCTAAGGACAAAAAAAATTTCTAGAATTCTGGCACCATGGAAAATCTGATTGTAGAGACAGTGATACCACCAAAGGATCATACTAGCTCTCTAGCAATAGTCCCTAACCAAAATGGAACTCAAAAATGACAGATAAAAAATTCAAAGCATGGATTGTAAGGAAGCTCAACAATATCCAAGACAAGTTTGGAAATCAACACAAAGAAACTTCTAAGTCAATCCAGAAAATGAAGGAAGAGATAAACACTTTAAATAGAAATAAATCAGTTTCTTGAATTGAAGAGCTGCCTTAAAAATTTTCAAAATACAGCCGGGTGCAGTGGCTCACGTCTGTAATCCCAGAACTTTGGGAGGCCAAGGTGGGTCGATCACCTGAGGTCAGGAGTTCGAGACCAGCCTGGCCAACATGGTGAAACCCCGTCTCTACTAAAAATACAAAAATTAGCTGGGCGTGGTGGCAGGCGCCTGTAATCCCAGCTACTAAGGAGGCTGAGGCGGGAGAAATCGCTTGAACCCAGGAGGTGGAGGTTGCAGTGAGCCAAGGTCACGCCACTGCATTCCAGCCTGGGCAACAGTGCAAGACTCCATCTCAAAAAAAAAAAAAAAAAAGAAAGAAAGAAAAAAAAAAACAGTCTTTGAGGAATATGAAATTATGTAAAGTGAGTGACTAAACCTACAAATTATTGGCATTCCTGAGAAAGAAAGAGAAAAAGTAAACAATCTAGAAAACATACTTGAGAGAATAATCAAAGAAAATTTCACTAATCTTACTAGAGAGGTAAATATCCAGATACAAGAAATCTAGCACCTGCAATATACTATGTAAAATGACATCACCAAGGCATATAGTCACCAGACTGTCCAAGGTCAATGATAAAGAAAAAAATCTTAAAGGCAGCAAGGTAATAAGTCACACCACATACAAAGGGAACCCTGTCAAGCTAACAGCAGACTTCTCAGTAGCAACCTTACAAGCCTGGAGAGATTGTGGACCTATTTTCAGCTTTCTTAAAGAAAAGAAATTCCAACAAAGAATTTGATATTCTGTCAAACTAAGCTTCATAAGTGGGGAGATGAAACCTTGTACAGACATGCAAGTGCTAAGGGAATTTGTTACCCCTAGACCAGCCTTATGAAAGATCCTTAAGGGAATTCTAAACATGAAAATAAAAGAATAGCTGCTACCACAAAAACACACTTAAGTACATAGCCCACAGACTCTATAAAGCTACCACGCAATAGAATCTAAAAAGCAAGCAGCTAACAACTTCATGATTTGATCAAAGCTTCACATATTATTAACCCTGAATGTAAATAGTCTAAATGCCTCCATTTAAAAGGCACAGATTTGCAAGTCGGATATATAAACAAGACCCATCCTTCTGCTGTCTTCAAGAGATCCATCTCTCATATAATGACACCCATAGGCTAAAAGTAAAGGGTTATAGAGAGATCTATCATGCAAATGGAAAATAAAAAAAGACCAGGGGTTGCTATTCTTATATAAGATAAAACAGATTTTAAACCAATGATAGTAAACATGGACAAAGAAGGGCATTACATAATGATAACGAGTTCACTTCAACAAGAAGAATTAACTATCTTAAATATATATGCACCAACACTGGAGCACCCAGATTCATAAAACAACTACTTCTTGACCTACAAAAAGACTTAGACAGCCACACCATAATAGTTGCAGACTTCAAAACCCCACTGACAGTGTTAGACAGATTTCCAACATGAGAAACCAACAAAGAAATTCTGGACTTAAATTCAACATTTGGTCAATTGGACCTAACAGACATCTACAGAACATTCCACCCACCAATCAGAGAATATATATTTTTCTCATCTTTACATGGAACATATTCAAAGACTGACCACATGCTTAGCCAGAAAGCAAGTCTCAATAAATTCAAAAAACTGAAATCATACCAAACATACTCTCATATCACAGTAGAATAAAAATAGAAATCAATACCAAGAATGTCTCCCCAAACCACAAAATTACATGGAAATTAAATAACTTGCTCCTAAATGACTTTTGCATAAATAATGAAATTAAGGCAGAAATAAAAAATTCTTTGAAATAAATGAAAACAGAGATATGACATACCAAAATACCTGGGATGCAGCAGAAGCAGGGCTAAGAGAAAGTGAATAGAGCTAAATGCCTACGTAAAAAAGTTAGAAAGATCTCAAGTTCACAATGTAACATCACACTTAGAAAACTAGAAAAACAAGAACAAAGTGACCCAAAAGCAAGCAGAAGAAAAGAAATAACTTAATCAAAGTGGAACTGAACAAAACTAAGACCCAAGAATCCATATAAAGAATCAACAAAACCAAAAGTTGTTTTCTGAAATAAGATCATTAGACTGCTAGCTAGATTAACAAAAAAAGAGAGAAGATACAAATAAACACAATCAGAAACAACAAATGTGACATTACAATTGATCCTACCAAAATACAAAACATCCTCACAGACTATTGTAAACACCTTTATACACACAAACAGAAAATCTAGAGGAAATGGAAACATTCCTGGAAACACACAACCTCAAAAGATTGAATCAGGAAGAAATTAAAACCCTTAACAGATGAATATCAAGTTCTGAAATTGTATCAGTAACAAAAACCCCATGAACGAAAAAAGCCCCAGACGAGATAGATTCAGAGGTGAATTCTACCATACATGCAAAGAGCTGTTACCTAGTCTACTGAACTATTTCTAAAAATTGAACAGGAGGTACTCATTAACTCATTCCACAAAACCTGCCTCACCCTGATTCCAACATCTGGCAAAGAAGCAATGAAAAAATAAAACTACAGGCCAATATCCCTGATGAACATAGACGCAAAAATTCTCCACAAAATACTAGCAAACCGAATGCAGAAACACTTCAAAAGGCTAATTCAACATGATCAAGTAGGCTTTGGATGTAGGGTTGGTTTAACATATCCAAATCAATAAATATGATTCATCATATAAACAGAATTAAAAACATACCATATGATCATTTCAATAGATGCAAAAAGAAACTTTGATAAAATCCAACATTCCTTCGTGATAAAAATCCTCAACAAACTAGGCATCAAAGGAATCTGTCTCAAAATAAGCACCATCTAGGACAAATCCACAGCCAACATCATACTGAAAGGGCAAAAGCTGGAAGCATTCCCCTTGAGAAAAGGAACAAGACAAGGATGCCCGCTTTCACCACTCCCATTTAACATACTATTAGAAGTCCTTGCCAGAGAAACCAGGCAAGAGAAAGAAATAAAAGGCATCAAAATAGGAAGAGAGGAAGTAAAATTACCTCTCTTCACTGAGTATATGATTCTGTACTTAGAAAACACTAAAGACTCTGCCAAAGTCTTCTGGAACTGATAAATGACTTCAGTAAAGTTTCAGGATAAAAAATCAATGTATAAAAATCGGTAGCATTTCTATTCTCCAATGACATTCATTCTGAGAGCCAAATCAAGAATGAAATCTCACTTACAATAGCTACCAAAAAATAAAATACCTAAGACTACATCTAACCATGGAGATGAAAGAGCTCTACAAGGAGAACTACAAAACATTGCTGAAAGAAATCATAGATGATACAAACAAATGGAGAAGCATTCCATGCTCGAATTGAAAGAATCAATATCATTAAAATGACCACACTGCCAAAAGCAATCTACAGATTCAACGTTATTCCTAGCACACAACCAATGCCATTTTTCACAGAATGATTAAAAAAACACTCTATGATTCATATGGAATGAAAAAAAGAGCGGGAATAGCCAAAGCAATTCTAAGCAAAAAGAACAAAGCCAGAGGCATCACATTACCTGACTTCAAACTGTACAAGGCCACAGTAAACACAACAGCATGGTACTTGGTACAAAAACAGACACATAGACCAATGTAACAAAATAGAGAACCCAGAAGTAAAGCCTCACACCTACAACCATCTGATTTTTGACAAAAATAAGCAATGGGGAAAGGACTCATAATTTAATAAATGGTACTGGGATGGCTTGCTAATTGTATGCAGAAGAATGAAACTGGACCCCTACCTTTCACCGTATACAAAAATCAACTCCAGATGAATTAAAGATTTAAATATAAGAAATTAAACTCTAAGAATCCTAGAAGAGAACCCAGGAAACACTATTCTGAACATTGGCCTTGGCAAAAAATTTATGACTAAGTCCTCAAAAGCAATTGCAATGAAAACAAAAATTGACAAGTGAGACCTCATTAAACTAAAGAGCTTCTGCACAGCAAAAGAAACTATCAACAGAATAAACAGACAATCTACAGAATGCAAGAGGATAGTCACAAACTCTGCCTCTGACAAAGGTCTAATATCTAGAATCTATAAGGAACAATTCAATGAGCAAAAAACAAATAACTGCATTAAAAAGTGGGCAAACAACTGGAACAGACACTTCTCAAAAGAAGACATACAAGTGGCCATCAAACATACGAAAAAATGCTCAGCATCACTAATCAGCAGAGAAATGCAAATCAAAACCAAAGGGAAATACCATCTCACACCAGTCAGAATGATGATTATTAAAAAGTCAAAAAAAACAACAGATGCTGGCGAGGCTGCTGAAAAACGGGAATGCTTATACACTGTTGGTGGGAATGTAAATTAGTTCAGCCACTGTGGAAAGCAGTCTGGAGGCGTTTCAACGAACTGGAAACAGAACTACTCTTTGACCTAGCAATTGCATTACTGGGTTCATATCCAAAGGCACATACACTGATGATGTCTTTTGCAAGAACATAGACGCAGTTGGAGGCCATTATCCCAAGCAAATTAACACAGGAAGAGAAAACCACATGCAGCATGTTCTCACTTATAAGTTGGAGTTAAACAATGTGTACTCATGGACATAAATATTGCAAGAATAGATACTGGGGACTAATTGGGGGGGAATGAAGGAGCGGGTAAAGGGTTGAAAAACTAACTGTTGGATACTACATTCACTATCTGGGTGATGGGATGATTTGTAGCCCAATCCTCAGCATCATGCAATATACCCATGTAACAAACCTGCACATGTACCCTCTGGATCTAAAATAAAAGTTAAAATTACTTTAAAAATAAAAATAATAAACTAAAACAAAAAGCACTACAAGAAAACAAAAAAAAATCTGCTTCATGAGAAATGTCAAAATATGTAAATCAGTCAGAAACATTTATATTGCTTGGTTGGGTTAACCTTATTCATTCCCAAAGTTCAGCAAATACAGATATATTGATAAGGAGGTAGGGACAACCTTCAGAGGGCAGGCAGCTGAGGCTGAATCCCATGCCCTTTTCACAAGAATGAACTATGACCTCTCTGACCATTTGTGTTTTATCCAGGATGACACTGAAGAGTATACCTGTGTGAGCCCCAAGATAATTAATTTTATATGTCAACTTGGTTAGACTACAGCGTCCAGTTGTTTTAACAAACACTAGTCTAGATATTGCTGTAATTGTATTTTAATATGTGATTAACCTCTAATATCAGTAGACTTTGAGTAAAGTTGGCTACCTTTAATAATGTTCACAGTCCTCATTGAGTCAGTTGAAAATCTTAAGAGCAAAAACTGAAGCTTACTGAAGAAAGAACACTAACTCCAGACTGAAACACAAAATATGCCTGTCTCAAAAATATGCCTCTGTCCAGAATGGTGTTTCCTAAGTCCTCTTATGGGATTCTTATAGTTTAAAGACTTACATTTAAATCTTTAATTCATCTTAAGTCAATTTTTGTATATGGTGAAAAGTAGGGGTGCAGTTTCGTTCTTCTACATGTTAACTAGCCAGCCATCCCACACCATTTATTAAATAATCAATCCTTTCCCAATTACCTTTAGACTCAATACCACATCAACTCTTACCTAAATCTCCAGCTTCTCCTATGGATTTTAGACTTGCCAGCCCCCACAATTGTGTGATCCAATTTATTAATTTATTTTTCTTTTCTTTTCTTTTTCTTTCTTTCTTTCTTTTCTTTTCTTTTTCTTTTTTTTTTTTTTTTCGAGACAGGGTCTTTGTTATCCAGGCTGGAGAGCAGTCGTGCTATCATGGCTCACTGCAGCCTTAGGCTCCTGTGCTCAAGCGATCCTCTCACCTCAGCTTCCTGAGTAGCTGAGACTACAGGTGCATAGCACCATGCCCAGCTAATTAAAAAAAAAATTTGTAGAGACAAGGTCCCACCTTGTTGCCCAGGCTGGTCTCAAACAACTGGGCTCAAGTGATCCTCCTGCCCCAGCCTTCCAAAGTGCTGAGATTATAGGCGTGAGCCACCACACCTAACCCAATTTCTTAAAATAAATTTTTCTCTCTCTCTAGATTAAAAAAAAAAAAGGAAAAAGAAAAAGATTGCTAACCAATACTGTCAGCTGAAGAAAGGTGAAACAATACATATTTAGTGATGTCAGATTGTTTTACAATGTAATCATCACAAGCAACTCAAGGACCGGACAAATTGAGAGGAGAGGCAAAAAAAAAAAAAAAAAAGGATGATTGGACTGACCTAGGTATGCATATGCATAGGAGAGTAGGAGAGGTAAGGGAAATAAGAAGACACAGGGTTTGAGTGCCAATAGGAGTATTCATACTTGGCAGAGAAGTATGTGATATTTAAAGTGGCTGAAAAGGTTGGTTAATGGACATAAAAGTACATCTAGACATGAGGAATAAATTCTACTGGTCTATAGTACCACAAGCTGACTGGAATTAATGACATTTTATTGTTTATTTTCAAATAGCAGGAAAGAGCAGATGTGGAATGTTTCCAACACAAAGAAATAATAAATGTTTGAAGTAACTGATATGCTAATTACACAGATTTTATCATCATACATTGTATGCATGTATAGAAATATCACACTGTATCCCATAAATATGTACAATTGTTATGTATCAATTAAAAGTAATAACAAAGGCAAAAATAATGAAATGCTGAGAAAAAGTGGTGAATAAGGTAGAACAAAGAAAGGCAAGCATTAGTATTCTCAGTGAGGATAACGGTTGCTTAGAGGGAGAGGTAGAAAACTTGAGAAAAGAAGTTATGGTTTAAAATTTTACATTTGGAGTAGTCTTTTGAATCAGTTAAATCTTGTTTCATATTTTTTAATGTTTTATTTTTAATTGACATACTAATTTTACATATTTATGGGATACAAAGTGATGTTTTGATACAGGTATACATTGTGTAACCAACAAAATACAGTATGTAGCATATGCATCACTGAGGACTTTTTTATTTTAATTTTTAATTTTCTTGGAAACATACTAGGTGTACATATTTATGGAGTACATGAGATGTTTTGATACAGGCATTGAAAGCATAATAATCACATCATGGTAAATGCAGTATCCATCCCCTCAAGCATTTATCATTTGTGTTACAAATATTCCCATTATACTATTTTAGTTGTTTGAAAATGTACAATTAAATTATTATTGACTATAGACCCTCTGTTTTGCAATCAAATATTAAATGTTATTCTTTCTAATGAATTTTTGTACCCATTAATCATCTTCGCTTTCCTCTACCCCCCCCACTACCCTCCCCAGGCTCTACTAAATATTGTTCTACTCTCTATCTCCATGAGTTCAGTTATTTTAACTTTTAGATCCACAAATAAGTGACAACATGCAATGTTTGTTTTCCTGTGCCTGGCTTATTTCATTTATTTCACTTAATAATGACCTTCAGTTCCATATATATTGTTGCAAATGACAAGATGTCACTCTTTTTTATGGCTGAATAGTACTCCATTGTGTATAAGTACCACATTTTCTTCATTCATCTGTTAATAGACACTTACATTGCCTCCAAATCTTGGCTGTTGTGAATGGTGCTGCAATAAACTTGGGAGTGCAGGTATGTCTTTGATACACTAATTTCCTTTCTTTTGGGTATATACCCAGCAGTAGGATTGCTGCATTGTAAGTTAGCTCTATTTTTAGTTTTTTGAGGAACTTCCAAACTGTTCTCTCAGTGGCTGTACTAATTTACATTCCCACCAACAGTGAACAAGGGCTCCCTTTTATCAACATCCTCGCCAGCATTTGTTATTGCCTGTCTTTAGAATAAAAGCCATTTTACCTGGGAGGAGATGAAAATTTGGTGTTCCTGTGAGGGGGATGATTGGTGGATGCTTCTCTTCATCCATCTTACTCCACCCTCTCTGCTACAAACATTTATAATTTTTGTGTGGTAAGAACATTCATAATCCTCCCTTCTGGCTATTTTGAAATATAAAATACAATATTGTATACTGTAGTAACCCTACTGCATGATAGAACACCAAAACTTATTCCTCCTCTTTAACTATAATTTTGTACCTGTTCACCAATCTTTCCCTATTCCCCTTCTCCCTCCACTACCCAGTCTACAATAGTCACTTTTCTACTCTCTGATTATTGAAATCAATTTTCTTAGATTCCACATATGAGTAGGATCATGCAGTATTTGGCTTTTTGTGCCTGGCTTATTTCACCTAACATAATGTCTTTAAAGTCCATCCATGTTGCCATGAACGACAATATTTCATTCTTTTTATGACTGAGTAGTATTCCATTGTGTGTGTATGTGACATTTTCTTTATTCATTCATTTGTTGATGGACACATAGGTTGATTCCATATTTTGACTATTATAAATAGTGCTGCAAGAAACACGGGAGTGCAGATAGCTCTTTTGTTTTGTTTTGTTTTGTTTTGAGACAAGGTCTCATTTCGTCACACAGGCTGGAGTGCAGAGGTGCAAACATGGCTCACCGCAGCCTTGACATCCCAGCCCAAGCAATCCCCCCACCTTAGCCCCACAAGTAGCCAGCATTACAGTTGCACACCGCCATGTCTGGCTATGTTTTTTGTAGAGGTGGGGTTTCACCATGTTGCCCAGTCTGGTTTCAAACTCCTGAACTCAGGTGATCCACCTGCCTCAGCCTCCCAAAGTGCTGGGATTACAGTTGTGAGCCACCAAACTTGGCTGCGTACATCTCTTTGACATACTGATTTCATTTCCTTTGCATATATGCATATATGATTGTTGGATCAAATGGTAGTTCTCTTTTTAATATTTTGAGGAACCCATATACAGATTTCCTGATAGCTACACTAATTTACATACCCACCAACAGTGTATTAAGTCTTCTCTTTTCTCTACACATTAACTAGCATTTGTTATCTTTTGTCATTTTGATAATAACCATTCTAATTGAGGTGAGGTGATAACTCACTGTGGGTTTGATTGGCAATTCCCTGATGGTTAGTGATACTGAGCATTTTTTCATATATCTGTTGCCGCTTTGCATGTTTTCTTTTAAGAAACGTCTTTTGCCCATTTTTAAATCAAATTTATTTTTGCTATTAAGTTGTTTGAGTTTCTTATATATTCTGGTATTAACCACTTGTTAGACACATAATTTGCAAATGTTTTCTCTCATTCTGCATATTGTTTCTTCACTCTGTTGACTTTTTCCATTGCTGTATAGAAGCTTTTTAACTTGATGTATTTTCATTTGCCTATTTTTGCTTTTGTCACCTTTTTAAGGTCTTATCCAAAATATTATTGCTCAGTCCAACGTCAAGAAACATTTCCCCGATTTTTTCCTTTAGCAGATTTATAGTTTCAGTTTTTAGTCCATTTTGAGTTAATTTTTGTATATAGTGAGAAACGTACAATATTTGGTTTACAATTCCTGAGTTATTTCACTTGGAATAACAGTCTTCAATCTCATCCAGGTCACTGTAAATGCTATTAATTCATTTTTATGGCTGAATAGTATTCCACTATATATATATATATACACATATATATACATATATACATATATATACATATATATACATATATACATATATACATATATATACATATATATACATATATACATATATACATATATATACATATATATACATATATACATATATACATATATATACATATATATATACATATATACATATATATACATATATACACATATATACACATATATACATATACATATATATATATATATACCACATTCATTTTATCTTCTCATTGATTGATGGGCATTCGGGTTGGTTCCACGATTTTGCAATTGTGAATTGTGCTGTTATAAACATGCATGTGCAAGTTACCTTTTTCAAATAATGACTTCTTTTCCTCTGGGTAGATATCCAGTAGTAGCATTGCTGGATCAAATGGTAGTTCTACTTTTAGTTCTTTAAGGAATCTCCACACTGTTTTCCATAGTGGCTCTGCTAGCTTAAATTCCCAACAGCAATGGAAAAGTGGTCCCTGTTCACCTCATCCATGCCAACATCTACTGTTTTTTGATTTTTTGATTATGGTAATTCTTGCAGGAGTAAAGTGGTATCACATTGTGGTTTTGATTTGCATTTCCCTGATCATTACTGATGTTGAGCATTTTTTCAAATGTTTGTTTGCCATTTGTATACCTTCATTTGACAATTGTCTACTAATATCCTTAGCCCACTTTTTGATGAGATTGTTTTTTTCTTACTGATGTGTTTCAGTTCGTTGTAGATTCTGGATATTAGTCCTTTGTCAGATATACAGATTGTGAAGATTTTCTCCCCGTCTGTGAGTTGTCTCTTTACTCTGCTGACTGTTCCTTTCACTGTGCAAAAGCTCTTTAGTTTAATTAGGTCCCAATATTTCTCTTTGTTTTTATTGTATTTGCTTTTGGGTTCTTGGTCATGAAATCCTTGCCTAAGCCAATGTCTATAAGGGTTTTTTCCAATGTTGTCTTCTAGAATTTTTAGAGTTTCAGGTCTTAGGTTTAAGTCCTTAATCCATCTTGAATTTATTTTTGTATAAGGTGAGAGATGAGGATCCAGTTTCATTCTTATACATGTGGCTAGCCAATTATCCCAGCACCATTTTTTGAATAGGGTGTCCTTTCCCCACTTTATGTTTTTGTTTGCTTTGTGGAAATTCGGTTGGCTGTAAGTATTTGAGTTTACTTCTGGGTTCTGTTCCATTGTTCTATGTGACTATTTTTATACCAGTACTATGCTGTTTTTGTGACTATGGCCTTAGAGTATAATTTGAAATCAAATAGTGTGATGCCTCCAGATTTGTTCTTTTTGCTTAGTCTTACTTTGGCTATGTGGACTCTTTTTTAGTTTCATATGAATTTTAGAATTTTTTTTCTAATTCTGTGAAGAATGATGGTGGTATTTTGATGGAGATTGCATTGAATTTGTAGATTGCTTTTGGCAGTATGGTCATTTTCACAATATTGATTCTACCCATCCATGAGCATGGAATGTGTTTCCATTTGTTTGCATCATCTATGATTTCTTTTAGCAGTGTTTTATAGTTTTCCTCGTAAAGGTCCTTCAACTCCTTTGTTAGGTATATTCCTAAGTATTTTTTTTTTTTTTTTGCAGCTATCGTAAAATGGGTTGAGTTCTTTATTTGATTCTCTACTTGGTCACTGTTGGTGTATAGAAGAGTTACTAATTTGTGTACATTAATCTTGTATCTGGAAACTGGTGAATTCTTTTATTAGTTCTAGGAGCTTTCTGGAGGAGTCCTTAGGGTTTTCAAGGGAAACGATCATATCATCAGCACACAGTGACAGTTTCACTTCTTCTTTACCGATTTGGATGCCCTTCATTTTTTTCTCTTGTCTGATTGCTCTTGCTAGGACTTCCATTACTATGTTGAAGAGGAGTGCTGAGAATGGGCATCCTGTCTTGTTCCAGTTCTCAGAGGGAATGCTTTCAACTTTTCCTCATTCAGTATTATGTTGGCTGTGAGTTTGTCATAGATGGCTTTTATTACATTGAGGTATGTCCCTTGTATGCCGATTTTGCTGAGGGTTTTGATCATAAAGGGATGCTCCATTTTGTTGAATGCTTTTTCAACACCTATTGACATTATCATGTGATTTTTGTTTTTAATTCTCTTTATGTGGTGTATCACATTTATTGACTTGTACATGTTAAACCATCCCTGCATCCCTGGTATGAAACCCACTTGATCATGGTAGATTATCTTTTTGATATGATGTTGGATTCAGTTAGATAGTATTTGGTTAAGGATTTTAGCATCTACATTCATTAAGGATATCAGTCTATAGTTTTGTTTTTTGGTTATGTACTTAACTGGTTTTGGTGATGCTGGCTTCATAGAATGAGTTAGGGAGTGTTCCTTCTTTCTCTGTCTTGTGGAATAGTGTCAAAAGGATTGCTTCCAATTCTTCTTTGAATGTCTGGTAGAACTCTGCTGTGAATCTGTCTGGTCCTGGATTTTTTTTGTTGGTAATTTTTAAATTACCGTTTCCAACTCACTGCTTGTTATTGGACTGTTCAGGGTATGTAATTATTCCTGATACAAGCTAGGAGGCTTGTATTTTTCCAGGAATTTATCCATTTCTTCTAGGTTTTCTAGTTTATGTGCATAAAGGTGTTCACAGTAGCCTTGAATGATCTTTTGTATTTCAGTGGTGTCAGTTGTAATATCTCCTGTTTTGTTTCTTAGTGAAGTTATTTGGATTTTCTGTCTTCTTTTCTTGGTTAATTTTGCCAGTGGTCTATAAATTTTATTTATCTTTTCAAAGAGCCAGCTTTTTGTTTCATTTATCATTTATGGTTTTTTTTTGTTTCAATTTCATTTAGTTCTGCTCTGATCTTTGTTATTTCCTTTCTTCTGCTGGGTTTGGGTTTGGTCTGTTCTTGTTTCTCTGGTTCCTTGAGGTGTGACCTTAGATTGCTTGTTTGTGCTCTTTCAGACTTTTTGATGTAGTCATTTAGGGCTATGAACTTTCCTCTTAGCACCGCCTTTGCTGTATCCCAGAGGTTTTGAGAGGTTGTGTCATTATTGTCATTTAGTTCAAATAATTTTTTAATTTCCATCTTGATTTTGTTTTTGACCCAATGCTCATTCAGGGGCATGTTACTTAATTTCTGTGTATTTGCATGGTTTTAAAGGTTCCTTTTGGAGTTTATTTCACTTTTATTCCACTGTGGTCTGAGAGAGTGCTTGATAAAATTTCAATTTTCTTAAATTTATTGAGGCTTGTTTTATGGCCTATCGTGGAGAAAGTTCCATGTTCTGTTGAATAGAATGTGTACTCTGTGGCTGTTGGATGAAATATTCTGTACGTATCTGTTAAGTCCCCTTGTTACAAGGTATACTTTAAATCCATTGTTTCTTTGTTTTCTTTCTGTCTTGATGACCTGTCAAGTGCTGTCAGTGGAGTATTGAAGTCTCCCACTATTATTGTGTTGCTGCCTATCTCATTTCTTAGGTCTGTTACTAATTAATTTATAAATTTGGGAGCTCAAGTGTTAGGTCCATATGTGTTTAGGATTGTGATATTTTCCTGTTGGACAAAGCCTTTTATGATTATATAATGTCCCTTTTTTTTCTCTTTTAACCTCTGTTGCTTTACAGTTTTTTTGTCTGATATAAGAATAGCTATCCCTGCTCACTTTTGCTTTCCATTTGCATGAAATGCCTTTTTCCACCCCTTTACTTTAAGTTTATGTGAGTGCTTATGTGTTACGTGAGTCCCCTGAAGGCAGCAGATGGTTGGTGAGTTCTTATCCATTCTGTGGTTCTGTATCTTTTAAGTGGAACATTTAGGTCATTTACATTCAATGTTAGTATTGAAATGTGAGGTACTCTTGCATTCATCATGCTGTTTGTTGCCTGTGTACTTTCATTTTGTTTTTTTGTTTTTGTTTTTTAACTTGTACTTTTGTTTTATAGTGTGATATATGCATTAAAGAGGTTCTATTTTGATGTGTTTCCAGGATTTCATTCAAGATTTAGAGCTCCTTCTAGCAGTTCTTGTAGTGGTGGCTTGGTAATGGCAAATTCTCTCAGCATTTGTTTGTCTTAAAAAGACTGTATCTTTCCTTCATATCTGATGCTTAGTTTCACCGGATACAATATTCTTGGCTGACAATTGTGTTGTTTGATGAGGCTGAAGATAGGGTCCCAATCCCTTCTAGCTTGTTTGATTTCTGCTGAGAAATCTGCTGTTAATCTGATAGGTCTTCCTTTATAGGTTACCTGGTACTTCTGTCTCATAGCTTTTAAGAGTCTTTCCCTCATCTTAACTTTGGATAACCTGATGACAACGTGCCTAGGTGAAGATCTTTTTGTGATGAATTTCCCAGGTGTTCTTTGTGCTTCTTGTATTTGGATGTCTAGGTCTCTAGCAAGACTGGAGAAGTTTTCCTCAATTATTCCCCCAAATATGTTTTCCAAGCTTTTAGAATTCTCTTCTTCCTCAGGAATACCAACTATTCTTAGGTTTGGGTAATCCCAGACTTCTTGGAGGCTTTGTTCATATTTTCTTTTTCTTTTTTCTTTGTCTTTGTTTGATTGGGCTAATTTGAAGACCTTGTCTTCAAGCTCTGAATTTCTTTCTTCTACTTGTTCAGTTCTATTGCTGAGACTTTCCAGATAATTTCCAATTTCTAAAAGTGTGTCCAATGTTTCCTGAGTTTGATTGTTTTTTCTTTAAGCTATCTGTTTCCCTGAATATTTCTCCCTTCACTTCTTGTATCATTATTTAGATTTCCTTGCATTGGGCTTCACCTTTCTCT
Organism: Homo sapiens; assembly: GCF_000001405.40. NCBI lineage: Eukaryota > Metazoa > Chordata > Mammalia > Primates > Hominidae > Homo > Homo sapiens. The sequence goes on along the minus strand of NC_000023.11, from coordinate 113,089,123 downwards.
GGTGCCTCCCTGATTAGCTTAATAACTAACCTTCTGACTTTTTTTTTTTTTTTTTTTTTTCAGGTAAATCACGGATTTCTTCTTGGTTTGGATCCATTGCTGGTGAACTACTGTGATTTTTGGGGGGTGTTGAAGAGCTTCGTTTTGTCATATTATTAGTGTTGGTTTTCTGGCTCCTTCTCATTTGAATAGGCTCTGTCAGAGCGAAGGTCTAGGGCTGAAGGCTGTTGTTGTGATTCTTTTGTCCCTCAGGGTGTTCCCTTGATGTAGTACTCTCCCTCTTTTCCTATGGATGTGGCTTCTTGTGAGCTGAACTGCAGTGATTGTTGTCTCTCTTCTGGGTCTAGCCACCCAGCGAGTCTACCTGATACTGGGGGCTGCCTGCATAGAGTCCTGTGATGTGAACCATCTATGGGTCTGTCAGCCATAGATACCTTGCCTTTCTGGTGGAGGTGGCAGAGGGCTACAATGGACTCCATGAGGTTCCTTAGCTTTGGTGGTTTAATGCTCTATTTTGTGCTGGTTGGCCTTCTGCCAGGAGGTGGCCCTTTCCAGAAAGCATCAGCTGTAGTGTGAAGAGGGACTGGTGGTGGGTGGGGCCCTAGAACTCCCAAGATTTTATGCCCGTTGTTTTCTGCTACCAAGTTGGATAGGGAAGGACCATCAGGTAGGGGCGGGACTAGTTGTGTCTAAGCTCAGACTCTCTTTGGGTGGGTCTTGCTGTGGCTGGTGTGGGGGATGGAGGTGAGATTCCCAGGTCACTGGAGTTGTGTACCTACGAGGATTATGCCTGCCTCTGCTAAGTCATGCAGGTTGTCGGAGGGAAGTGGGGGAAACACAGCAGTCAAGGCCTCACCCAGCTTCCATACAAACCGAAGGGCTGGTCTCACTCCCACTGTGCCCCCTGCAACAACCCTGAGTCTGTTTCCAGGCAGAGAGTGAGACAGGCTTGAAAATTTCCTGGAGGTTATCTGCCTCCCAGCTGCAAAAGAAAAGGACTTTGGTTCTTCCCCTGCCTGTGAAGTCTGCACACCTGATTAATGCCCTTCCCCCAAGTTCTGGCCAGGCTTCTTGCCCCATTTAAATTGTTACAAATTTCAGCTAGAGAATTACTTCTGCCTGCGGAGTTTTATCCCCTGCTCCTCTGGCCACCCTCCAGATGGATCCCTGTGGTGCCAGGCAGGAATGGGCTGCTTGGAAACCTAGTGAGATTCCAGGGCCTTTCTGCTGCATCCTCTACCCCTGTATTTCTCTCAGCTCTATAACTTGACTCAACTTCAGATAAAGTCAGAAACTGCTCCTGCAAACAGACCGTAAGTTTCTCCAGTGGGGGTGTGTGTTCAGGAGAGGAGGGTCTCCTTTTCCCACTTCCTCAGCTGGGGCACTCACGGTATTTGGGGTGTCCCCTGGGTCCTACAGGAGCAGTCTGCTTCTTTCAGAGGGTCTGTGGGTCTTCTCAGGATTGCTGGTTTGTTCTTGCAGTCGATCTGGAGCTAAAATTCACAAGGCAAGCCCCCGCATGCTGCTCTGTCAGGAGCTGCAATCTAGTCCCGCCTCCCATCCGCCATGATCTTCTTCATCTCCAAACATTTGTCTTCTAGTTACTGGATCCATATACTATTACACAGACTGTTAGCGAAAAATTGAAAAGTAGAAAAGGATTCTCACCTTTTCATCTTTATATCTTTGCTCATGATGTGTCAAATTCATAAAAACCCCACTCTCATTTTTCAGATTGAATACTATGTATCCTTCAACTTCCAGGGTCAATGAAATCATCACAAAGATCTCCTGACCAATAGGTATGCATTCCTCTTCCTCTGTAGTTCCATGCATGTGCTTTGATGTCTCTTATACTTTCTAATTAAAGTACTATGATATTTTGTAGAGATGCCTTATTCTTCCTACTAGATTTTAAACATTTTTGATAAATAAAACATACAAAGAGACCTCAAAAAGTTCATTAAAATTTGAATTACAAGATAAAAATAAAATAACTTTATTTCTGAGCATAAGCTCCATTAAGTTCAAGACACTCTTGTGATGATGCCAGGCATTTAAGTTCATCCCTAAAGACATAAAAAAATTCAAAAGATCAACAAATCCAGGAGTTGGATTTTTGAAAAAAATAATAAAATAGATAGCCAAGTAGCTAGACTAATAAAGAAAAGAGAAATGATCCAAATAAAAACAATTAGAAATAACAAAAGAAATATTACCACTGATCCCACAGAAATACAAACAATCATCAGAGAATATTATGAATACCTCTATGTACACAAACTAGAAAATCTAGAAGAAATGGATAAATCCTGGGACACATACAGCATCCCAATGCTGAACCATGAAGAAATTGAATCCCTGAAAAGACTAATAATGAGCTCCAAAATTGGGCCAGCAATAAATAGACTACCAACCAAAATAAGCCCAGGACAAGTCAGATTCACACATGAATTCTACCTGATGTACAAAGAAGAGCTGACACTGTTCCCACTGATACTATTCCAAAAAGATTGAGGAGGAGGGAATCCACCCCAACTCATTCTATGTGGCCAGCATCATCCTAATACAAAAAACTACCAGAGACACAACAAATAAAGAAAACTTTAGGCCAATATCCTTGATGAACGTTGATGCAAAAGACCTAAAGAAAATACTAGCAAAATAAATCGAGCAGCATGTTAAAAAGCTAATCCACTGTGATCAAGGAGGCTTTATCCCTGGGATGCAAGGTTGGTTGAACATATGCAAATTCATAAATGTGATTCATCACATTAACAGAACTAAAAACAAAAACCACATAATTATCTTAATGGATGCAGAAATGGCATTCAATAAATGCCCTCCATGTTAAAAACTCTAAATAAACTAGGTATTGAAGGAACATACCTTGAAATAATAAGAGCCACCTATGACAAACCCAGAGCCAACATCATACTAAATAGGCAAAAAGCTGGAAGCATTCCCCTTTAAAACTGGCATAAGACAAGGATGCGTCTCTCACCACTCCTATTCAATATAGTATTGGAAATCCTGGCCAGAGCAATCAGGCAAGAGAAAGAAATAAATCACATCCAAATAAGAAGAGAGGAAGTCAATCTATCTTTGTTTACAGAAGACATAATTCTATAGCTAGAAAACTCCATAGTTTAGTTCCAAAAGCTTCTTCAGTTGATAAACAACTTCAGTAAAGTGTCAAGATACAAAATTAACATGCAAAAATCACTAACAACCTTATACGCCAACAATAGTCAAGTTGAGAGCCAAATCAGGAATGCAGTCCCACTCACAATTGCCACACACACACACACACACACACACACACACAAACCCCTAGAAATATAGCTAATCAGGGAGGTGAAAAATCTCTACAATGAGAATTACAAAACACTGCTCAAAGAAATCAGAGATGACACAAACAAATGGAAGAACATTTCATGTTCATGGATAGGAAAAATCAATATCATTCAAATGGCCATACTGACCAAAGCAATTTATAGATTCAATACTATTCCTATCAAACTACTAAAAGCATTCTTCACATAACTAGAAAGAAAAACTATTTTAAAAATCAAATGGAACCAGAAAACAGCCAGAAGAGCCAAGGAAATCCTAAGCAAAAGGAACAAGGCTGAAGGCATTATTCTACCTGACTATACCACAAGACTACAGTAATCAAAACAGCATGGTACTGGTACAAAACCAGACACATGTGCCAATGGTACAAAATACAGAACCCAGAAATAAGGTACACAGCTACAACCATCTGATCTTCAACAAACCTGACAAAAACACACAATGGGGAACGAACTCCCTATTCAATAAATGGTGCTGGGATAATTGGCTAGCCATATACAAAAAATTGAAGCTACACCTGTTTCTTAGAAAACACACAAAAATCAACTCAAGATGGATTAAAGACTTAAATGTAAAACCCAAAACCATAAAAACCCTAGAAGACAGCCTAGGCAATACCATTCTGGACATAGAAATGAGCAAAGATTTTATGACAAAGACAACAAACGGAATCACAACAAAAGTAAAACCTAACAAATGGGATCTAATTAAAGAGCTTCTGTGCCACAAAAGAAACTATCAACAGAGTAAGCAGACAACTTACAGAATGGGAGAAAATATTTGCGAACTATGCATCTGACAAATGTCTAATATCCAGTATCTATAAGGAGCTTACACAAATTTACAAGAAAATAACAAACCACTCCATGAAAAAGTGGGCAAAGGACATGAACAGACACTTTCTGAAAGGAGACATATGTGTAGCAAAGAAGCATATGACAAAAAACACACCACTGAGCATTAGATAAATGCAAATCCAAACCACTATGAGATACCCTCTCTTACCTGTCAGAATGGCTACTACTAAAAAGTCCAAAAATAACAGATGCTAGTGAGGCTGTGGAGAAGAGGGAACACTTATACACTGTTGATGGGAGTGTAAATCAGTTCAACCATTGTGGAAAGAAGTGTGACAGTTCCTCAAAGAGCTAAAAACAGAATGACCATTTGATCAGGCAATCCTTTTACTGAGTATAAACCCAAAGGAATATAAGTCATTCTTCCATAAAGGCACATGCACGTGTATGTTCATTGCGGCACTATTCCTAATAGCAAAGACCTGGAATCAAGCTAAATGCCCATCAATGATAGACTGGATAAAGAAAATGTGGTACATATGCACCATGGAATACTATGCAGTCATAAAAAGGAACAAAATCATATCCTTTGCAGGAACATGGATGAAGGTGCAGGCCATTATCCTTAGCAAACTAATGTAGGAACAGAAAACAAAATACCACATGTTCTCACTTATAAGTTGAGCTAAATGATGAGAACACATGGACACATAAAGGGAAACAACAGACACTAGCACCTACTGGAAAGTGGAGAGTGGGAGAAAAGAGAGGATTAGGAAAATAACTAATGGGTATTAGGCTTAATACCTGGGTGACATAATAAACTGTACAACAAACCTCGTGACACGAGTTTACCTATATAACAAACCTGCACATGTACCCTTGAACTTAAAAGTTAAAAACAAAAAAATAACTGAGGATCCTGGGAGTTTAACTGTGTCAACACAGTGTTTCTTCTCCATTATTAACTGAAGAAAAATTGGTGCTTTTTAAAGATTTTTTTCAGATTAGAAAACAAAAATAAGTAAGAAATAGACAAATCAGAAATTTGAGGTGGATACCTAATGATTTCCCACCAAAACTTTCATAAAATTGCTTTTGTTTGATGAGATAAATGAGCAGGAACATTTACGTGGTGGAGAATGACTCTCTGGTGAAGCTTTCCTGGGCATTTTTCTTCTAAAACTTTGGCTAACTTTCTCAAAACACTCTCATAATAAACAGATGCTATTGTTCTTTGGCCCTCCAGAAAGTCGACTAGCAATATCCCCTGAGCATCCCAAAAACTGTTGCTGTGACATTTGCATTACACAGGCCCACTTTAGCTTTGACTGCACCACTTCTGCCTCTTCATAATCATTGCTTTGATTGTGTTTTGTCTTTAAGATCATGCTGGTAAAGCCCTGTTTCATCTCCTGTTACAATTCTGTAAAGAAATGCTTCAGGATCTTGATCCCACTTGTTACCATTTCCTTTGAAATTTCTGAAGAAATAAGAATTTATTTTTGTTGTTTTACAAATATTTTCTAGCTTAGTAGTGTATACTTCAACTTTATCTCAGATGTATTTTGTCTGATATAAGTATAGCAACTCCCGCTCTTTTTTTGGTTTCCATTTGCTTGGAATATCTTTTTCCATCCCTTTATTTTCAGTGTATGTGTGTCTTTACCTGAAGTGTGTTTCTTGAAGGCAACTGATTAATGGGTCTTGTTTTTTAACCCATTCAGCTACTCCATATCTTCAGATTGGAGATTTTAGTCTATTTACATTCAGTGTTATTACTGATAAGTAAGGACTTACTCCTGCCATTTTATTTGTTTTCTGGGTGTTTTGTGGTGTTCTCTTCTCTTTCTTGCCTTCCTATCTTCCTTTAGTGAAAGTGATTTTCTCTGGTAGTATAATTTAGTTTCTTGCTTTTTATTTTTTGTGTGTCCATTGTGTTTTTGGTTTGAGGTTACTGTGAAGCTTGCAAATACAATCTTACAACCCTGTATTTTGACCTGATAAGAACTTAACATTGTTTGTATAAACAAACAAACAAAAATAAGACAAATAAAAATTCTGAGACTTAACTTTGTCCTCCCACTTTTAAACCTTTTGTTGTTTCCATTTATATTTTATTGTATTGTCTATGTCTTGCAAACTTGTTGCAGTTGTTCTTTTTTATTGGTTCATCACTTACTCTTTCCAGTTAGGATAAGAGTAGTTGGCCAGGCACGGTGGCTTACGCCTGTAATCCCAGCACTTTGGGAGGCCGAGGAGGGTAGATCACGAGGTCAGGAGATCGAGACCATCCTGGCTAACACGGTGAAATCCTGTCTCTACTAAAAAAAAAAAAAAAACAAAAAATTAGCCAGGCATGGTGGCGGGTGCCTGTAGTCCCAGCTACTCAGGAGGCTGAGGCAGGAGAATGGCATGAACCCGGGAGGCGGAGCGTGCAGTGAGCCGAGCTCGCACCACGGCACTCCAGCCTGGGCAACAGAGTGAGACGCCATCTCAAAAAAAAAAAAAAAAGAAAAGAGTAGTTTACATGCCACAGTTACAGTATTATAATATTCTGTATTTTTCTGTTTACTTACCAGTGAGTTTTATACCTTCAGGTAATTAGTTATTGCTCATTAACATTCTATTCTTTCTGATTGAAATATTTCCATTAGCATTTCTTGTAGAAAATAAACTGTGATTATATACATATATACACACACACATATATACATATACATATATGTATAAATTTATATGTATATATACATATATGTACATGTATATCTACATATAAATATATATGTATATATAAAAATATACATATATACAACATGTATATATAAAAATATACATATATACAACATGTATATATGTATATGTGTATATATATACACATATACATATATACTCTCTTTATATATATATATGATGGAATAGTACTCAGCCATGAAAAGGAATTAATTAATGGCATTCACAGCAACCTGGGTGAGATTGGAGACTATTCTAAATGAAGTAATTCAGGAATGAAAACCAAACATTGTATGTTCTCACTCATAAGTGAGAGCTAAGCTGTGAGGATGCAAAGGCATAAGAATGACACAATGGACTTTGGGGACTCAGTGGGAAAGGGTGGGAAAAGGGTGAGGGATAAAAGACTATGAATTGTGTGCAGTGAATACTGCTCGGAGGATGGGTGTACCAAAACCTCACAAATCACCACTAAAGATCTTACTCATGTAACCAAACACCACCTGTTCCCCAATAACTTACGGAAATAAAAAATTTTTAAAAAGTAGAAAGTTACCGTAACTTAATTAAAAAGTTCAGTAGATGGCCTCAACAGCAGAATTGCAGGGGCAGAAGATAGCATTAGTAAACAGGAAGATAAGAAAGTAGATATTACCTTATCTGAAGAAAAAAGAGAAAACAGACCCATTTGTTTTGGCCAATTTATCCCATCTGGAATGGCTGTATTTACCCAATGCCTGTAGCCCCATTGTATCTAGGAAGTAACTAACTTGTTTTGATTTTACAGGCTCACAGGCAGAAAGAACTTGCCTTGTCTCAGATAAGACTTTGGACTAAGGACTTCTGAGTTAATGCTGAAATGATTTAAGACTTTGGGGGACTGTTGGGAACACATAATTTGTTTTGAAATGTGAGGACATGAGATTTGGAAGAGGCCAGGGGCAGAATGATATGGTTTGGCTGTGTCTCCACCAAAATCTCATCTTGAATTCCCATGTGTTGTGGGAGGGACCCAGTAGGAGGTGATTGAATCATGAGGGCAGGACTTTCCCATGCTGTTCTCATGATAGGGAATAAGTCTCATGAGATCTGATGGTTTTATAAGGAGGAGTTTCCCTACACAAGCTCTCTCTCTTTACCTCCCACCATCCACTTAAGATGTGACTTGCTCCTCCTTGCCTTCTGCCATGATTGTGAGGCCTCCCCAGCCATGTGGAACTGTAAGTCCATTAAACATCTTTCTCTTGTAAATTGCCCAGTCTCAGGTATGTCTTTATCAGCAGCATGAAAATAAACTAATACAAGTACCATGTTGTTTTGGTGACTATGGCCTTATAGTATAGTTTGAAGTCAGGTCATGTGATGCCTCCAGCTTTCTTCTTTTTGCTTAGTCTTGCTTTACCTATGCAGGCTCTTATTTGGTTTCATATGAACTTTATGATTGTTTTCTCTGGTTCTGCGAAGAATGATGGTGATATTTTGATGGGAATTGCATTGATTGTGTAGATTGCTTTTCACAGTATGCTCATTTTCACATTATTGATTCTACCCATCCATGAGCATGGGATGTGTTTCCATTTGTTTGTGTTGCCTATTATTTCTTTCAGCAGTGTTTTGTAATTTTCCTTGTAGAGGTCTTTTGCCTCCTTTGTTATGTAAATTCCTTTTTTTTTTTTTTTGCAGCTATTGTAAAAGGGGTTGAGTTCTTTATTTGATTCTCAGCTTGGTTGCCGTTGGGGTATAGAAGAGTTACTGATTTGTGTACATCAATTTTGTATCCAGAAACTTTGCTGAATTGTTTTTTATCAGTTCTAGGAGCCTTCTGGAGGAGTCTTTAGGGTTCTCTAGGTATACAATCATATCATCAGCAAACAGTGACAGTTTGATTTCCTCTTTACCGATTTGGATGCCCTTTATTTCTTTCTCTTGTCTGATTGCTCTGGCTAGGACTTCCAGTACTATGTTGAAGAGGAATGGTGAGAGTGGGCATCCTTATCTTGCTCCAGTTCTCAGAGGGAATGCTTTCAACTTTTTCCCATTCAGTATTATGTTGGCTGTGGGTTTGTCATACATGGCTTTTATTATATTGAGGTATGTCCCTTGTATGCTGATTTTGATGAGAGTTTTAATCATAATGGAATGCTGGATTTTGTTGAAAGCTTTTTCTGCATCTATTGAGATGATCATGTGATGTTTGTTTTTAATTTTGTTTATGTGATGTATCACATTTATTACCTTGTGTATGTTAAGCCATCCCTGAATCCCTGCTATGAAACCCACTTGATCATGGTGGATTCTCTTTTTGATATGTTGTTGGATTCAGTTAGCTAGTATTTTGTTAAGGGTTTTTGCGTTTACGTTGGGATATTGGTCTATAGTTTTCTTTTTTAGTTATGTCCTTTCCTGGTGTTGGTCTTAGGGTGATCCTGGCCACATAGAATGATTTAGGAATGATCCCACAGGTTCATGTAGATCTGTTCTAGTTTTTTTCAGTTTATTTTCTCTTTGTTCTTCAGATAAGGTAATATCTGCTGTTCTATTTTTCTATTTACTAATGCTATCTTCTGTTCCCTCTCTTCTGCTGTTGAGGCCATCTACTGAACTTTTTAATTAAGTCATGATAACTTTCATCCCTAAAATCTCCATTTGATTCCTTTATATATGTTCTAATTATTTCCAAGACTATCTGTTTTTTTTTTCCCTGAGGCTTTCCATTATTTTGTTTCAAGCATGTTTGACATTTTTCATTGAAGTATATTTATGACAGCTTATTTAAAATTTTTGTGAAATAATTTTAACCTGTCAACATCTTGAGGTTGATATGAATTGATTGTATTTCACTCAGTTTGAGATCATTCTGGTTTTGATATGATGACTAATTTTTTATTGAAACATGCATATTTTTGTATTATGTTATGAAACACTGGGTGTTATTTAAATCTTCTACTTTAGCTGTTTTTCTTTGACGTGGTTCTGGCTGGAGATGTGATGTTGCCTTGTTACTACCAGGTTAAAGTAGGAGTCCATGTTCTCCAGTCAACATCTGTTGATCCTTGAAGGGTGTCCTCATTACTGCTGGATAAGGATGCAAGTTCTAACTCCCCACGTGGTCTTTGATGACACCACTTTGGGGGTGATTTTATTATTTCTGGGTGAGGGTGAACGTACTGACTCTCCACCAGGCCTCCTCTGATAGCACCACAGCTGGGAGTGGGAGGAAAACCTAATTACTGCCAGGTTGTGGTAGAAGTCCAAACTCTTCATTTGGTCTCCAGTGACACCATTGGTATCAAAGGTCAGAGAGACAGTAAATACCTCTTGGCTGTTAAATCTACTTAAAAAACTTTTCCACAATGCAGAGGTATAAGAATATGGGTGTAGTTCCTGAGTAAAATTTCATGCTCTCCCAGTGTTCTTAGCATTTTCATAGATTTTGTTGAATAAAGCTTGTTTATTTTAAACCTTCTGGTCAATCTTCAGAGACTTTGGGTGACTGTATTTGCTAATTTTTACTTTAATAGATGTCGTTTCATGGAATTTTTTGAGCTCTTCACATTGCCATTCCAAAAGTTAGGTTTCCTTGATTGCCTTATAACATTTGTTTGAATCACATTTAATGAACATTTTCTAGACTTTGCCTCCTCGTAGTTTAGAGATTAAGTTCAATGAATTTCCATAATACCAGTAAAAGCCAGAAAATATTTTTTCAAGTGTTTTTATTAAGATAAAATTTCCACAACACAAATTTACCATTTAAATAACTTAAAGTGTACAATTCAGTGTTTTTAATATATTTACAATAATGTGCAACCATTATATACATTCAAAATATTGTCCCACCATTATCACTATCTAATAACAGAACATTTTCATCACCATAAAAAGAAACCCTATACCTGGTAGTAGTCAATTCCAATTCTCTCCTCTCTCTAACCCCTGGCAAACACTAACAACTTTCTATCTCCATGGTTCTGCTCAGTCTGAATACTTTATATAAATGGAATCATAGTCTATGGTCTTTTTTGTCTAGCTTATTTTACTTAGCATAATGTTTTGAAGAGTTATCTTATGTTGTAGCATGTTGATCAGTGCTTCATTTCATTTTATGGCTGAATAGTATTCCATTGTGTAGATATGCCATATTTTGTTTATCAACTCATTAGTGGATGGACATTTGGGTTGTTTCTACTTTGGGGCTATTATAAATAATGATGCAAAAAAGTTTGTGCACATATATTTATTTGAACATATGTTTTCAATTTTCTTGGGTACTTAGCCAAAAGTGAGATTACTGGGTCATATGGTCACTATATGTTTAAAATTTTGAGAAACTGCTAAACTGGTTTCCATAGCAGCTGAATCATTTTACATTACCAATATACAAGAATTCCAATTTTTCTACATCCTTACCAACGCTTGTAATTTTCTAAATTGTTAAGTTACAGACAACCAAATAGGCGTGACATGGTACCTGATTGTGGTTTTGACCTACATTTTCCTAATGACTAGTGATATTGAGTATCTTTTCATGTGCTTTTTGGCCATTTATGAATCTTTTTTTAGCAAAATGTCTCTTCTACCTCTATGTTCATTTTTTATTTGATTTATTTGTGTTTTGTTATCAGGTTGTAAAACTTTTAAAATATATTTTGGATGCTAGGCCCTTTTCAAATATGATTTGCAAATGTTTTCTCCTATTTTGTGAATTATCTTTTCATTTCCCTGATAGTCTGCTTTGATACACAAATGTCTGTAATTTTTATTAAGTCTAATATATCTTTTTTTTCTTCTGTTGTTTGTGCTTTTGGGGTCATATTTAAGAAACCATTGCCTAATTCAAGGTAACAAATATTTTTACCTATAATTTCTTTCTAAAGATTTTATAGTTTTAGCCATTTTATTTAGGTCTATAATCCATTTTGAGCTAATTTTTGTACATGTTGTGAGGTAATGATCCAACATTATTCTTTAGCATGTGAATATGCAGTTTTCCCAGAATCATTTGTTGAAAAGCCTATTCTTTGCCCATTGAAGGAGCTTGGCACCCTTGTCAAATACTAATTGACCATAGGTATATGGGTTTATTTCTGAATTCTCAATTCCATTCCAATGATCTAAATCTCTACTCTTGGCCAGGCATGGTGGCTCACACCTGTAATCTCAGCACTTTAGGAGGCTGAGGTGGGTGGATCACTTGAAGTCAGGGGTTTGAGACCAGCCTTGCCAACATGGCAAAACACTGTCTTTACTAAAAACACAAAAATCAGCCTGGCATCATGGCACACACCTGTAATCCCTTCTACTCAGGAGGCTGAAGCAGAAGAATCACTTGAACCTGGAAGGCAGAGGTTTCAGTGAGCTGAGATTGTGCCACTGCACTCCAGCCTAGGTGACAGAGCAAGACTCTGTCTCAAAAATAAATAAATAAATAAATAAATGTCTATTCTTATAGCAATACCACAGTATTTAGTGCTGTAGCTGTGAGTCCTCCAATTTTGTTCTTTCTCAAGATTGTTTTGGCTATTCAGGGGTCCTGCCATTTCTATGTGAATTTTAGGATCAGCCCATTTGTTTCTGCAAAAGAAGCAATTAGAATTTTTAAGAGCGATTTTATTTAATCTGTATATCAATTTTGCCATTTTAGCAATATTGACTCTTTCGATCCATGAACATTAGTTGTCTCTCCATTTATATTGTTCTTTAATTCCTTTCAATAATGTTTTGTAATGGTCAGTGTACACATCTCACATCTCCTTGTTTAAATTTATTTTTAAGTATTTTATTCTTTTTGATGCTATTGTAAATAGAATTGTTTTCTTCATTTCACTTTTGGGTTGTTCATTGTTAATGTATAGAAATACAACACATTTTGCATATTGATCTTGGATTCTGAAACTTTGCTGAACTCATTTATTAATGCTATAGTGCTTTGTGTGTTGGGGGATAATTTTAATGATTCTCTCTATATAAGATTATGTCATGCTTGAATGGGGATAATTTTACTTCTTCCTTTCCAATCTGTAAGCCTTTTATATCTTTTTTCTTACCTAATTGCCAAAAGCTATGTTTTTAAAATATACTTTAAATGTCCAGTTTGGTTTAAATAATTTTGAAACTAATTATATTTTATAATAATGCAGGGGGGACATTTTCTCCTAATTTTGTTGAAATACTGTTTTTCTCTGGCTAAATTGTACATCTATATGTTATACCTTAAATTAAGAACTATGTAACTGAGACTATTTAAAACAGCTTATTTTTAATGTTTCTTCCAAGTGGTAGGTATTAAACTGTATTAAAATGATTATCTAAAAAAATTAAGGTTACTTTTGCCATTTTGATTTAAAGGGTAATATTATCACACAAATAGAAACTTGAAAATTACTGATCCAACTTCTCTGCTTGAGGCAAGACATTGGTGAAGATCTCTGATCTTTAGTTTTGTGACTGAATGAGAAACCCTAATTGCCCATTTCATATGAATAAGAAACTTCAGCACTTCCAGATGCAGTTTAGCAAAAAAGAAAAGAGAAAAAAAAAGAATAAATTCCTCTTTGTGAGACAAGGTTAAGTGGATTAGGATTCTTTCCAACTTATTTTCTCTAAAGTAATTGTTTTCAATATGATAGTCCAGAAGGGGCTTTCTTGTTGGCAACAAACCATCTTCCTGACAAAGTAAAGTTTAATTTTTGTTTAGTAAGTGTAGCAAGTTTATTTTCTTAGATATAAAATTAATAGAGCAATGAATATCCAAATAAGCTAAATTGCAACATTTGCATATGAATACTTTCTTTGAGACACTTTATCAAGACCTCTGTTGAAATTATCAATTGTCAGATTATAAAAATTTCAATTCCAAGTTTGTTCATTGAGTCAAAAAATTCATTACTTGGAAAGTTTTGAAATAGCGATTTTATACCAAGTTTGTAATTACTGGGAAGGAATTGCTGTTTCCTAAGCCAGAAATGAAGTTTCAACAGCACTGTAATATTGAATATGTTCATTGTATACAAAGGCACCTTCATTGTGTCTTAAGAGAGCTCATAAGTTCTTAATATGTTATTCTTGGAAATGTATTTACTGAGCTGTACTATTCTCACAAAATATTCAATTAACATAAATTCAACAATGATTATAATGTGCTTACCATTCATTTCTTATGAGCTATGATACAGTCAGTAATATATTTTTATTATTAATAGCATGTAGATCACAATAAAGGAGAAACCTGTGCCTATGTAAATAAATATATATATGTGAATGTAGCAGGGTCTTATTTGAAGTTGGTAATTTATTATTCATTGATGTTCAAAATAGTAAATTTAAATAATTACTTAGAAAGATGATATTTTAAGGACACATTACTGAACACATAATCTTTTACTTGCTGTCTTAAGCATCATGTATAATTAAATCTCCAATATTGAACAGAATTAGTGAAAAATATTGCAAAATATGAAAAATATTCTTACATAACATTAAGTTCTTAAACAAACCAAAGACACAAGTCCGAAGAAAAAACATTACCACTACAGGTTTATCTTATATTTCTAATATATATTATAATTTAAAACTACGTAAAGTACACATTAAATTTTTCTTCTGTGACCATTCTTGTTCATTTATAGTATTGAAAAATTTCTTAATAATATACTTTAAAGATATATCAAAACTAGAAGTTTGATTTAGAAATAAGCAAGCAGGTTTGGATTCACCTGTTCCAACAAAGTGGAACTTAGATTGAAAATGTTTCAGAACTTCATTTAATAGAACTCAGAAAAGTTTACAAAATATATTCCTGAAATAAGTCAATCCAAAATTCAATTATTAGATTTAAAATATTCTCCTGAAACTTACAATCTCATTAAGAGGAAAAAAATCTTTTGACAATAGGTATACTAAAAACTCAATATGATGGCCTTCAAACTAATTTCACACTATTTTAATGAGTTAGAACTAAAGAAAAATGAATGCTAATTAAAAAAATAATTTTGCTTCTTTGCTTAGGAATGATTTTCTCCAATGGGTTGAAATAACTCCATCTAAATTTCAAGGTGTAAAAACCAGAGAACTTGGATTAATGCCCAGGAACAAGGGTCACCTCTAGTGCTTGAGTTTATGAGGACTATGTTTATAGTTCCACAGAGAAACATGTTATAAGAAAAAAAGATATTTTGGAAAAGGAGAAAGATTCTGCTTTCAAGATAACACTTCATCTATAAATCACAAATTTTCTGTTATGAATTCAAAAATGACATTTAATACTTTATATATGTAAATTGCAGAGATCAATGAGCAAACACAAGGGTAGGTGACTCTAATAATGAACAGAGACCTTAATTTAAATGAATACATGTTTTTGTTTAATCTCTGCTAAATTCTGCTTTCATCCTGACTTAATCCTTTAATCAACAGCCATTAAACTATTATACTTGGCATTCAAAGCTTTTTATGATGTTATCATTCTAACTACTCAACCTTAACTTTTTCTACTCCTCAGCATACACTATTTTCTCTTATTAGGCCACTAAAATACCAGGATTGGCACTGCCTCTGCCACTGTCTTCATTTAGAGGGTTTATCTTGCTCAAATCCTATTCATCTTTCAAATTCTAGTTCATGACTCACTTCTTCTATGAAACTTTTCTTAATTATTCCATTCCTCATTGAGTTCATTTTTTGAATTCTAGTAGCACTTAGTGTGTAGTATATAGTTCAGTCTTTTTACATAAGGACTTACATTGGGATAATGATTTTATGTATATTTAATGAATGTTAACTGACTATGCCTCTGAAATGCCTGGCACTGTGCTAGGCACTCAAGATAGAAAAGTGCACAAGATATGACCCCTTTCCTCAAGAAGCCCACAATGTCTACCCAGGGAAGGCAGGCAGACACTCAAAATGTGAGAAGTAATATTAAAGGGCTATAAGCAATGTACTGTGACAACATAAAGGAACAATCAGTTAATTCTGCCTTACAGAAAAATGTAAGGCATGACAGAGGTATTATAGAAGATTAAACATGAGCAGCTAGGCTTACATGAATATGTAAGTTTTCTGAGTTAGTAAGAGGGGAAAAGGTATTGTAGGATTTCTACTTCTAAGTATGACTTACCAGATGCACCCATCTTCTACCTTGTGCAAAAAACATCTGTAAAACACAAATATTCTGGAATTTGCAAGTAGTCCAGTGCAACAGAGCAGCACTTTCCAAATTGTGTTCCATGAGAAAGTCTTATGCAAGAGGTTAAAAGACTGTCTTCAAAAATTGTTTTCATATGGCAGGAGGCAGAGCAAGATAGAAGCTTTCACCAATGGTCCTCCCCATAGAAACATGAAATTGAAAAAATGTTCACACAAAAAAGCACCTTCATAAGAACCAAAAAATCAGGTAAGCACTCACAGTACCTGGTTTTTAACTTCATATCACTGAAATCAGACTAAAGAGGATCAGAAAGACAGTTTTAAATTATGGACACCACCCCTCCCTCATCACCCAGCAATGGTCATGTGTCACGGAGAAAGATTCTGTGCACTTGGTGGAGGGAGAGCTCAGTGATTGTGGGACTTTGCATTGAAACTCAGTTCTGCCATGTCACAGAGGAAAGAAACACTGGGCAGAACTCGGCCAACACCCATAGAAGGAGCACTTCGACTAGCCCTAGCCAGAGGGGAATCATCCATCCTAGCAGTCAGAACCTCATTTCCTGAAAGCCTCACCACCACAGGCTAAAGGGTTCTGGGGTCTGAAATAAACTTGAAAGGCAGTCTAGGCCACAAGCACTGCAATCCTTGGGCAATTCCTATTGCTTTGCTGGGCTTGGAGCAAGTGGACTGGATGGGAATGCAATCTAGTAAGACACCAGCTGGGGTAGCCAAGGGAGTGCTTGTGCTACCCCTCTCCCAACCCCAAGGGGCCCAGCTTGCAACTCTGGGAGAGACTCCATCCCTCTGCTTGAGGAGAGGAGAGGTAAAGGTAACGAGGACTTTGTCTTGCATCTTGTGTACCAGCTCAGCAACAGTAGCATAGGGCACAAGGCAGGGTTCTGAGGCTTCCATTCTAAGACCTAGATCCCAGACATTTCTAGATACTCCCTAAGCCACAAGGGAACCTACTGCCTTGAAGTGAAGGATCCAATCCTGGCACAATTCATCACCTGCTGACTAAAAAACCTTTAGGCCCTAAATAATCAGCAGGGATACCCAGGCCGTACTCCACCTTGGGCATTTAGTGAGACTCAGAGGTGTACTGGATTCAAATGTGACCCAGCACATTCTTAGCTGTGGTGGCTATGGGAAGAGACTCATGCTTTAGAAAAAAGAAAGGGAAAAGTAAGGAGATATGGTCCTGCAGCTTAGGTACCAGCTCAGCTACAGTCAGGTAGAACATCAAGTAGGCTCTGGGGTCCCTGATTCTAGGCCTTGCCTCTTGCATGGCATTTCTGGACATTTCCTGAGCCAGAGGAGAGCCCACTTTCCTGAAGCATGAGTCTCAGGCCTGGCAACATTTACCACAAACTGACTGAAGAGCCTTTGGGTCTTGAGTGAAAATCAACGGTAGCCAGGCAGTACTCACTGTGGACCTAAAGTGATTGTGACTAAAGGAAGAGACTCTTCTGCTTGTGGAAAGAGAAGGGAAGATGGGGGGAGGACTTTGTTTTGTGCCCTGGGTGCCAGCTCAGTGGCAATAGAACAGAGCACCAGGTAGATTCTTAAGGTTTCCATCTCCAGGCCCTGGCTCCCGGATAACATCTCTAGATCCACCTGGGGTTTGCAGGGAACTCACTATCCTGAAGGGAAGGACACAAATCTGAGTGGCTTTGTGACCCACTGATTGTAGAGCAGTGGGGCTTACATAGGTGGTAGCCAGGCAGTAGTTACAGCAGGTCTTGTGAAAAACCCACTACTATACTGGCTTCAGGTCTGACCTACTGTAGTCTAAGTGGTGGTGGCTACAGGGCTGCTTGTGTCACCCCTCCACCAGTTCCAGGCAGCCCAGCACACAGAGAGAAGCTCTGTTAAGGAAAATGTAAAGAAAGAGAACAAAAGTCTCCACCTGGTAATCCAGAGAATTCTTCTGGGACTTATTCAAGACCACCAAGGAGTTACCTCTACAAGTCTATAACAGACACAGCATTACTGAGCTTATTGTTACCCCTAATGCAAATACAGCTGCAAAGACCAAAAACTTAGATTAAAACACTCCAGTCCCTTCTAATACCTGGGAAGCCTTCCCAAGAAGGATGGGTACAAACAAGTCCAGGCTGCAAAGACTACAATATAGACTTAACTCTTCAATGCCCAGATACCTACAAACATCCACAAGCATCAAGATGATCCAATAAAACATGACCTCACTAAATTAACTAAGTAAGGTACCAAGGATCAATCCTGTAAAAACAGAGATAGGTGATCTTCAACAGAAAACTCAAAATAGCTGTGTTGAGAAAATTCAACATAATTCAAGGTAACACAGAGAAGAAATTCAGAAACTTATTTTATTTTATTTATTTATCTTGAGACAGAGTCTCTCTCTGTTGCCCAGGCTGGAGTGCAGTGGCACAATCTCTGTTCGCTGCAACCTCCACCTCCCGGGCTCAAGCAATTCTCCTGCTTCAGCCTCCTGAGTAGCTGAGATTACAGGTGTGCACCACCATGGCCAGCTAATTTTTGTATTTTTAGTGGAGATGAGGTTTCACCATGTTGGCCAGGCTGGTCTCAATCTTCTGGCCTCAAGTGCTCTGCCCACCTTGGCCTCCCAAAATGCTGGGATTTTAAGCATGAGCCACCATGCCCAGTCAAAATCAGAAAATTATCAGATAAATTTAACAAAGAGATTAAAATAATTAAAAAGAATCAAGGAGAAATTCTGCAGCTGAAAAATGCAAATGACATACTAAAGAATGTGTCAAAGTCTCTTAATAATAGAATTGATCAAACAGAAGAAAGAATTAGTGAGCTTGAAGGACAGCCTATTTGAATAAACACTCAGAGGAAGCAAAATTTAAAAAAATAATAAAGCATGCCTACATGATTTAGAATATAGCCATAAAAGGGGAAATCTGATGTACTGGCCTTAAAAAGTAGGTAGAAAAAGAAATATGGGTAAACATTTTATTGAAAGGGATTATAACAGAGAACATCCCATACCTAGAGAAAGATATCAATATTCAAGTTCAAGAAAGTTATAGAACACCAAGGAGATTTAACCCAAGGAAGACTACCACAAGACATTTAATAATCAAACTGCCAAAGGTCAAGAATTAAAAAAGGATCCTAAAAGCAGCAAGAGAAAAGAAACAAACAACATACAATGTAGCTCCAATACATCTGGCAGCAGACATCTCAGTTGAAAGTTTACAGGCTAGGAGACAGTGATATGACATATTTAAAGTGCTGAAGGACAAATCTTTCATCCTAGAATTGTATAACCAGCAAAATTATCCTTCCAGCATCAAGGAGAAATAAAGACTTTTCCAGACAAACAAAACCTAAGGGATTTCCCTAACATCAGATCTGTCCTGCAAGAAATGCTAAAGGGAGTTTTTTAATCTAAAAAGAAAGAATGATAATGGGCAATAAGTAATCACCTGAAGATACAAAACTCACTGGTAACAGTACATACAAAGAAAATCACAAAATATTATAGCACTGTAATTGTGATATAGAAACTACTCATATCTTCTGTAGAAGGACTAAAAGATGAACCTATCAAAAATAAGAACTACAACAATTTTTAAAGACATAGAACAATAAGATATAAATGGAAACAACAATAAGTTAAAATTGGGGGGATTAAGGTGTAGAGGTTTTATTAATTTCCTCTTTGGTTGTTTGTTTGTTTGTTTATGCAATTAGTGTTAAGTTGTCATTAGTTTAAAATAACGTGTTATAAGATGTTATTTGCAAATCTCATGGTAACTTCAAATCAAAAAATCCAAACCAGGCACATAAAAAATAAAAAGAAAGAAATTAAAACATACTAAAGAGAAAATCACTTTCACTAAAAAGAAGACAGGAAGGAAGGAAAGAAAGTAGAGGAGACAACAAAACAACCAGAAAACAAAGAATAACAAAATGGCAGGAGTAAGTCCTTACTTATCAATAATAATGCTGAATGTAAATGGACTAAATAGACAGAGTGGCTGAATGAATAAAAAATAAAGACCCAAAGATCTGTTGCCTACAAGAAACACACTTCACTTATGAAGACATACATAGACAGAAAATAAAGAAATAGAAAAAGATATTCCATGGAAACCAAAAAAAGAAAAGCAGCAGTAGCTATACTTATATCAGACACCATAGATTTCAAAATAAATAAATAAATAAAGAGACAAAGAAGAGAATTATATAATGATAAGGGCATCATTTCAGCAAGAGGATATAATAATTGTGTATATATATATCTACATATATATATATACACACACACACACATATGGTGACACTGGAGCACCCTGATATATAAGG